>NC_000008.11:28344951-28647981 GCF_000001405.40 Homo sapiens
AAGCCTGGTTTATTTGACTTGGTCTTCTTGGAATCTATCATTGCTTCACTAAGTGGTTCTTAAAATTCAGCAACTGAAATTGCACAAACCAGCCCCTGGGTGGAATGACGCCTTCTGCTTCCAACAGCCTTCCCACCTAGGCCAGCTCTGCCAGCCACTTGGGCCATCGCAGCACCTGGAACTGATGTCTGTATGGAGCAGACCATGTTCAGAAGCCATTTGATAGGTAGCGTGTGACTTTATTTTCTCCCATGTCACTTGCTTGCTCCTCAAAAGACTCAGGAATGCAGTCAAGAATATGCTCCCCTTTGTCAAGAAAAGCAGCAGAAAATGCTGCCTGGAGTGCTGTTATTTCCCAGTTTATAACCTTGAGCAAGTTATTGAACCTCTGTGCCTCACTCTTCTCATCTGCAAAATGGGAACAATAACAGCACTCTCTCATAGGGTTATTTATAATAGGGAACCCATGTATACACTTGGCCTAGTCATTGGGAAGCGTTACCTACTGTTAGTATAAGTGAATCAACGTCATACTTTGCTACAGTGTGATATGCTACCATTTGTGTAACACCAAGGACAAGGACAGTGATAATCTTATTTGTTGCAAGGGAAGGGGCAAAGGACAGGCACACATTAAATCAGACAAGGTACCATTTTATTCCTTATAAAATATATTTCATATTGTTGCTGTAAAAACATTACATTTCACATTTTTAAAAAATTTTTTAACAGTAAAAATAATACTTGGAAGACAGCTGAGGAAAAAGGCGCCAATAAGACAAACTCACAGATGGGATTTATCTCCCTCTTGCTTTTTTTTTTTTTGCCCCTGGTAAAAGTCAGAACCTGGGATGACCAGAAAGTAACAGGACAGATTTCTCCCAGCAAATCAGTCTCCACAACCAAATGAATATTGTTCTCCAAGGAGTCAAGCTATAGACTCACAATGACAACGTGGCCATGGCTCAAAACACTCTCTGAAATTACAAAATTGCTTTCTGAGCCAATTTAAAAGTCACATGATTGAATCCAAGCTATTTTACTTTAAATGGTCCTTTTGCTTTGCACCTGAGACCTCGCTTGGCCACAGACGTCATTCGCTGGACTCCCTGGGCACTAAATGAGTGTCTAGCATCCTTAAGGCTGCTCAACACACAGCCCCAGACTCTGAATATGATTCCAAGAAATATTCTGAAAAAAGTCACATCGCTGGAATAAACAGTTTCCCAAGATAACTGCTTTGAAAACCAGTCCCGTTAGTTTCTAAAAGCCCACCTACGGCACCTTCCTTCCATCAGAGTCTGCTGCCCGGGTGGGCTGGGAAGGAGGGAGATACAAAGAAGAAAGTAGGCATGATCACTGGGTCGGTTCCCAAGCCACCCTCACCCTCCAAGAAGGCATGAATGGAACAACCCCGAGAACAGAGCACGTGTGAAGAACCAACACGACAGGCACGGGATGGCAGCACGGGTGGAAGGGAGGCAAGGAGGCCGCCAGTGCCAAGGAGGAGAGGGGGCACAAGCGCAGGCAGGGAAGGTGGCACCAAAACCTAGTAAGAACAAAGCAAAACCACCGTGGTTTCCACACTGCTCTCTCCCTTTATTCCTCTCTTTCCTGCCCTGTATACCAACGGCATAAGAAGCCTGCACAAAGAGAAAAATCCGTATATCCAGTTATATCTACACGGTCCAAACTGGGGGCGGGGGGAATTCAAACAGCTTTCTAAAGACGAGACGGCAGTGAAAACTCTGAGGGAGAGGGGAAGGGGAGGCCCTCCTGAGCGAAGTTCCCATGTGTCAAGAACGTGCCCTCCCCTCCCCATGAGGACCTGAAGCTGGGGGTTGTCTTGGGAAGTGAGGGGGGTTGGGAAACACCATCAGCAGCTGCCAGCTCTTAATTCTCAAGGAGATCGAAGGGACAGGAAGGAGAGCCCTGCGCCACCTCAGGCTAGCCTGGCTTTGAGCTTTACCAAGAGACAGAATTCCACATACATTTTTTTTTTTTTACTAAGTTATAAAAAAAAAAACCCCATCACCAAAGACACCTGTGCACAAGTGTCTGTCCCTTCTGTCACCAACCTAGGGCACTACACCCTTCCCAACATCATGACCCTACTGCCAGGTCTACAGATTTTGTAACACTCAAAGTGTCCTGCATTAAAAAGCACGTGTCTATTTCCTACGTGAAGGGGCCAAGGGAGCCCTGGTGGCCCAAATATCTTCACCCAGGACTGGGAGGGCGGCCTCGATGACAACCAAGGGGTGGATGCTGACACTCCATCCCAGGACAGGTGGCTGGGTAGGATTCCCTGAGCCCCTGACAGCTGGGACATAGGGCCAGGACTTGTACCCGAGGCAGCTGGGCAGTGGGCAGTCACATTCCAGTAGGCCCTGAGGAATCCCCAAATAAGTCACGCTGGGAGGAAAGTGAGACACCAAAACAGAAACATGCCCTGCCATCCGGGCGTGGCTCACTCTGTCTTCGCGCAGGGCTGGTTGGCATGGTGCTACACTCCCGAGACCTCCCTCCTTCTCCCCAAGAACAGCTCTGCTTATCGACATGCACGCAGCCCAGGCTCCCCTAGATCCCTGGAGGCTCCAGAAACACCAAGGGCCAAAACGCCAGCAGCCACTAACCCAAACCCACGTCTTCCTCCTGTCATTTCCTCATCCTGACGCTCACGGGTGCAAGGACTCTCCTTGGCCTTCCTCATCCTGCTTTCAGGCAGCAAACAGAAATGGGGAAATCCCTGGTGGGGCCAGGAGACAGAAAGGAACCTCCAGAACCTCCCTGGGTCTCTCCCGGCCACCCAAATAAAAGAAAACTTTAATCAGTAAAGGCTTCTGAATACATCGTAAAAGAAAACAAAGCATTTCTGAGGCGTCCTTTCAATAACCGGAGGAAGGCGGCGTCAGGAGGGTGCTTCCTCGGGTCAGAGCAGAGAGTTTCCAGACGCTCAAACCCTCCAGGAGTTCCTCGAGGAAAGAGGAGAGAATGATCAAGGTAGTGTTTAACTGCCACATTCCAAAAAGTGAATTCTGATCAGCCTTTTGGCTCAGCTATTTGGCGACAGTCTTTTAAAAAACCTCTTTCTCTGGGCTTTAAGAAGAAGCCATTTAATATTTGTTGGGGTGCAACCCAATGTCTGAGGGAACCCAGATTTAAGTCGTCACCAAGAAAGGGATTTCCTTTGACTTCCATGCAGGATGCTCAGACAGGGAACAGGAGGTACCCTCCGAGAAGGGCAAACCCCTCTGCCCCACGGCCAGGCAGTCCTGCACTCTGAGTCACCCATCAGCCAGAAACTCTTTTTTTTTTTTTTTTTTTTTTTTTTTAAGAAAAGTAAATTCATCTTGCTCACAGTCCTTTCTGGAAGAGTTTAGAAAGCAAAGAATTCACCGACTCAGCAGGAAGCAGAACGAGCTGTTCCTTCTTTTGACACGCACAAGCTAATCCCCTAGAGAGTGGGGATGTGGGAAACGGAGGGTAATTAATTCTTTGGTCACTGGTTCACTGCTGAATAGCCTTGGTCAGTTTTGGCTCTCTCCTATTTTAGGGGGAAAAATATTTTTGTTTCTTTTTTTTAAAAAATAAAATGTTCGCACAATGGGAGAAAATTGCTTTAAGTGTTACACCTTAGCCAACAGAGCCCAAACTCCGTGTTTCCGTTCTTTCTCTTTCGGTTTCTGCTGAGGGCTGGTGACACACTGGCCTCTTGTCAGTGGCTGCCGGCAGGGCCAGGAACAGAGTAGAACCTGCAGCACAGCTCAGTCCAGAAAGCGCTGGCAGGCCTTCTTCCACCGGCAGGCCGTGCACCACTGGTCCCGGTGCTCGATGCCATACACCTTGCGGCACTTCTTAGCCTCCCCTCGGGCTTTCCTGCAGAAAGAGAGGAATGCAAATCGAGCCCCACACAGGTGGTGGGCCCAGGAGAGTGGCCAAGTGGGGCTGGGAGAACAAGCAGAGGCCAAAGGGGCAGCTCCCGGCAAAAGTCACCAGGACCAGGGGCCAGAGGCTCTGAGGACCAAACAGTCATCCCATCTGGTGCATCCGCCATCTGGGCTCCTCTCTGGGGACTAACCCTGGTGACTTCATCTGGGTGGGGTCGGAGTCCACGCCACTGGAGACAGGGCACAGAAACCAGAAGGCAGGGGACGACAGCGGACATCTCACCTGGCACCACTCTGGGCCCGGGGTGGAGAAGTGACGATCAGATGAGATTTCATCGCAGGTGCTGGCTGCTGGGGCTCGCTGAAGCTTAGCGACCGGCTCCGGACCTGGGCGTGGGGAGAGGGGCTGTGAGCACAGGGACATTCAGGAAAGGTGAGGGAGCTATCCTAAAAGACAGGCAGCCACCCGTCCCCAGCTCCTGGTGCAGAAGGCCTCGCACCTTCTCAGGGAGAACACTCCAGCCGAGGGGAGCTCTTGGCAGGAGAGTGAGGAAGGAGCAGGCCTTCATGCCACACTCAGGACCCAGCCAAGGACAAGGACAGGGGAGCCACTGGACCTGGCCCCCTCTGAGGCTCTCCTGCAGGGGACTTAGACGGAGCCGCTATGCCTGGAAGCCTCACACTGCCTCAGTGGCATCACTGGCAATCTGATTTACAGTGTGACACCGCCCTGCAGGAGATAACTCAAGACCAGCGCCTGCTAGGTAGAGTTCAAAATGACTTCCCGCTTACTTGAGTTGGGGGTCCACCTATGGCCCTTGTCTCCAGTGGCCTTGAGATTTCTGACCCAGCCCACACAGCCTCCACATTCTCCCCCTTCCTCTCCTCAGCATTAAAATCCTAAAAACACCCACGGGCACTAGGAGCTGATGGGGCAACTGACCCCAGCCTCGCCTGGTGATTTTCTTGGCAAGAAACCTGCTTGCTCTGGACATCCTCTACAAGCGCCTCCTTCCACCTCCGCGAGGGGCTATGGCCAGATGGGGAGTGCCAGGGAGGGGGCAGCACAAGGACATCTTCAACACGTTTGGGGGCTGAAAGCAAGATGGCCACACCGACCTGTGGCCACGTGCCCCGTGCCCAAGGGATGGCCTCCAGCCCTGGGATGTGTGGGAGAGCCCTCGGCCATACGAGGCCCCAGCCGTGCTGCCCGCACACTCACCGGAGAGAGAGAGCAGGCGGCGGAGGGGGCAGCAGCCCAGCTGACACTGGTGTAGATGTGTGGTGAGACTGGGATCTGGAAGGATGGCAGAGCCTGCGGAAGACGAGGGTGTCAGCCCGGATTCTAGCTCAGGAAGTGTTCAGAGTCTGCCCACAATCCCCACAGCCTCATGACAGCAGCAGAAGGTGCATCTCTGCGTAAGTGCAATGACCAGAAAGAGCTGGGACACACTCGGCTTTCTCGAGGACAACACTGGAGTATCATCCAATGCCTTGCAGTAGTCTCCTTATTGCGAGGCTCCAATCTCATCCTGGAACCCTTCCCTCAGCGCTGGTCTACGTGCTAGCCTCATGACTTAATCACCGCAGAAGATTTAACTTCTCAACTGGATCACCTACCAAGAACATGCCATGGCACGTGCCAAAAGAGGCCCCAAGCCTTCTGCGTCTAGGGGGCATGGCTGGGATAAGATATGGGATCTTCCAGCAACTGCTTGAGAGTAGTAGTGTGCTCATGGGTATCCAGGTTCAGGGCTATTTGTGAAAACACCAGCTACATGTCTGGGCCCCATAGGTCAGCCACAGCTCCAAGTGGGCCAAACATGAAATCGCTAAGCGGCCACTCATTCTAACAAGGAGGAGGGCTGGCCCATTTCATAAAGCTTTCTCACTGAAAGCAATACCTTTTAATAACTAATTTGCAAATTGGCCCACAGACTGATAAAATAGGCACAAAAGAATTTTAAGAAATATCAGCACACAGCAAGCTGCATGTTCCTTGAGTACCTACTACATGCAGCGAAGACCATCCTAAATATCACCCTCTGTGATAAGTTTCTCATCCACAAGGGCAAAATAGGTTGGTCCCTCTGGTACCTACAACACCTTCTCATGCCTCTAGTAATTAGTACTTTGACTGGTTATTATAATTAACCATAGTTACATATTCATTTCTCTCTCAATCTGAACCATGCCCTCCACAAGGGCAGGGACTAAGCCTTCTTCAACCTGAAAGTCTTACTTAGTCCAATTCTTGGCCCGCAGGAAGTATTCAAAACATGCGTGCTGGACTGTCTGTCCACAGAACACAATTCTAGGACCTAGACGTCACGTGGGAAGCCCAACTACACGACTCCATCCTCTCTTATAAGCAGAGGTGTGACAATTCCCCCACCCAAATCCATCGCCCAGTTACTTAGGGATTTAGCTAGATTCCTAGTAACCACTCATGACAGCTGCCAATGTAGATAACTCCAGGAATTCCCACATTTATTGAGCAGTGAATTCGGTTTCCTTTTGTTTCCTTGTAGAAGAGATTAGCAATTTGGCCAAAGGGCTCAGCCTTCCATCAGGGTGGTCGGTAGCCTGTAATCAAGCTGGCCCGTGATGAGTCAGCTATGAGCCTGAGCCTCCAGCGAGCCCCGCCCCATACCTGGTATGCATGATCTGCCTGAATGTGCCAGAAGGACCCAGGAGCTGACTTGCTGAGAGCCCCTGAGGGCAGGGAGGACTCCGGGCCAGGATGTTCTGGGCCGGAGGACTGGGCTTTGTGCAGAGGTGGTGGAAGAGCAGACAGAGGCAGGCCAGTCATGCTGGGGGTGGGAGCTGGCTCGGAGGTGGGAGTCCCAGGGACTGGGGTGCCTGCGGCAGCAGCAGCAGCAGCAGCAGCAGATTCCTCCTTCAGCTGCACCTCTGTGTAGTAGAAATCCTCCTCCCGCTTGAACTGATCAGAGTCCACTGTGTCCCTGTGTGGGAGGGAGATGCGGTATAATCAGGGGCACCCTGCCCCCTTCAAACCCAGCGGGGACCGCGGTAGGGAGGGAAGTGATTGCTTGAGGCCACCCAGCAAGCCAGGGACGGAGCCCAAGAGAACACCCAGGTGCCTCGCTCCTGACGGGTGTCACCAGGATTATGTGTTGCACATCAACGGGAATTATTTTTCCTGGCACCTAAGGCTCATTCTCTCCCGGAACATGTGCCAACCTCTCCTCTGGCAGGAGGCATCCCACACTGAGCACGACCACGAGCCCTCTCTGGGCCCCACCTGCCTGCAGTCACGCTTTCTCCCCCAGGGCCATGAGTCAGCTCCTACCACTAGCAGCCTGCAAACTCGCTCTGCACAGAACACGGCGGAGGCACCAGGGTGGGGCTAGCGGAGACCCACTCCCAAGGAAGAGTGGGTGGTGCAGTGCTTGGCCACTAAACATCTTGGAAACGGGGTCTCACCAGCAACTAAACCAAATGACCCCGTTTCTACCCAGAACTAAAACATCTTGCTTCCTGCAATGAGGCAAGAAGACACATCCCCAAGATGGACAGAGCTCCCTTCCCATCAACAGCAACAATGTTCACCAGGATGTCTTTCTCAGGGGGCCAGGAAGAGACACCAGGGGGTGTTCCCAGCAAGCCACGTTCCTGAAAGCACTGTGGGCTGTGGGTCACAGGGACTCGGCAGGGTGGAGGGACACCCACACGCGACCCTAGGCTAGAGGCCCTGGGCTCGCACATACCCCAGATGGAGGGCTTTGACGTGTCGTTTGATGCCCACAATGGAGCGCAGAACTTTGCCACAGTTTGGCCACAGGCACTTGTACATCACCTTCACAGAGTTCTACAGGAAAGGAAGACAGGGTGAGTGGATATGTCTTTCTCCTTATCCCTCGCTCAACCTTACCCAGTGGGGACTCAAACTGGCTGCTGTCCCCGGCCTGACCCAACAAAAACCTCCAGGAAAGGGGTTCTCTGGGACCAGAGAAACTTACAACCAGGGGCTAGAAAGCCCCAATCTAAGAGATGGTCCTAGTGGCCAACAGCAGTGCTCCATGCTGTGGCTAAGACCCTACTGGAGGCCTCTCCCACGCAGACCTCTGCAGAAACACAGGAAAGAAGGCAGGGATTGGGGTGGAGGCTAAAACAGAAGAGGCTTTAAATAGGAGAAGGAGAATCCTGGGAATATCACCAGGTAACAGAAGCAGCAATAAAAAACCGAAATGGGAGTGAACCCAAGACTATCTAGGGCCTGCAGGGTCCCCTGCTCTCCACGGCTGGCTGTCCCCACACAGACATCATCCGCTCCAGCCTGGGCTCCCACTCACACCACAATCACGTACCTTTCTTTTTCGTGGAGCTGGTTCGTCCAGCAGGAAAGGGTCAGGATCGGTCTCAAAGCCATGATCAGTTTGGGGAGAACCAAAAGCATCCCCCAAATACTTGGGGCTGGCCTGGGGGTGGGGGGGCGAGGGGGTGGAGACACCACTGCTCCCACTCCAGTGACCGCTGGTAGTGCTGCTGCCGCTGTCCGAGATGTCACCACTCTCCTTCCATGGGTCGCAGGCCGCACGGGAAGCTGGCCAGATGAAGAAAAGATGAGAGGACGCTCACGGGCGTGTCCCTGGGCAAACTCTCCCTTCTGAGCTTCGGTAAACATGGAGAGGAGTTCATTCATGGCAGCAATTTCTCTTGGTAGAACTGCTCTACCCTCGCAGACATTTCCTACCATAGCCACCTGGTCATCACTGACCAACAGATACACACTGCAAGTTTGCTTTGTATAGGATTCATACAAAGAGAAACCTAACTGAAATTTCTCTTTTTAAACAAAAATTTTTTTTTAGAGATGGGGTCTTGCTATGTTGCCCAGGCCGGTCTCAAACTCCTATCCTCAAGCGATCCTCTGGCCTCAGCCTCCCAAAGTGCTGCCTGTTTCTCACTTTATACATTAAATAAAGGGGGGATGGGGAGGGGGAAGGGCAAAGCCTCTGCAGCCTCCAGGCCTGGTTGAGAACAGGCACACCCAGAGTGTTGGGTACCACCCAGAGCATTTTCCTACAGCTGACGCCAACTTAAAGGTCTTCTTGACCAGCTTTCCTGAAAAATGCTCTTCAATCATCTAAACCCAGGCCAGTCCATAGAAACCTGTGGGTGGAACAAACAACTCAGCCTTTGCAACTCTCAGGAGGGTGCACAACATTTCCCAGTGCTAGCTGCAGCCCAGGTGGAACCTGCTTTAATCAAGAAGTAACATGTTTGGAGGAGGAAAGACAAGCTCTGCGAGCAATTCTGGTCATCGCAAGGTGGCAGGGGGCTTTCGTGCCTGACATGGCCCTGAAGCAGCTGCTGGGCTCCTGAATGCCTCTGAGCAGGAGGACGGGCATCAGCAGACATGGAGAATCTTCCGTTTTTAAACAGCACATCTGCAGGCTGCATGGGCCCAACCCAGACTCTCACTCCTTGGCCAAAAATCCAGGTGAATTTATAATATAGAAGAATCTGAAATTCTGATATGTGGAAATACCAAGAGAGAGGGAAAAAAGCTACCTGTCCTCAAAAGCCCCAACTCCCAACAGGGGCGTTCCACAGAGCCCCCTAACCCTGGATTCCAAGGTCTACTAGCACATCCCTTGTGGCCAGGATAAAATCCTGCTGCCTTTCTCTCCTCTTGCTCATAGTCCAGACTCCTTCAATGCTAATCAGGGATCTACCCGGCACAGGCTCCCATCTTTCCATGTTTCTAGTCCAGGCTCTCCTTACATCTCACATCCTAGAAGCAGCCCACCCAAAAAGAATGAGATGGAGGAAGAACTCTTCCCTGCCCAGATACTGTTGTCATGTCTCACAGCTATCACTGTCCCTTCCTGGGAACCAAGAGATTACTACATGTACATGTGTGCTTAAAAAAGGGTACACCTTCAGGGCAGAAGACAAGAATCATTAAACAGGCCAACAGGTGAAAGACCCACGCACATCCACTGATAGGAAAACGATCAGGGAGAGAAGGGCAGTGAGCAGAATACTACATGGCAACATCTAGGATGCTCAGGACTCCGGGACAAAGAGCAGGTCAAGCAGCAGGCACACCCTACAAATGCGGTAGCCCTTCCCTATAGGAACCACTCACAATGGCTCAAATGCATGAAATCTGCATGGCAGATTTTGACTGGCACACAAAGAAAGCAAAACATAAAGCAAAACGTTATCTATAAGTTATAAGTTAATGTGTAAGTTGTGACTCCATCTTTGATCATAAGTTTTTCTAGGACACAGGCAATAAATACACTTTCTATACCATGAAAATAAAGTACTGCTCTACAAATGCACGGCACTCAGAGCTTACAAGTGAACTTTTAAGAAATATTTATAATCCTGTTTTCTATACATAGACATGCACACACACATGCCATCCTAACCACACAGAAACCAAAGGGACTATGTGGCATTTGTGCAAATAGTATCTACGACTCTCTTAGTCAAGGTTTTGGTTGTTGTATAGACCACACTTTGCAGAATACTTCAAGATAATTAGGCCAAGGAAGCCTTATATTTCCACTGACTTCAGCTATAAGATAAAAAATATACTGTCATCAAAAAAAATTTAATAGACAATTTTTTTTTTTTTTTTACAAAGGGACTTAAAATTGTCAGGATGATGGCATATCATCAGTGAGATGCTTCTACGTTGATGTGCACTTGTGTATGCATGTATTATACATACCCTCATGATGGGAACTGGAGTCAATAATTTTCTTTTCTTTCTTTAGGACACTTTCCTAGATCTTTCCACTGTTAACCCAACCATCCAGATCTCCTAAACTCTCCTGAGAACTTAGAAATTAACTCCTTTCCTCTTCCCTATTTGGCTGCGCTAATAGAGCAGGCATGCAATACTAAGCTTCACAGCTAGGTGTCCTCATAATGCAATGACTTCCTTTGGCAGCCTAGTCATTGACAGCTGACTTTGAGTCAAGAAAGTAAGTTTTCTCTCTCCTTTATGTTTAATTTCTATTTAGGGAGATTCCTTATGAGGGATACTTATGAAGGCCACTTTCCTCCTGCTATGTGCTCAGAGCTAACTCCATATTTTCCTGTAAGTTTATAAGTAGCTTGCAATTCAGTTAGGTGTCCACCAATGAAGAAGTTCTTCCCTGGGAGTAGGGTAGGCCAGCCCTGCCATGAATTTCCCAAAAAACTTCAGGTTCACTACCAGTCTTGCCAAACTACTGACAAATACTCAGCAACCCTTTTTTCCCTCATATTATTGATAAAGTATTTTGGGGTTGCAACTATAGCAATTTTGTTTTAATAAATTTGCCTTGAAGTTGAATCACTGGTTTTTATTAAGCAATTAGATTTACTTTAGAATTTAGCTCATTTATTCCGGGTCCTTGTCCCATAGGCCCACACTAATTTATGAGGCTGAATTAGGCACGTGGAATGAGGGCATGAATTTTCTGAGGCCACTAGGAGACCATTTAGCATATTGCTACTTTGTGAACTAAATATTCCTCTATTGGCCTCATTCAGACCCCACCAAAGTGCTGGGCTCAGCCACTCCCATTGAAGAACTTACTCCACTGGCCACTGCAGCTCAGTCCCATGCTCAACCATCTTCACAATGTACCAGGAAACTCCTCCCCAGGTGAGGAAACTGAGGAAAAAGAACGGAAGCATCTAACTCCATGGCATGCAGCCGGTCAGAGGTGCCAGTGGGAGGTGTCCCTGGACATTCTATTGCCAGGCTGGTGACATAGGCAACTAGCTGCTCTGCACAGAGGATGTTTGTCGTGGGCCTCTACCATGCCCAGAACCCAGCTGGGCCCCGCTTGCTCACCAGAGAAGTTGGCCTCGGTCCCGGGAGGACTCTGTACAACAGGGCTGCAGGACAGGGACGTCAGCACCATGGCCGCCATCATCTCATCCATTTCCACTGCGTCCGACTTCCTGGATTCACACGGATGAGTGGGAAATGTTACTTCCTGGCATGGCGGGCCCATGGTCCTTGCAAAACGAGACACCACTTCTGGCTGGTTTCACACAATCATCTTACACTTCTGGACTGTCCCCTCCAAGTGCCCCCAACTCCAATCAGCCAGTGTGTGCTCAGATCATATAAACTCAGTGAAACATGAAGGTCTCCCCTTCTTCCTGAGCAGTACCCATTCTGAGTGATGCTTCTAATATTAGGCAGCCCCGGTATAAGCCGCTGGGTCTCATCCCACTGTGACGCCCTGAGACAGCCCCATTCTCCCATGACTTTGCTGCTGAACTCTGCAGCTTAAAAAAAGGAGAATTTTATTTAGGGGAAAGAGGATAGACTCGAAATGAACACGAGGACAAAAGATGCCCACTGGAATTCAAAAGCACAACAATTACCTCCTTTCCTTGTCCCATATTTAAATTTAAGAGGGAACAATTATACACTAACCACCTTCTCCCACCCCTCCCCCAAGAAAAATGGTAAGGCATTCTGACAGCTTCTGAATGTCAACAGAACCTACTACCCAAGCCAATGTGCAAATAAACCAGAAGCACTAAAATAAATCTCCCAATGCAAGTGTCCATGCTTTATACAGCAGAGTTCTATAAAATGTTACACATAATTTTTTAAAAATCCGTATATCACTACATTATTTGGAAGTAAAACTAGAGCTGTCTACAAGTTAATGCTAAAGTATTAGTAAAAGTTAGTCTGAAATAAACTTCTAAGTGGTCTGTTTCAAAAAGCTGTCTTAATTTATTCCTTACAATTCAGGTCCGCCAAAATATGACTTGGGTTTGAAGCAGCTAAACCAAGACTATTAAAACGTGAAACACATTAGCACCTCTGTTTTTGTATGATCTTTGAATTTTCATTTCCATAGAACAGAAAAATAAATTCTTTACCTGCATTCCACTGAATACACTATCACAAATATTGCTGCTCTAATTTGGTTTCAAAATACTGGGTCTGCTGTGTTTTTTCGCACTCATAGACAAACACAGAGAGGTGGGATAGGGTGTGACTGCTTGCACATCTTGTATATAAGACAATTTCAGTCGACAGATTTTCCTTTTAAATCTTAAAAGATCAATGTACATACAGCATATAACATAGAAATTAGGATATATATTCTTAGAAAAAAGTTGTATCACAAAATTCTAAAGCAAAATACATTCTTCATTCACCAGTGGTTCTGAATATCTAAGCCAGGGGTAAGCATGCTGCAGGCTGTGGACCCAATGTAGCCTGCTGCTTGTTTCTGTAGGGTTTCAAGCTAAGAATGGTTTTACATTTTTAAATGGTTTTGTTTTGTGGGTTTTTTTCTTTTTTTTCTTTTTTTTTTTTTTTTTTTTTGAGATGCAGTCTCACTCTGTCACCCAGGTTGGCTTCAAGCAGTTCTCATACCACAGCCTCCCAAGTAGCTGGGATTACAGGCATGCGCCACCATGCCCAGCTAATTTTTCTATTTTCAGTAGAGACGGGGTTTCATCATGTTGGCCAGGCTGGTCTCAAACTCCTGACCTCACGTGATCCACCCACCTTCGTCTCCCAAAGGGCTGGGATTACAGGCGTGAGCCACCACACTCAGCCTGTTTGTTTGTTTTTTGGTTTGGTTTGGTTTGGTTTTTGTTTTTAGAGCAGAGTCTTGCTCTGTCTCCCAGGCTGGAGTGCAGTGGTGCCATCATTGCTCACTGAAGCCTCAACCACCTGGACTCCAGCAATCCTCCTGCCTCAGCTTCCTAAGTAGCTGGGACTACAGGCAAAAGCCACCATACCTGACTAATTTTTTTATTTTTTTGTAGAGTCAAAGTTTCCCTATGTTGCCCAGGCTGGTCTCAAACTCCCAGCCTCAAGCAATCTTCCCAAAGTGGTGGAGTTACAGGTGTGAGCCACTGCGCCTGGCCTAAATAGTTTTAAAAATTAAAAGAAGGATATAATTTCTTGACATGTGACACATGGAAAGTATATAAAACTAAAATTTGAGGGTCCATGAATGAGGTTTTATTGGAGGACGGCCATGCCCATTTGTTTCTGCATCACCCCTGGCTGTTTGGACACCACAGCAGAGCTGAGCAGTGGGGACAGAGACTGTGTAGTCCATCAAGCCTAAATTATTTACTCTTTGGCCCATTCAAAACAAGTTTGTTGACTCTCGATTTAAGCCAGTTCTTCCCTGTCTCTTATCATAAACTATGACCTGATTCAGTTTAAGCATGAGAGGGGAAAAAATAGCCCTATGCCCAACCAAAGGTACATTGCCCATAATAGAGCTATGGAAAAGAAAAGACGCCACTCGGCCAGGCATGGTGGCTCAAACCTGTAATCCCAGCACGTTGGGAGGCCAAGGCAGGTGGATCACCAGAGGTCGGGAGTTTGAGACCAGCCTGACCAATAAATATGGTGAAACCCCATCTCTACCAAAAAATACAAAAATTAGCCAGGCGTGGTGGTGCACGCCTGTAATCCCAGTTACTCGGGAGGCTGAAGTGGAAGAATCGCGTGAACACAGGAGGCAGAGGTTGCAGTGAGCCGAGATCATGCCACTGAACTCCAGCCTAGGTGAGAGAGTGAGACTCCGTCTCAAAAAAAGAAAGAAAAGATGCCACTCTGGTTTTCTTAAAAGATTCCCCTTTTCTGTGTCCCATTTGTCCCAATATCTTGGCACCCAGATGCCAATGACACCACATTTCTTCCCCACCACAACACAGCCCACACCCTTACACCACACTACCCACGTGACTTTTAAAACCCAGTTTCTTCTCCCACACAAACCTCTTTGGGACATCGATGTTCCTGGAGACGGGCCTGTAGGCCAGGGCCTGGGCTCCGGGCTCCAGGGGTGGTGCCTGGGGACAGGGGCCCTGCAGCTCTGCCAGCCACACCTCCTCCACCCTGCAGCAGACCTGCAGCTTCTGCTCCAGCAGCCAGACGGTCACCTGACCCTCCATCCAGCTGTGCTGCTCCACCAGTCCTGTGCACTCTTGACCCCCGTACCACACATAAACCTGTGGGAAGAGGGACAGCAGTTAGTGGTCAGCCCTGGATGGGTCTCGCCCTGAAGTTCTCATGCACCCCACGTCCCAGGAGCCAGGATCTGCCTGCCACAAACCATGTTCTCTGCCTCACTCATCTTTTATTCAAGCAGATGTTCCCAGGTACTCGCTTCCCACCTGAGCACCCACACAGGCCCAATTCCTCCCAAGACAGATCCTTATCAGCTCTCTAGACTGGCAGACAGCAAACATGTCAGTTTCTGGGACTTTCTCTGAATCTAGAATCTGTGCTCATCATCCTGCCTTCCTTGACCCGGATGCACTGCCTGTCTGCTGGTGCCCAACTGCCACTCTGAATTGCTCATTATCCTGCACTCAAAGGATGCTGAGTCTACCTGGGGACAAGGTGGCAGGGGTGCAGAGACAGGCCAACCTCTCAACAGGGGGACCTGGAAGTTGGCAGGCCACCTTCTCTCACAGGCAGGGAGGCCTGGAGGCACAAGCCTTGGCAGGGAGCCAGAGGTAGAGTCCTCATTTAGGAGGCCTTGAGAGGGCAACAGAAGAGAACCCCAGGCACCTGGACCTCATAACATCAGACCCAGGGCCCTGGCACAGGGGCAGGGATGCTGGAAAAGGAAATCCACACCGAATCCAACTACACAAACATCTCTGAGTCTTAAAAGTGTCTAAAGGGAATTCAAAGATGCAATGTTCTCTGATTCTCATAAGCCTGAGATGCCTTCCTTTGCTAAAGTTGCAAACTGAGACAGATTAAGAGAAACGTGGTTATGGTCATCCTTCAAACTGAGGTTTTGAGCAAGCCAAAGCCCACAGCGTCTGATGCTAGGTCTTGCCACCTTCTACAGACAACACTGTGGTAGAGAAGCCCTGGGTCTACTAACAATGTCATATTCTCTTGGGCGATCTGCTGCCCAGGTGCCCTGTGGCTGGAGGGCAAAGGTCTGCACTCAAAACGGTGCCCAGAGAGTTTCCGGCCTGTCACTAGGGCACCCCAGCCCCCTACCCCAAGACTGGCAAGACGGGACACCTGTCCATGTTGGGATCAACCTACCTTCTGCCCAGGCTGAAAGGCCACCTGCTGAAGGCCCGAGGTGCTGGGAGCCTTAAGGACTTCCTTGGGCTGCTCCTGGCAGGGGGTGTCATCAGAGGTGGTGAAAGGCTGGGGAGCGGCCCCTTCTAGCAGTGGCTCCGAGGGTGGGGCAGCCGAGGGCCCCTCCGAGGCACTGGGTCCCAACACCCGGGCTCCCAGGAGGGACCGCTTTCCAAGGCGTCGGGACAGGACACTCGCCATGCTGCTGCCTCTCCTCTCCTGCGGAGGCGAAGGGGACACTGAAGCCTCTGCCCATCACCTGGGGGAATCAGGAAGCTTTCAGGAGGGAGCCCCACACAGCAGGAGCCAGGAAGGGTCTACTAAAATAAGTGAACCCTTTAAAGTCAACTTCTAGCATCCTTCCCTTTTACAAAAGTGATATCCATTCCTAGTAGGACAATCGGAAAAGCAAACCACTGAGGAATCTGCCTCCCAGGGAGGCCCACTCTTCCTATGCAGCAGGCCAGGCTTCCTTCTGTGCATGTATTTACACTTTTATTTCTGTAAAAATGGGATTGTTGTTTGGTAAACTGTATTTTTACTTAACTGTGTAAGTTTTACTATATCATTCAATATTATTTTATAAAAACATGTTTAGAAGCCACTCAGCATTTTCCTAGGTGGATGCACCATTCCTATTCTAATCTCTTATTATTTATTGTACCCAAAGGCTGCACCCAATGGTCTGCTGTCTAAACTTCTCTGCCTGCAGTGAGCATCCTCTGAGCTAAACCTCAGCACACACACATCAACCACGGCTTCCGTAGGGCAACTTCCAGGATACAATATTGCTCGGTCAAAGCCTGAGGACGTCTGTCTGATGCACATAGATTCTCAAGCTCAGCAGGCTCAAAGCTGCAAAGAGCCACAGAAACTTGCCGAGCTTGGCCGGGCGTGGTGGCTCATGCCTGTAATCCCAACACTTTGGGAGGCTGAGATAGATGGATCACTTGAGGTCGGGAGTTCAAGACCAGCCTGGCCAACGTCATGAAACCCTGTCTCTACTAAAAATACAAAATTAGCCAGGCATGGTGGCACATGCCTGTAATCCCAGCTACTCGGGATGCTGAGACAGGAGAATTGCTTGAACCCAGGAGGCGGGAGGCTGCAGTGAGCCAAAATCACACCACTGCACTCCAGCCTGGACAACACAACAAGACTCAGACTCAAAAAAAAAAAAAAGAAAGAAAAAAGAAATGAACCAGGTTCCTCTCATCTTACACTTGAAGACACTGATGTTGAGCACAAGTGACTTGTTCAGATGGCAAAGGTAGTTGGTGCAAGAATCTGAACAGGCCTCTCGAAGTGGGTCCCTACCAGGGGACCAGCTGACCTGCAGTGCTCCCAGGCCTGACCCGGCTGGCAGAAGGGGACGAGTCAGACCCAGTGCTTTGCAAATTCAGGTTGCCCTCCTCCTACAGAGCACACGTGGCTCCTCAGTTCCTAATCTCTGCTGTTCCAGTCCTCTGTTCCCTACTATTCGCTCATTTGCTTATTATGTGCAAAGCACATCCCAGGTGCCGTGGGGTCACAGCAGGTATAAAACACCAGGGTTTCCAGGGACCTCAGCATCAATGCTGACTACCCCACCCCCAGTGCCTATGGGGCTAATTCCACTCAGGTGTGCCCCTCCCATCCCACCCACCTGAAGAAGACACCTGTGGCACAGCCCTTAGCTCAAGCTATCTTTGAACAGCTGCATAAGCCTTCTTTCCTTTTCACCCTTGTCCAGAAGCCCCCCAGGCTCTCTTTCTGTGGGTACCACACTATCTCCACACCTCCCAAATCCTAGCCTCTTTCCAAATCATTCCAGCAAGGTATGTTCGCAAACATCTCCATAGTAACAAAACCAAAATGGCAAAAGAATTGTAAAGAATAATAATAGATTGGCAAATATTGAGTAAAGGGGCAAAATGCTGGTTTTCATGAGCATTTTATGCAGAAACTCAAGGTTAGAATCTACTGGCATAGTATCTCCACCATGAATTTTCCAGAAAGCAAATAAAATAATATAAGGAAAAGGTTGGAGTCACAGCACGCAGACAGAAATTCCTAGTTAGGTATCTGGTAACTACATCCAATAACACTCTCGCTGAAAGCTTCACTGTAACAATAAAAAGGGAGACAAATGTAAAGAGTAGATTCTTTGCCACTATAAAGAAAAAAATGTATACCTAAGCTAAATTGGTTGTTTTTTTTTTGTTTGGGTTTTTTTTTTTGTTTTTTAAGATGGAGTCTCACTTTGTTGCCCAGGCTGGAGTGCAGTGGCGTGATCTCAGCTCACTGCAACCTCTGCCTCCTGGGTTCAAGCAATTCTCCTACCTCAGCCTCCCAAGTAGCTGGAACCACAGGTGTGCGCTACCACGCCTGGCTAATATTTTGTATTTTAGTAGAGACAGGTTTTCATCATGTTGCCCAGGGTGGTCTCAAACTCCTGAGCTCAGGCCATCTGCCTGCCTCAGCAGGCAGGCAGATGCTGGGATTACAGGCATGAGGCACCGTGCCTGGCCTTAAACTGTTTTTTAAAACACTGTCACCTACATACCTTCGTCTTTGGAGCCTCAGGCTAAAATGGAGCACCTCTAACTCTCAGTTCAATTTCACTGGGCTGATAGGATCCAGAGGTGAAGTCGCAATGCCATGTAGAGACATGAGATGGCAGCATCAACCCAGAGAAAGAAACTGCACCACTTTTCTTGGCCAAAAAACAAAACAAAACAAAACAAAACTAATGGCCTCCCCACGTTCTAGAGCAGGAAGTTTGGGGTTTCTACCACTGAAAATGAAGAAAGGGTAGTATTTCCCAAATTCCTGGGCTCCCAGTCTTCAGACGGCGCCTGAAATGTTTGGCCAACAAACTCGGTCGATGTTTTTTGTAAGCCTTATTCTTTTTTTTAATTTAAAGACTGCTTTCTACTGCCTATTTTGTTTGTGCCTGCAACCTTCCAGGCCTGCCGGATTCGCATGGAGCTGGTGAACCTGCCACTTCTGACTGGAGCCCTCCTGTCCCCTTTCTCCTTTAACTGGCCAGAATTCCACACCAAAATACATTTTCTCATTGGCTTTATTTATAGTACTCCCAAATCTTAATTTTTAAAAGCAGAAGAGAAAGAAGGAAGGGAAACTGTCTTTATTAAGTGCCTAAGAGGTACTAGCTTTCATAAATTGTATCTAATTTAATCCTCAAAAGGATCTGAGATGAACCAATGGTCTTCTATTTCTGATGAGGTGACAACCTCAGAGAGGTCAGGATGCCAAAGCTGCACAACTAGGAACTGCAGCCTTGAGTATGAACTCACGTCTGTCTGGTGTCAGAGGTCACAATCCTGCCATGATTCTAGTAGGTGTGGGATCTCTCAAAATAAAACACTCAATTAAGTTGATTTTCATCAACTTGGTGTTTTTTTCCCTATGTTAGTGAACCTTGATGGGAAAAATAGCTCCTGGACAGGTGCAGTGGCTCACGCCTGTAATCCCAAACACTTTGGGAGGCCAAGGCAGGCAGATCACTTGAGGTCGGGAGGTTCAAGACCAGCCTGGCTAACATGGTGAAACCCTATCTCTACTAAAAATATCAAAAATTAGCCAGGTGTGGTGGCGTGCACTTGTAAGCGCAGCTACTTGGGAGGCTGAAGCACAAGAATCGCTTGAACCCGGGAGGCAGAGGTTGCAGTGAGCTGAGATCGCACCACTGCAGTCCAGCCTGGGGGATAGAGTGAGACTCCGTCTCAAAAAAAAAAAAAAAAAAAAAGAATCACTTGAACCCAGGAGGCAGAGGTTGCAGTGAGCCAAGATCACACCACTGCACTCCAGCCTGGGAGACAGGCGGAGATTCCATCTCAAAAAGATAAAAAGAAAAAATAGCTCCTGATCTAAAAGTCTACACATCCATTTTCTCACGTACTTTCATTCCTTGAAAAAATCTCTTCTCCACTTGGATCTTGGCCTCTTACCTACAGGATAAAGGTCAACGCTTTAATCTGACCCTGTTAAGCAGCCCAAGCCACTGTTAATCATTTAGCAGTTCAGGTTTGGGGAAGACCTTTATACACATATTGCCCTCTGGCAGGGCACGCAAAGGGATAATGGAATCAACCCAAAAAGTCAGGGAAAACTTTAGCCAAGTTTATACTGGGGATTAATAGGATGGAAGTGGGAGAAATACAAATCTAGACTAATCCAGGCTGGGCAGCATCACCAGGCATCACTCGATGCCTCGCCTGTGTTAATCAGCACACTCATGACATTTACAGATGCAACTCGATAGACAGCACAAGTAACCAAGGGTCTTTGGGGACTCAGAGCGAATGACAGCATCAGCAAAGGTCTGCCAACAGGTGGGTCAAGGAGCAAGGTTAACTCTGGGCCGCCCGTGACTTTTCAGGACCTCCTGCTGCCTCATAATCACTCCGGGGGTCCTGCCCACCTGGTGCACTTCCACCATTCCAGCGGTGGCCTCCTTCCAACCTCTCTCCTCCAGAATCTCCACTTCATTCACTCCTCTGGTAAGTTCTTTCTTGGGAGCTATCAATGGTCCCTATAAACCAGCCATCCCCTAGTTTGCCATATGGTTCTGGAGCAGCCAAGAGAAATCAAGAAACACCTATTTCCGGGTAACAATAACAGTAGTTCAACACACAGCCAAATCCCACTTTATGATTTTACATTCTCCTCTTATGGAATTCCCTGACTGAAACAAACTCGTGCTGAAGGCTTCTCAGGAAAGTTTTAAGGGGATACCAAGCCCTCTTGTGTTCCTCACTCCCTACTGCCGTCACCAACAGGAGGGGTTGGCTACCCTAGATAACATCTTTCAGTCCATGTCCAAAAGGAGTTAGTTCTTTTCTGGGCTCAGCAAACACATTCTGATGTGCTAATAGCCCTTAATGAGGACATCTGCCATCAGTTAAGGAACTGGAACAGGCAGAACAGTAAAACAAACTCTCTCTGTGGTTCGGGGTTGCAAACTGCTATTTGTCATGTAACTGTTGCTGGACAACCACATGTCTCAGCACACGTAGGCACGCCCCCACACTTGTGTGCGTGCACACACACACGCACGGTGGCTGTGCTCTCCTACCACCCAGGGACACTGCAGCGAGCTATGATATCACCTAGCAGCACTTCCAGAACACAAGTCATAAGTCAAAGTGATTCACTGCACAACTCGTGGGGTTTATTTTAACTTAAGAAGGGTGAAGTTTGGAGTAAGACTCCTATTTGCAAAAGCGTGGGTGCTTGCTACTTCTCTAATGAATAATTTATAGGTCAACTGAGGGATATAAACCCTCCTGCCAAGAGCTTCAGTTCTCTGCTAAACTCAGCTCTCTGTATATTTTATTATCTCCACCGGGTATCACTGCAGGAACAACAGTTTAAGTTTTTAGGTGTTTGGTTAATATTTAACCATATCATTCTTTATCTTTTATCAGAAAAGTGCCAATTTTTCCTTTAAATCTATAACATTTTTACTTAAGTTTTTCAGTGTGATGTTCTAAACTTGCAGGGCATAGTGGTACACGCCTATAGTTCCACTACTCAGGAGGCTGAGGCAGGAGGATCGTCTGAGCTCTAAATAAATAAATAATCAAAGGCCAAAATGTTTGCAGTGAATGTTTGCATCTCTTATTTCACAATGGAACTCCATGGAGAACAAGATTCCCAAAGAATTCATTTTCAGCAATTCTTAGCCAACATCTCTGCTGACAAATGCCATGAGTACTTGCAAGCATATTTGTAAGTATATGCAAATATGTTTATGGTCCTCCTGGTTTGCAGGTCACCATTTGAACCTTGGCAGAAGCAAACTGTCCCATCCCATACCCAACTGCTACCTGGTGGCTGGTTCTCAAGCCTTTTTTTTCCTGGTATGTCTTCCCCAAAGAAAGTTTAAAAAAAAAAAAAAAAAAGACACTTCGCTAAGCATACATGGACCTTTTCTTTGAAGAAATAGGAGAAAACTCCTCCTGGCTTTCAATAGAAAGCCAGGGCCTTAGCAAGAGCATCAAAAGCCGTGACTTAAAACTTCTAGCTCTCTGGAATTACCAGGTCCTGTTACCCTATTTTTAAGAGGGGTGTGGTGTGTACTTAGGATTTTCACAGTACAAGCTTCAGACACATGGCACTGAGCATATTGGTGATTGATTCAAGTTCTCAATCAGCTGGTCAGAGTGTGACAATGTGGATTCTCAGGGCATTCTAATTATTGTCTTTTTCTGAAGGTTTTAAAAAACTGGACTACACTGCATCAGTGTAGAATAGTTTAGACTACCAGTAAAATTAAAATGATAGAATATCAAGACTGATAGGGACCAGAATAATTGTCCAACTCCCATTCAGGGCTGGTATTTTCTTGATGGCATACCCTATAACTGAGCATCCAGCCTTCCTATTACTCTAAGTAATAGATGTAATACAGTAATGGAAAGGAGGAAGAAGGGACTCCCAACTAACACTACTATTTTCATATTCCAGCAGATGGGCCATAAAAATAGGTCATCTGATCTGCTTACAGCAAATTCTCTCCAGCAAATAATAAACGATCCTGATCAACAAATATTCCTGCTGGTCTGACTGCACAACAGTCATTCAATCAAGTAAAAGAGACTGTTTCTGTTTGCGCTGCTGGCAGGAAAGCGTTTCCACAGCTCTACCCAGGAAAAAATACACTTCCCCTTCCTTCACACCTACCTCCCCATTTGCTCTCAGAAACGCAGTGCCTTTGTTCACGACTCTCTGGAGTTCACACTACCCTATTACACAAGACAGCTCTTAGGACACTCCTTGGCACATAGTGAGGGCTCAGGAATCCACAACCCTCTCTACTGGCACCGATGGGACTGCAGCCTCCTTAGACTGATCTTAAACAGCTGATCTTCCAGCGGTAAGAAGAGGCCCAGATTCAAGAAAAACGTGTTATAAGAAAGAATACCTGCTGCTGGCCCTAAAATGAAGGCAAAAGTATCAAGAGCATTCGAACTTGCTTCCAAGACAGGGTTTCCTTAAAAACAGGTAGACAGAAGGAAGCAGGTATAAGCAGGACTATGCTGACAGATGTCTGGGTGAGGGGACGCAGTTGTCCTGCAGTGTTTTTGTAAATGCATGGGGCGCTGGGGCGTGCATGTATGTGGTGGGGCAGGGGCAGCGTGCAGTGTGGTTAAACCTGATTTAAACTGTTCTCAAACCACATGACAGTTCCAGAAGGAGGTGGGGAGATGGATGATTGCTGACTTGGCATTTTACCCAGAGCCAGGACTGGAGGGAGGGAACCAGGAGCCGAGTATCCCTGGGGAGAACAAGCCTCACAGAACTAGCAATTCTAGCAGTCTTCAGGGTAAACTTCTAAGAGACCTGCACAGGACCTCAAAGCACCCACAAATGCTTGAATGGCACTCAGGTTTATACTCTCTTGAATGCACACGCTGGGGGCTTCTCTTCTTTCCCAACTTCCCAGCAACTCAATAAAATATGAAGGAACAACATTATCCCCATTTTAGAGCTGAGAACACAGGTTCAAAAAGGTCACCTATTTGTCCAAAATCCCAAAGCTAGCAAGCAGTGGCATTGTCAGTTTCCCGCGCTGTCCTGGTCCAGTTCTCTCTTCCCCACAAGTGGAGACCCAGCAGCAAGGCGCGGCTCAGGCCTGGGGAGGGTGAGTTGGGGGGATCCAGAGGAAGAGAGTGAGTTTCATGGAGAAGGGATTTACTGGAAGCACTTGCAGTAACAACAAGCAAAAGCTGCCAATTAAAAAAAAAAAAAAAAGCTGCCATTCCAAAAATATAAAACACAGACGTGAGAGTTTTAAAAGCCTAACAACGCCCCAGGTGCCAATCCCAAGAGGACAAAAAGGGTTCCTACATTCTCGCTCCTTGAAGAAAGCAGAGGAACACAGGAACATGGACTCTACTTTCTTTTCTTTCTCTTTTTTTTTGAGATAGAGTCTCGCTCTGTCGACCAGGTTGGGGTGCAGTGGCGCCATCTCGGCTCACTGCAGCCTCCTCTTCCCAGGTCCAAGCAATTCTCCTGCCTCAGCCTCCCAAGTAGCTGGGATTACAGGTGCCTGCCACCATGCCGGGCTAATTTTTGCCTTTTTGGTAGAGATGGGGTTTCACCAAGTTGGCCAGGCTGGTCTCGAACTCCTGGCTTCAAGTGATCTGCCCACCTCGGCCTCCCAAAGTGCTGGGATTACAGGCATGAGCCACTGTGCCTGGCCAATTTTTTTTTTTTTTTTTTTCATTTAGGAAGTTAAAGTAGAAACACTATTTGGAACTCAAAAGTCATTTGAATGGATCATCACATTCCCTGACAATGCCAAACAAAGGAGAATCACTCCTGAGGGTGAAATGGTTAAAGGAGAAAACTGGTTTGGAACTCAAATGTCACTTCAATGAATGATCACATTATCTGACAATGCCAAACCGACAGGCAGGGGAGCCTGGCAGGAGGATGAGAGCTACCTGGTGACTCACCTGGCTGGAATTAACATGTCATAAAAAGGCAACTGCCCTCTCCTTGCGGTGGGTAATCAAGGCACCCATTTAGAGGCTTGCTGGTCAAAATGAACCAACTCCAGTGTTCCATGCTTGGAGCTCAACACTAAGTCAGACTGCTCTGGCCCTGGAGCCAAAGCCAGTGACCGACCCCTGCCCATTACCCATGTGACTAGGTGCCTGCCCCGCTCACTTTCGGTACCGGGTCTCTTTCCTGCTCTGTTCCCCCAAGCCTGAATCTCAGCCTTGGGGCCCTGCCCTCAAGCCTCCCCCAGGTGGGGCCTGGCCAGCCTCTGGGAGCTAATCCCGCCCACACGGGTGGGGGCAGACCCACCTGGGGAGGGACTCACCGGAACCCCCGGGAAAGGGCCCCAGAGCAGAAAAAGCCCAGCGTCTTTAAACATATCAGCCCTGCTGCTATGCAACATGTGGGTCCAGCTCTTGACCATGCACCAAACCAAATATTAAGAAGCCTAAGAGTCAGACCCTGCCCTTAATGAATTTGGGGCCTAAATGAGCTACCACCTGGTCCACACAGCCAGCACTTGTGTATAAAAGCACTTAATACGCTCTGAAGCTACATTTATGTACTGTGTTGTATAATGAGATGAATGAATGAACATTTGCATCTCTCAGGAAAATGAAAAAAACATTCAGCAATCTGACACTGAAGCCTGATTTTTAAAAAGGGGGTTTTTAGAATGGAGCCCATGAGTTAGATGAATATCCATGTGAACATTTTCCATTTTTGACATCAGTTAGATAAGTCAAAATAAAATATGTTATGAATCTAAAAAAAAAAAATCCACTGAGTGACTGGAGGTTGAAGGAGACACAGGTTTCACCCCAAAAACAGAAAGTCAGCCTTAGTGACGAGAAGACAGGCACCATCGGGGAAGATTTAAATACATAGTGGAAAATAAACGGAGTGGAGGAGGGGCTCGCCCAGGGCTCAAACCACTAAGGAAGTGCCTTAAACGTATTTTTCTCTGGAGGAAGCCATTTAAGGAATCTTTATGCCCCAATAACTGTGGGCATGAGAATGAGTTTCGAGACGAAAGAGAGATGGAGAAACAGGCTGAATGAGAGTTCACCCCAGTCCCAGCTTAGGATGTTGGGGTGCCACTCTCTGAAGCTTTTCTTGAAATGGATGGGGTGGCGGCATTAATCAGAAGCTGCTCACTGGTGAGGACGTTCTGAGCCCAAGTGACAAAATAAATGTGCATCAATCGCAGACAGCAGCTGGCACATACTCTCCGAGTTTTCAGAGAAGGAAGGGATAAAATCAGCACCGGGTGCTGGTGAGTTCTGCCTGCCCCAGGAACACAACTGAGGGGGCTGACACACACACCCCCGCCACCTCAGGCCAGCAGGTAGACTGGACTTAGTTCAAGGCCAGCAGAAGAGGAGAATCTTTTGAAGAAAAGGCAGTAGGATGTTCCCAAGAAATAAAATCACATCTAAGTGACAAGAGAATAACAGGAACCCTTATATGTAATCCGTGGCCTTTCAAAGACTGATGTGCATTCAGGAATGTTCTAACAGCTATCATTTATCAAAGACTTAAGTGCCAGTCAACTTGCTGAGCATTTCGCAGACTGTGTCTCATTTAATCCCCCACAAATAACCCATGAGATTATAAATACCATCATCATTCCCATTTTACAGATGAGCAAACTGAATCTCAGGGTGAGTAATTTTCCCAAGGCCACGAAGCTAGAAAATGACAGAACTCAGAATGTGAGCCCAAATGTGTCTGATTTCAAAAGCTATGTTTGTTTGTTTTGAGACAGGGTCTCCCTCTGCCACCCAGGCTGGAGTGCAGTCGCACGATCACAGCTCACTGCGGCCTTGACCTCCCAGGTTCAAGCTATCCTGCCACCTCAACCTCCCAAATAGCTGCGACTACAGGTGCGTGCCACCACATCTGACTCATTTTTGTATTTTTTGTAGAGACAGGATTTCACCATGTTGCCAAGGCTTTTCTCGAATTCCTGGGCTCAATCGATCCTCCTGCCTCGGCCTTCTAAAGTGCTAGGATTACAGGTGTGAGCCACCAGACCCAGACAAGCTATGCTCTTTCTACTATGTTGTACAGCCAGGAAATGTATGCATCAAGTGACAGACCAAACTAGATGACCACATAAGCTTCCTTGTTTTTAAAAACTTGAGTCACCAAGAGGCTAATGTGGTATTAGTGGTTGTGGCATGGAACGGGAAATGTGCATTATGACAGCAAAGAATCAAGCATGGGATCCCCCAGGAGCAGGGCGACAATTCTTCTTATTTCACCCTTTACAAATATCCCAAAGAGAATGCACAAACAGTCAGGGCTGCCTTAAGCTCAGACTTCCGGCTGGGCGCAGTGACTCACGCCTGTAATCCCAGCACTTTGGGAGGCCAAGGCAGGTGGATCACTTAAGGTGAGGAGTTCAAGACCAGCCTGACCAACATAGCAAAACCTCATCTCTACTAAAAATACAAAAGTTACCTGGACATGATGGTGGGCACCTGCAATCCCAGCTACTGGGGAGGCTGAGGTATGAGAATTGCTTGTACCTAGGAGGTTGCAGTGAGTCAAAATCATGCCACTGCACTCTAGCCTGGGTGACAGAGTGAGACCCTATCTCAAAAAAAAAAATAGTTTTAAAAAAAAGCTCAAACTTCCCCATTGTGACTTTGGCCAAATGACCTCACCACTCTGTGCCTCAGTTTCCTCACGTGCAAAATGAGAAAAAGTATTGATCCTATCCCAGAGGATAATTTGGGGCTTTAATGAGGCAATGAATTTTTTTTTCCAGAAGTGCCTTGATTTTGTTAAGAGTTCCCAAGCTCCCCTTCCTAGAGATTCTGATCCCCCAGGTCTGAGAGAGGAAACAGTGAGAAAATGCATGTTGGATACTGAGCACTGTGCCTAGCAAAAGTGCGCGATAAATGCTGACCTGAAAAAAAGTAGACACCAAATCCCGGGCAGTGAAGAGCCAAACCTATCGGAAAATTATCAGAAAGAGTTTGTGCAAATGCGGGGGAAATACAGTAAATTTTAACATCAACAAGGGCAGTGTAATAGATGGTAAGAAAAAAATGAAAACCATGCAAGAGCTCTATGGAAACAGTCACATCCCAGCACTTCGGGAGGCCGAGGCAGAGGATGGCTTGAGCTCAGGAGTTCAAGACCAGCCTGGGCAACACAGGCAGACCCCATCTCTACAAAAAATACAAACATCAGCCAGGCGTGGTAGCATGTGCCTGCAGTCCCAGCTACTCAGGAGGCTGAGGTGGGAGGATCACTTGAGCCTGGGAGGTTGAGGCTGCAGTGAGTTGTAATTGTCCCATGCATTCCAGCCTGAACAACAGAGTGAGACCCTGTCTCAGGGCCGGCGGGGATAAAAAAAGATGACTTATGAGGCCAGAGGACCATTAACCTAAATGTGCTGTGTGACAGGGAGGGCAAGCTAAGAAGGCAGCGCTCTTCAGGACAAAGGATCAAGGCCAGGAGGGCCCCAAGAGAATCCGCCAAGTTGGAGAGAGGAGTAGAATGCCAACTTGGTCACCAAATATTGAAATGACAGAAAAGGGAGGCCCCACTAACATCAGCTGGAGACCAAAGAGGGGATGCTGGAATACCCCAGTGAAGGCAAATGAAGTGCACACTGCATTTGGACAGTGAATGAATGCACGAGTGGGGTTGCCCTAGGCTCCAACTAGCACTGCTTCATTACAGACTGCATGGAGATTTGAGGTTGAATGCACGTAAAATCGTGAAGGCTGCAAAGGGGCCTCTGCCTCTCCCCACCCAGGTGGCCAGGGACACCGGCCCACAACCGGCCACAAAGCTGTCTTCGGGAAGGGCACAGCCACTCCCTCCCTTGCCACACTGGCTCCTAAATGCATGGGTTTGATCTGATAGGATTAATTCTCATGTTTTCCACAAGTTCTATAGAGAGATAGAGATGAAGGCCAGAATCGTAAACAGTGGCACATGCCATTCTTCTGTAATTAACATAAACTGCTAATAACAGCCACGTGGCCGCATTCTAGATGCCTTTAAAGAACATCATGCTTCCAAACGCCTCACGCTTTGCTTGAGTGTTTAAGCCACACTGGATTACAAAGGCAGCCTGGAGAAGAACCGCAGGTGCGGTGACGGTCTCCAGGCCAAGTGAACTGAGTTTAGAATTTCCCATCCAGAGTCCACAACGGGCTGCCCGTTCGGCCTGTGATTCTTTTCCACACAACCACTATCAACATACGGGTCAAAGTCCTCAGGGGTTGGGGGGCGGGAACCAGGTAGAATTAACTAGGAGGCCCAGAAGAGCCCTTCCCAATACCAACCCTTCCCACAAACCAGCAATGGTATGTGCGACCTGTGAGGCCGGTGAGCATCCACCTAGCACACTCTAAATCCTGCCCCCTTGTCTTCAAATAACTGCTTAATGTCTGAGCACAGGGCAGGCATCCCCCGTCCCACAGTAACTCTAAGTGAGGAACTGACCCCATAATGCATCTTTGTTACAATGTACAACTCAAGAACCCTACGGCCCAGCAGTTCCACTTTCTCAGTACCTACCCCAGAGAAAACTCACAGGTGCTATAGAGGTCTGTGCAGCAATGTTTTTTGGTATCAGCGTTTTTAACAGTAAAGGATCTGGAAATGACTGAAGTGCCCATGAATTAGGGAAAGGTGAAGTACTTGTGTAGCCTTCTAATTCAAAGGGAGACCGGGCAGAGGTTAAACAAAATCAAGGAGACCTTTGCATAGGAGCCGGGAACTATCACCAAGCACCCTGTTGAGGGAGGGAGAGGCAATTCAGTAAAGAGACCTTACGTAATCCACAGCCAATGCACTTAACTTTTTGTAAGTCCTATAGGTATAGATGTGAGTATGTGAGGCATCTGAAGAACAGCAAGTCCATGAAAGTGCTGGACCTCTGGGGAAGGGACTGGGATTAGGAACAGTCATCAAGGAAAACTTTCTGATTGCTGCAGAAGTTTTGCATTTTTCCCCTCCAGAGAATGTGTTCGTGTACTAACTTGCGCAATGAAATTTTCATTTAAATTTTTTTTTTAAAAAGAAAAGAAACAGTCCCTGTTCAATGCATTTCAATAATATGTTTGGGGGCAATTTCACCCTGAATCTGGGCCATGCTTCCCAGGGGCTGTGAGCTCAGCAGTGCACATCTGCGTTTCCAGTCAGCAGTGGGCTTTGCAGCACAGATCTTGTTTCAATATTACAAGCCCAACTCCGCAACTCTGTGGATTGTTAAATTTATATGCTAGTTCAAGGAAAAGGCAGGGAAAAAAGAGAAAGTATGTCAATGGGACTTCTGATCATCCAAAGGGATGTCCTAGGAGTAATTCCAGTTCTTCCAACCCAGCACTGCAGCACTCCAACACAACACACACGTTCCCTAATAAGCCAGCCCTTGCCCAATCACACTTCCTCCATACCAGGCCTAGCTGTCTGTGGTTTTGACTCTTTCAGATGGGAATCAGGATTCCTAATATAAATCCAAATCCCCTGAGCTAATGAGAAAAAAGAATCTGAACATCCCATTGCACAAACTCTAAAACATTATTATTCACTCACTGGGGACTCCTAACCACATAGGTTACTGCTTTTTAAACAGACACGCACCCCCTGCCTCCTCCTCAAAGCACTACCTATAGAGTCCTTAGAAATACAAAATTGGCTGTGCACAGGTAGCTCATGCCTGTAATCCCAGCACTTTGGGAGGCCAAGGTGGGAGAATCACTTAAGGCCAGGAGTTTGAGATCAGACTGAGCAACACAGTGAGACCCTGTCTCTAAAAAAAATTTAAAAATTAGCCGGGTGTGGTGGCACCTACCTGTGGTCCCAACTGCTTGGGAGGCTGAGGTAGGAGAATGGCTTGAGCCTGGGGAAGTCAAGGCTGCAGTGAGCTGTGATTGTGCCACTGCACTCCAGCCTAGGAAACAGTGCAAGACTGTCTAAAAAAAAAAAAAAAAGAGAGAGAGAGACAAAATTATAATATTTAGAACCTACTGAGCAAAACTAACTTATGGCAATAGAAATCAGATTTGTGGTACTTCTGGTTGGGGGTGGGGCTTATCTGGAAGTGGTCACGAGGAACTCATCTGGGGTGATGGAAATGTTCTGTCTCCATACGTATGTGTCGAAACTGATTAAACAGCACACTTAAGATCTGTGCTGTATGTAAATTACACCTCAATTTAAAAAAGAACTCCTCACACACAGTTTCTCTCCCGGCTGCAGCAGAACTCTGAGCTGTCCTATCAGACGTTGGAAATCTCTGTTGTGCTATGCAAGGAGCATGAGTACCATGGCGACAGTCACCATAAAAATAGATAACAAGATTAAAATGGACACAGGACACATGAATTTAAGAACAGCACACCAAGAGCAATTCATTTTCAGCAGAAGAAAAATAGAAAGAGGAGAGGGAGTTTTCAATTCCTCCGGCACTTTGACAAGCAGCCACTGACTGAATGCGGGTGTTTTTACTAAGAGAGTTGTATATGGCTTCCTGATACTCAAAGGACAAAAAGGCTGACAACTGGTTTTTTGTGTTTTGTTTTTCTTTTTATTTTCTTTTTGTTGCCCAGGCTGGAGTGAAGTGGCACCAGCACAGCTCACTGCAGCCTTAACCTCCCCGGGTTCAGGTGATCCTCCTTCCTCAGCCTCCCAAGTAGCTGCAACTGCAGGTGCATGCCACCACGCCCAGCTCATTTTTGTATTTTTTATAGAGATGGGGTTTCACCATGTTGCCCGGGCTGGTCTCGAACTGCTGGGCTCAATCAATCCTCCCACCTCAGCCTCTCAAAGCAGCTGGGACCACAGGTAGTCTCAAAGTGCTTGGATTACAGGCGTGAGCCACCATGCCCAGCTGGGAACTATTACTTCTTATCATATTTTGCTTTTTTTAAAAAAAGGCCGGGCTCACGCCTGTTAATCCCAGCACTTTGGGAGGCTGAGGTGGGAGGATCACCTGAGGTCAGTTCAAGACCAGCCTGGCCATCATGGTGAAACCCCATCTCCACTAAAAAAAATTCAAAAATTAGCTGGGCATGGTGGCGGGAGCCTATAATCCCAGCTACTCCGGAGGCTGAGGCAGGGAGAAATGCTTGAACCCATGAGGCAGAGGTTGCAGTAAGCTGAGATCGCACCACTGTACTCCAGCCTGGGCAACAGAGCAAGACTCTGTCTCAAAACAAAAAAAAAAGGCATGTTAGCCCAACTTTCCCCCAAACCCACTATATGTAGCCCAGGGAACCAAATCACAGCAATTCAACAAGCACAGTTGATGTGACAGACACCATGTGAGGCATAAATGATACAGAGACAAAGGAGACTAAGGCCTGTCATCAAATGTACAAAAATTTTCAACTCTAGTTCTAAATAACTAGGTCCTGCCTATGCTTTTCACATACATCTAAAACTGCCATTTGTTAAGTCAGCGCACCCCAAAATTGCTTCATCCCATATAAAAAGAGCACTTTCTTGCCAAATACTGATTTCTCAAATGCCAAAATGCAAGCATATATCATGTGGAGACAAAAATCATCTTACAATATTCTCCAAAGATGAGATAAACCTCTATTCTCTTTGCAGAGCTAAGAAACTTTTGCTAAGTGATTTAGTCCAAGCAGTGACCTGCACAACAACAAAAACAACAACAAAAGTAATCCAAAAATATCAGGAAGAGGAATCTAAAAGTTTTAAATAATCAGGGCGGATTCTAAATAAAGCATATATTTCAGTGAAAGTTAAGCAGAATTAAACTAAAAAAAATTTCATATGTAAGCTATAAGTAATACATATGCAAAAATTTAAAAAAAATTTAAGCCAGAAGCAGTGGCTCATGCCTATAATCCCAGCACTTTAGGAAGCTAAGGTGGGAGGATGCCTCGAGCCCAGTGGGTCGAGGCTGCAGTAAACCATGATTGCGCCACTGCATTCCAGCCTGGCAACAGAGTAAGATCCTGTCTCAAAAAAATTTTTTTTAATTCAAATTACAAATTTATTGTCTGATATAAACTAAACATATGTTTTCCTGGAAAATCCCACTTTAAAATGTCTTTAAATTGATCTGCCCTGTATTCTCTTTATCGCTAAACTGAAGAGCAATCAGATGGCTCCATCTCATCACTGGTGTCAGGATGCTGTTGAGCAAGGTGCTCCTGGGGATATAAATCCACAGTGCGGGACAGGAAGTGGGAGGAGACATTCAAGGTCACTCCACATTCTCCACGGCCAAGCAGAGGACCCAGCACCCACTAACAGCCCCCTCTTGATTTAGTCATCATCCCGAATAGAAGTGGCATGATGATCCCACTTTTTTTTTTTTTTTTTTTTTTTTTGAGAGATGGAGTCTCACTCTGTCGCCCAGGCTGGAGTGCAGTAGCATGATCTCGGCTCACTGCAACCTTTGTCTCCTGGGTTCAAGTGATTCTCCTGCCTCAGCCTCCCGAGTAGCTGGTGTTACAGGCAAGCAACACTACGCCCAGCTAATTTTTGTATTTTTAGTAGAGACGGGGTTTCACCATGTTGGCCAGGCTGGTCTCAAACTCCTGGCCTCCAGCAATCCACCCGCCTCGGCCTCCCAAAGTGCTGGGATTACAGATGTGTGACACCACACCCAGCATGATCCTACTACTTGTCTACATGTCAATCTGTGTTGTTCATTATTACTGGCCATTTCCCGGCCCCCCACCACCACCAACCTTCTTGCTTTTCCTAAGGACCAAATTTAATTTTCAGCAGCCCTGGGTTCACAAACTGAGTTCTGACCCAACTTAAAATAGTTCTCATCCTTGGTTTCCTTTTTTTGAGTCGAGGTCTCACTCTGTCACCCAGGCTGGAGTGCAGTGTGCCACAATCACGGCTCACTGCTCCTGGCTCACTGCAGCCTCAAACTCTAGGCCCAAGTGAGCCTCCGACATCAGCCTCCTAAGAGCTGGGACCATGGGCAGGTGTACCATCATGCTTGGTTAATTTTTCTATTTTTTGCATAGACAAGTTCTCTCTCTGTTGCCCAAGCCAGTCTTGAATTCCTGGGCTCAAGCAATCCACCCACCTCAGTCTCTCAAAGTGCTGAGATTACAGGCGTGAGTCAATGCACCTCACCTGTTTTTTGTTTTGTTTTGTTCATCCTTTCTAAAATGATCCCAGAAGGGTCTCTCAAAAATGCTGGGACCTATTTATAAACATTTTTAAAGAACACACTTGATGATATTGACTCAAATACTTGCCACTGAAGGTAAAGCCCCTATTCTATGTGTCTTTCGGCTTTGACAAGTCATATATTAAATAACTGACCCTCTAAATTGGAAGAGACTTTGGAGGTCGGCCTAATTCCTGTCCTTCTCTTCTACCGCATCCCTAATCAACAGCATTCAGCCCTACTTGAATACCGCCAACAGCCGTAAGCTCACTACTTCCTGGGCAGACATTTCTTCTGTTGGACAGATCTGCCAGCTAGAAAATCCTTTTTCATATTGAACTGAAATCTGCTGTCCCAGTCTTTCGGGTCAAAGGGGACCTCAAAGTCTATCAACTTCAGCATGATCGCTGATCATTCTACAGACAAGGAATCATGTAATCATGCCATAAATTAGGAATCTGCAGCTACAGAGAATAAAGTGACTGTTTCATCTATTGGTTGTATTCGAACACCAGGAGTAAAAATGAACGTCTCCTCCTTCCTATGTCTGATAACCAGGAAAATATTTGAAGGTGCTACTGTGTACCCAATGCATGAATACAGTTTAGTTATTCCCTATCCTACAGCATCCTACTCTCCTTTCCAGGATCAAGTCTTCTTGCTCATATCCCTATTAACTCTTGGCTCTCCAGGGTCCAAATGTCACCTGACCAGCCAAGGTCATTAAGACTAGATCTTATGATTAGATCACTGAATTTCTGATCCTGTTATAAACTGCATTCAATTTTTTAAAAGCCATATCTTAGAGCTAAGCTCAGTGGCCCATGTGCGTAGACCCAGCCACTTGGGAGGCTGAGGCAGAAGGATCGCTTCAGCCCAGGAGTTCGAATCCAGCCAGGACAACATGGCAAGACTCATGACTCTCTGAAAAAAATAAAAATAGAAACAAATAAAAATAAAAGCCTCATCCACTGAAGGCTCACACTGAACTGATGAACAACAGAAAAATCCCAACGCTTTTTTTCTCCATGCCCTGCCCCTCCTCAGTGGACCTGTGCCAACCTGGGGTCAAAGACTCTGTCTTCCACTGTGACTCTAGTTTCTGACCTTGAGGTTGACACAGCGAGCAGGCACTCAAGATTAATCACTGAATGAATCATCTACTTTACCCTTTCTTGTCCTTGAACCATAAAAAGTTTTAAAAATTGCAGATGTCCCCACTGTGGAATACATACACAACTAGAAAAGACAAATAATACAAACGTTAAAAAAAAAAAAAAAAGCTGCATGCCTCAACCCAACCAGAAGCAACTGGTATTTGTATTTTGATATACTATTTTGGTGTATTTCCTTCCAATTATTTTCTAAACACATTGCTTTTTTAACATTTGAAGTCACACTGTAGATGTCCCTTAACTTTTGGCAAAAACATTTTTCCCTGTTATTTTAAAGCTATTCCTAAACATTATTTTTCATGACTTCATAACATTCTATTTTAAAGATATCAGAATTCACTTATTTATTACCTCTAGCCCACACCATTGGATATTTAGGTTATTCCCAAGTTTTTACTAGAGTTTAAAAAAAAAAATCTCTGAATAATCTCTGTGCATAAATCATCATCTACATTGTGGATATGGTCTCAGCTACATCCCCAGAAGTGGTATTATCTTATCAGGATACTGAAAATCTCAAAACGCTACAATTCAAATTTTTAAACCTAAATCAGACTTTAAATTCATCCCTTACTGAATTTTTTTCTGTTTTCTTTTTAATTTGCACTCCTAATTCTAGACGACTGAACCTTGATTTGTCTGCAAAACCAGCAATTCCTCTCACTTCTGCGCCACTAACAAATCTGATGAGCGCGCCTTCTCTGTCTTCACCGCCAACACTGGGAAAATGTTGAACAGATCAAGGCCAAGAATAGAACCCTACTGTACTCATTTTCAGATCTCCTTCCAGGCTGCCTCAGTGCCAATAATTAACAGTTTCACATAGGATTGTTAAATTAATAACACCATCCAGCCCACGTCTTACCACTTATGATTTAATAAGGACCATCATACCTCAAAAAACTGTTAAATACTTTACTGAAGCCAAAATGTACCATAGTTGCTGCACTATTCTCTGGCCTAGTAAACAAACCACCATATAAGACAGGAAATAGATTTAATTTGATACGATTCAGCTGGCTTCTGGTTATCCTTGCATCCGATAGCCACACATTGTTAAAATGCACTTCAGTTTCATTTTGTTAATGTTTCAAAAGCAGTATACTTTTTCTTTGAGACAGGGTCTCACTGTTGCCCAGGCTGGAGTGCAATGACGTGATCTCAGCTCACTGCAGCCTCCACCTTCTGCAGGGCTCAAGCAAGCCTCCCGCCTCAGCCTCCTGAGTAGCTGGGAGTACAGGCATGCACCACCACACCCTGCTAGTGTGTGTGTGTGTGTGTGTGTGTGTGTGTGTGTGTGTGTGTGTTTTGACGGAGTCTCGCTCTGTCGCCCAGGCTGGAGTGCAGTGGCACAATCTCGGCTCACTGCAAGCTCTGCCTCCGGGGTTCATGCCATTCTCTTGCCTCAGCCTCCCGAGCAGCTTGGACTACAGGCGCCCACCACCACGCCCGGCTAATTTTTTGTATTTTTAGTAGAGACGGGGTTTCACTGCGTTAGCCAGGATGGTCTCGATCTCCTGACCTCGTGATCCGCCCGCCTCAGCCTCCCAAAGTGCTGGGATAACAGGCGTGAGCCACCGCGCCCAGCCCCAGCTAGATTTTTTATCTTTTGTAGAGACAGGGTCTCAACCATGTTGCCCAGGCTGGTCTCAAACTCCAGGGTCCAAGCAATCCTCTTGCCTCAGGCTCCCAAAGTGCTGGGATTACAGGTGTGAGCCACTACAGCCGGATCAGTATTTTTAAATAACTGATTTTAGTCCCACCTGTAAACATCAGGGTACTATTTGTCAGTCTCTCTCACCAGTGGCTCATCTGGGACGAGCTCTTAGTCTTGGGTGGTAAATCAGACTATTCTAGGTCACAGAGTCCTGAACTTAGTCACTTCAGCTGGACCCCAAATCAGCCTCGTCTGCTGGGAGCCATTTGGATCAATACCAGGCTCCTGAGAATTGTACGTCATATGGCACCTGATGGCTGTGACTCACACCTCACCAAGGTATGACCTCGACATCACTCTCAGAGATCCCTGCCAGCCAGAAGCGGAAAATGGAAAGGCTGGAGAAATCTTGGGGTCACTTGAAACTTGCCTTACTACGGAGAACACAGGTCAAAGCCCTCTATAATTCCATTCCCATCATCATAAAAATATTTCAAAGTCCCAGCCAGCAGCTCCTCAAAAAGTGCTATTGACTTGCCTAAAACAAATCCGGTGCACAGAAATATCTCAGATTCCATAATGCCACACTCCTACCCGGAATCCTCAGTGGCCACCCAGAGCCCATGACAGCAATCCCGAATTTCCTGGCCCAGCATTCGAGTCTCTTGAAAACTCAGGTCGCAAAGCAAAACGCCTACAGGACTAAGTGAAGAATGGAAAGTGACTGGACTGAGGCAAAAGGAAGCCCGGGGACCACAAGCCTGTCTCCTGTCCATAGGGGACAGCCTTCTCAGCTTGAGATGAACACCAGATCTGACTCTTTAAAAGAGCTGCAAATCCAGAGATTTTTCTGTATTTTTTCCCCCAATTTTTAAACACCTTTATGTAGTCCAAACTAGAACACATCCATATGCTTAAAACACTCCCTGGCCACCGGTTTACAACCTTTGCCCTATATGTGACCCCAGCCCACTTTAACAACTTGATTTCTCCCTAATCTCTAACAAGAACCCTCTGTTCTTCTCTCTCACACAATCATAGACTTTACACTTTCCTAACTCCAAGGCTTTGCCCACTCTATACCTCCCCACATCTGCAGCACCCTGAGACACCAAAAACAGTTCATCCCAGACTTCCTTCCTTGTCCCTAAACGTTTTTCCAAGCCCCACCAGCACAGAACACGCCCCACTCCTCTGAACCCCACAGGTAGTTATTCTTTATGTTGGCATTTAATCATCTTGGCTTGCTCCTTAATCAAGGTGTCTCTCATCTTTCCAAAGAGACTGTAAGTCTTCCACCCTTCCTCATGCTTTCTTCCACCTTCAGTACTACAGTAGCTCTTCAAACAGCTTAATAAATACTCACTGAATGCGAAAACTCTCTATTTTTCAAACTGTGGGTTATGATCCATTAGAGAACGATTAGATCAACTTAGTGGGAGACAAGAGGTTTTTAAATGAAAAATAATAGACTAGAAAATAGAAATGTCAGAGATGACACCAAGCAAAGGGAGGTAGGTACTTTATGAACTTAGATTAGATTTTTATATACATGATTGTATGTACTAGGTCACGATGTAAATTTCATTTCTTAATGTAAGTCACAGTCAAAACAGTACAGACACTGCTTTACAATGAGTAAATTAGCTTGACCACTGCTTCATGCAATTATTCTTTGGACAATCAGACACACTCTATAAAGAAAAATATCTGATTCCCAAGTCCTCTTCTACTAGTTCACTGATCTTGCATTTCAGAGAAACAAGGAGGCTAAGTAACAGTAATTACATTCTCAGCTCATTCCACAACTTTTTGCAATCATCATTCAAATTCAGATGTTGCAAGTTGAGGCTTGGGGAATTTGTTCAGCAAATCACCCTGTGTCACCCTTGCAACATGAACAGAGCTCAAGAAAAAAAGCACCAGCTCCCCTCTACTTGCAGGGTGCCAGGCTCTGGTTGGAACAGCCCTGGGAATCACAATATCCCTAGGGCTAATGTCTTCCTGCCTCACTCTCTCTCTCCTACCCTCCAACCCTCCACCCCAGAAAAGTTCAAAATGTTTCAAAGCCCAGCAATTTACTGTCTTTAGCAAATCCCATTCTACACCGTTCTAACCTCCAATCCACCCTCGAGATTAGAAGAATCAACAGCCCATACTCCTCAGGGCCCAATTGCCCACAGTTGCTTTTCCAACTTCAGGTTCAGAACCGAGCAATGTCATGTGAATGGCAGTGCAGCAGAGGGAAACAGAAGCCCCTCGGTTCAGGCCTTGAGTACCACTCAAAGGCATCCTCCGCTGCCCCCCTATTACCAGCAGCCTCCCCACTTCTCTGAGCCCCTTCCCTCTCCCGGCATCTGTAGCCTCTGCAACACTGTCCCCCCTGGGCTCCCCCATCTCAGAGCCATAGCTGCTTGCAGGACACTAACATCTGGATATCTTAGCAGCCACAAGAAACTTCTCTATAGCCTGAGTAGCCAATTCCTTCTCTCCAAAATACACATTTCCGATTTCTCAAGTTACCAACTACAGCAGCTCCAAGGCCCTGGCGTTGAATCAATTTCCACCAAGAATTAATTTCCATTCATCTCATCCCTTCACCCTGCCCTGTAAACAGATTATTTCAACAGTAATGTTTCTCAAACCCACCTTTTTCACTTCCAGTGATCCCAGTGCAAACTCTGGCCACCCTGCAACTCCAACAGCCTGCTCACTGATGTGTCCCCCTAACACAACTTTCCAAAACCCTTCCATTACAGTTGTTCATTACACCATTCCCTCACTCAAAAACCCTGAATGTCTCCTTAGGACACACAGGGTGGCATGCAATCACCAAAAGGGCTAAGACTTTCACAATCTCAACCATTGTTCCTCTCCACCTCTATCTCCTACTGTTCAGGATACATTCCCTGGTATGGCTAAGGACATCTCCTTGTCTCTCTGGAAAGCCATGTTCATTCCCACCTCACAGCCTATCTCAACAGCGTCAGCCTCCAGTCCTGGTGACTGATCCCTGCCCACAACTCCCTTCTCTGACTCCAACAGAACTATTTCTGCACCTCGCACTTTGACAGTTACCATTCCCTCTCTTGGCGTCTGATTTCACATGCTGACATCCTTCTGTCCCCTCTATGAGGGCAGAAGCCCTGGAGGGAGGGAATCATCTCTTACACCTTCTGTCTCCTCTCTCCCCGAGACAGGTATGAGCCTCTGCTCCTCTGCTCCACTTTGTAAATTATCCCACCTGTTACTTTCTTCTCCTCTTGTCTTTGGGCCCTACGGGTGAGTTACTCTCCACAGGCATAATTTACTTCAAAACTTAGTACTCCAAGTCCCTTCCCCAATCTCGTTTTTCCTTTATCTGATATACTCCCTCTCCAGCATCTCCACTAACTCAGGCAGCCACTGCACATTAACTTGAACGTAAACTCCTAAATCACTTCCACCTAGTCCTAGGCTTCCTGAAGCCTGGGGTCTCTTCGGTGCCTCTCCCACCTCCCAGAGGGCCTGGCACCGTGCTGAGAGCACAGCAGCTCCCTGACAGGACCTGTGGAGTTGAACTTAATGGCCATGTTTCCCTGTGTTTCGAGGTGTTTGCGACCAGGTGCTTCTGTTTACACAACGCCTAGGGAGGGTGTCAAGAAGGCCTTAGATACCTGTGGATCACTCACTTTGAAGCAAAACCCCCAGGTGTACTTTTCTAGAAAGGGGGTTCTAAGAAAAGCAGCGCCGGCCTGCAGGAATCCCCCGCGCCTGGTAGCCTGGCATCATGGGAACGCCTGCCCGGTGGAAGTCCTCCAAGGCCACAGGGAGCTGGCCAGGGCTGCCCAAAACCGGGAGGCGGCGGCGGCCCCCCTTCCCGCTGGCCAGGTGGGCTTCTTTAGGTCTCTGAGTCAGTTCCAAAGTGAAGGCGCTGAGCCCTGCACTCCCAGGCAGGGAAGAAAACGCTGCCTTGGAAATTGTTTGCACAAGACAAACTCCCTGTGCAGCCCCGCCCCCCCCCCGGGCACCCGCGTGAGCCCACGGTGCCACCGCCGGGGAGGGCCAGGGGCGCGGGCGGAGGCGGGACCGGGCGAGAGCGTGCGGGCAGAGGGGGCGGTGGCCGCCAGGGCGGGAGGGACGCGGGTCGCCCGCGGGCGGAGGGTGTGTCCCTCTGTCCCGCCCGTCCCGCAGCCTGGCCTCGCGCGCCGGCCGGAGTGGGCAGGAACCGGCAGAAACGCGCGGGGCGCGGGAGGGCCGGGCGCGGGAGGGCCGGGCGGGCGGCCCCGCCGGAAAGGGCCGGGGAGGGGCAGGCGGGCCGGTCCCTGTCCCTGCGAGGGGCGAGTCCCGACTGCCCGAAGTCGGGAGGGGGCTCCGAGAGTGGGGGCGCCGGCGGAGGGCGAGGTAAACAAGGCGACGCGCGGGAGCGGCAGCCACCCCGCCCGCCACCCCGGCCCTGCCGCAGCGTCCCGCGCCCCGCCCGCCGCGGCCCCGGCCTCCCAGACCCCCGGACCCCCCAGGCCGCCGGCCCGACAGCCGCGGGCGCGCGGGGCGTGGGAAGTTCGCGGCCGCCCCCGTCCCCGGCTGCCGCGCCGCTAGGTCCCCGCGCAGCTCACCTCGGCCCGCCACGAGCGGCAGCACGCGCCCGGCTTCCCCGGCTCGGACGGCTCGGCTCGGACGGCTAGCTCAGCTCCGGGCTGCAGCGGCCGCGGCCCTGCCCGCCCTCCCGGCGCGGCCCGCGGCCCGGCTCCGCTCCGGCCGCCCGCCGAGGCTCGGTTGGCGCCCACCTGGCCGGCCTGCCCTCCTCCCCGGGACACTGCGCTCACGTACGCGGCCGCGGCCACAACCCGGCCCGGATTCCCGCCCGGGAAGGGAGCGGAGCAGCACGCCAGCCCCTGCCAGCCGGCGCCCAGCGGCGACACTCGGGACACACCCCCGCCCGCCCCCCGCGCCTCCGCGCCCCCGCACCCGCCCAGCACGCCCCCAGCGCGCCTGGGCTACACACCCCCGGCCGCCCGTAGACAGTCGGCGCTCAATAAGTGCCCGAGCGACTCCTCGCGCACATGCGCACTTGAACCTGACCGAGTGGTGACCCCCCCCTCCACACACACACACACACACCCCGCCCCGCCCCTCGATCGGAACCGGCAGCTGCAGCCCGGAGCCAAACTTGAGGCTTGGCTTTTCGCACCGAGCCAAAGTTTCTCTCGCTGTTGTTTTTCCAGGCCTGCCTCTGGGACAGGCTCCTCCGAGAGGGGCCGGGCTCGACCCAGGGCGGGAAGGGAGCCAGACAGCTGGGGCGCCGCGGACGGGAGCTCGGCTGGGGCCTGGGGGACCCAGGCGGCGCAGCCCCAGCCGCCCCAAGCGCCCATGCCCGCGCTAGTGGGAGGAGGCTGGAAAGCGCCTTCCCATTTTCCTTTGGACTCAATGTTTTCTTCCCCATTTCATGACATCTCACTCCTCTGTCGGTGTAAAGTGAGGCGTTATTTACTGTTGCTGGAATTAAATGGGAGAAAGTTAACTGTTAGCCTTCAATCCTTACGTAAACAAGACCGGTTGCTTTTGGCACCGTTAGGCTCTGGCTTTTGGATAATTTGTAACAAGGAGAATTGAAGTTGTTCCATTGTGTTGTTCTGTGTTTTTCAGAGATAAGACCAGCGCCACAACGGTAGTGAGGGGGCCCCGTGTCTATATATGTGTGGGCATCAATATTTCTATTCAAGCGAATTTAATGACTCCAAAGGTAGTAATTCCTTTCCCCCAAAAAAGGTTTTAAAATCTGTGTTGGACATAATGTTTGAATTTGCAGTTCACCTTGGATTTAAGGTGTGCTGTTTTTCTGGCAAAGAGTCAGTGGGAGTGTCCGGGAAAAGGGCTAAAGTCTTTGTAGTCAGACAAACCGGCTTGCAGTCCTGACTGAGCTACATTCACTTTATGATCTCCAGCAGGTTCTTCCACTCTCTGTACCCCAGCTTCTTCATCTGCCCCAAGATGGAATAACATAGATAAGTGTGTCTAGCTCATAGCAAATAAGTATTATTTCCCTTCCTCCATCTCCCACCATTTGTGAAATAAGAACATTATCTAACTAGAACCAAAATTTCTATAGGACACTGGTTCTCAGCTGGGGGTGATGAGACAGCAATGTCTGGAGACGTTTTTGATTGTCACAATTGGGAGAGGGGTGCTACTGACATCTGATGAGTAAAGGCCAAGGAGGCTGCTAAACATCCTACTGTGCACAGGACAGCCCCCCACAACAAAGAATTGTATAGTCCAAAAAAATGCTGGTATTGCCATTGAGAAGTCCCGCTATAGAATAATCCTGCTACCCAGTAATTCAGCAAAGACTGGTTCTACCCTTTAACTCTCACCCTTAAGGAAACATTTCTGGTTTGCACTAAGAAGAGGAACAAAACGTTGTGGGGATCACCTCAATTACATTAATATGAAAATGCAGACTGAAATTTTATATTTAATTATTCAAGGAATATTTAGGCCATGCAAGGTGGCTCATGCCTGTAATCCTATCACTTTGGGAGGCCGATGTGGGAGGTTCACTGGAGGCCAGGAGTTCGAGACCAGCCTGGGCAACAGCAAGACCTCTTCTCTCCAAAAAAAATGAATAGTTTTGTTAGTTAACAATGTATCCTCTCTTATTTTTAAGGTATTTTTGTATGTTACATGTTACTACAGTTCATGAATAGTTTTATGTTCTTGTTTCCATTTTTCTTCAAACAGTGGGTGTTTACTTACTTCTATATATTTACCTCTCTGCTAAATTCCTCACCTATCCTGAGGTTTGTAATATAGTCCCTGCCCCCAAGGACTATACAGCCTCTGAGGAAGTGGATTAATGCACATGCAACAATTAGGGAACAATACAAGATAACATATAATTATGCTCTAATTGCAACACCCAGAGTAAAGTGGTTCAGAGAAAAGGGAAATGAGTCCGGCAGCAAAAGCCAAGGGCTTGCCTTTGAGACTAAGGTGTTCAGGAAATGTTTATTGAGTGAAATGAAATAGTGAATGTTTCTTACATGAGGTAGGACTAGTATGTAAACTCCATAACAGGATTTAAACTGCTAGGATTCATCAATGGATGTTGGTGTCTGGTTGTGAATTTATTCTTTCGTTTTTGTTTGTTTGTTTTTGAGACAGGGCCTCACTCTGTCACTGAGGCTGGAGTGCAGTGGCGGATTACAGGTCACTACAGCCTTAATGTCCTGGGCTTAAACGATCCTCCCACCTCAGCCTCCTAAGTAGGTGGGACTATGAGCGTGCACCACCATGCCCAGCTAACTTTTTTATTTTTTGAGAGACAGGGTCTCACTATGTTGCCCAGGCTGGTTTCTAACTCCTGGGTTCAAGCAATCCTCTGGCCTCAGCCTCCCAAAGTGCTGGGATTATAGACCTGAGCCACTGTGCCCAGCCAATTTATTCTTCCTAAAACATCTAGTTTAAGCTTTTAACCACACCTATATATTTCTTTAAATGATTGCACTTTAATAAAACCAAAACACTCATTCGTTTGACAAATACATGAGTGCGTCTTACGTGCAAAGTGAGCCAAAATAGTCTCTACATTTCAACAGAATTGTTCTGTTTGAGAACTTGTTATGTTTGAGACTGTGTCTTGCAAACACAGGCCTTCAAAGGACATATGCTCTCTCTCTGCATAAATTGGATGCATATCTCTTTACTGCAGGTAGGTACTTGCACAGTATGCATTCCAGAGTTTTGCACATTAACACAGATGTAGAGAAATCATCCCAATACAAACATCCATTCCCAACACACACAGCGCTCAGCACCTTCACACAGAATCCAGGCCCTGACCTGAATACACAGTGCACAACACTCACATTACACAAAGCAAGACGTACTTACAAAGACAATCACTTTTTGGTTTCCAGTCTCATTCCCTCTTCTTCCCCCTTCCCCTATAAATGACTAAGGCTTGCCCTTCCTGGGGGACTGTCCCATCTCAGAACTGCCCTTCACCCTGCTTTCTCCCACACCCTGTTAAAATGTAGGCAGGCTGGGTATATTGGCTCATGCCCATAATCCCAGCACTGTGGGAAGTTGAGGCAGTAGGATCACTTGAGGCCAGGAGTTCCAAGACCAGCCTGGGAAACACAGGGAAACCCTGTCTTTACAAAAAAAATTTACAAATTAGCTAGGCATGGTGGCACATGCCTCTAGTCCCAGCTACCTGGAGGCTGAGGTGGAAGGATCACTTGAGCCCAGAAGTTGGAGGCTGCAGTGGGCTATGACTGAAACCACTGCACTCCAGCCTGGGTAACACCATCCCTGGTTTATTTTTGTATTTTTAGTGGAGACAGGGTTTCATGTTGGCCAGGCTGGTCTTGAACTCCTGACTTCAGGTGATCCACCCACCTCAGCCTCCCAAAGTGCTGGGATTACAGGCATGAGCCACTGCGTCCAGCTGACCCTGTCCCTTAAAAAAAAAAATGTAGTTATCTTCTGCCTCATTTCCATTAAGTAATTAGCTCTTTGGAGAGTGTCTCCCACTAGCTGAGATTAAGCACAGCAGACGCAGGTCCCACCTCCCTTCCCTGCTTCATATGCTATGGACTCATTTATAGGTGCTATTTTAGAGCAGTAAGAGTCTGAGATTGCCACCCTCCCAACTCCCGGATGCAACTGCTTCCAGGCTTGCCTCCCCACAATCCACTCTATTTCCTCAACCTCTTGCCTCTGCTTAAAACTCCTCAAAAGCTTTTAATGGCTTTGATAATAAAGTCCCAACATTGCACATTAAGGTCCTTCATGGTGTGCCTTCCAGTGACATCTCCAGCCTCTACCTGCCCCTCTGCCTCTACCCCTCACATGGCACTCCAGATGCCCAACTGATCTTCTGTTCTTTGCCTGAACAGACTTTCTCTGCTTGTTACATGCCGTTTTCTCTGCCTAGAACACTCTCTACCCTACCCTTTGACCTCTTTACTTGGCTATCTCTGCTCATCCTTCAGGGGTCAACCTAGATAGCATTTTCTCTGAAATGCTTTCATGGGCCTCCAAGACTGGAACTAGGTGCCCCTCCCATGTGTCCAAAGCACTGTGACTCATTGCACTGAAATCTCCATTTTCTTGTCCCAATGCCTCAAAAGACTAAATATTTTGTGAGTACAGGGAGTATGTCCTGTTTTCCATTGTATACCCAATACCTAGTACAGTGGCTGGCATGTAGTAGGCACTTTTCTTTGAGTGTGAAATAGGGCTTCACTCTGTCACCATCATAGCTCACTGCAGCCTCCAAATTATGGGCTCAACCAATCCTCCTGCCTCAGCCTCTGGGTAGCTGGGACTACAGGCACATGCCAGCACACCCAGCTAATGTTTTACAAAAATTTTTGTAGAGACAGTATCACTATGTTGCCCAGGTCTTGAACTCCTGGGCTCAAGTGTTCCTCCCACCTCGGCCTCCCAAAGTGTTGGGATTACAGTCATGAGCCACCACACCTGGCCTGTAGTAGGTACTTAATAAACATTTGTTAATAAATGAATAGCCGGTTGCATATGGGGGACAGATTAGAGTTATTCCATGGTGCAGGTGATCCCTGCTTCAAAGCATGCCTCAGATGCTCAGTAGATTCCTGGGATACTGAAGACCTCTTGCCCATATATTTAGAGCAGATGAGGCCAACAGAATGAACTGAGGCTTCAGGCTCCACCAGAGGCTTGATTTATACCTTACTTGGTTTCCTGAGCTGCAGACTCTTAAAACCAGTTACCTACTTAGCATCTCCACTTGGATGTCTAATCAGATCTCAAATGTACCGTGTCCAAAACCAGACTTCTGATTTCCCTTTAAAATCTGCTCCTTCCCATTTCAGTAAATTGCAGTTCCCTTCTTCTAGTTGCTCAGGAAACAAACAAACAAAAACTTGGAATCATCCTTAACTCCTTTTTTATTATTATTTTTTTATTTTCTTATACTCCATATCTAATCCATCAGAAAATCCCATTGGTTCTAGTGAAATACATCCAGAATTAATTAATGTTCCAGCATTTCCAGCACAACTTCCCTGGTCCAGCCACCATCTCTCTAGCCTGGCCTTCCACAATGGGCTCCCCCTGGTCTCCGTGCTTTCTCTATTGCCTTTCTAAAAGTCTATTCAACATCCCAGAAGCCACAAAGATTCTTTTGAAACATAAGTCAGGCTGGGCGCAGTGGCTCACACCTGTAATCCCAACATTTTGGGAGGCCGAGGCGGGTGAATCACTTGAGGCCAGGAGTTCGAGACCAGCCTGGCCAACAAGGTGAAACCCCATCTCTACTAAAAATACAAAAATTAGCCGGGCATGGTGGTGCACGCCTGTAATCCCAGCTACTCAGGAGGCTGAGGCAGGAGAATTGCTTGAAACCGGGAGGCAGAAGTTTCAGTGAGCCAAGATCGTGCACTGCACTCCAGCCTGGGTGACAGAGTGAGACTCTGTCTCAAAAAAAAAAAAACCTAAGTCAGATCATATCACTCTTCTGCTCAAAACTCCAACAGCTTCCCATGTCACTCACTGCAAGACCCTACATGATCTTTGTCCCAATCAGCTCTCGAGTCCTACCACCCCACCGCTCTTCCCTGGCTCCTGAAGTTCCAGCCACACTGGCCCCCTTACTCTTCCTCAACCCCACTCCTAACTCAGCCTTTCCAAGGCTGTTCCTTGAGCTGGAATGATCTTCTTCCAGATACCCATGGAACTTGTTCCATCATTTGATTCAGGTCCTGCTCCAATGCACTCATTGTAAGATACATAACTATAATACCACCACTGAACTGCCCCTTTGCCTGGCCTTTTTTCTCTTATTTGCACTCATGACTGCCTGATAGTCCGTCTCATCCACTCAACTACAAATTCAATGACAGTAGAGACTTTGCTTTTACTTACTGCTATATCCGCAGCTTCTAGAATAGTGTCTGGCATATAGCAGACACTCAATAAATAATCATGAATCAAGGGTCTGGTTAGACTTCCAAAAAGTTGCCCATCAGGATGCCAGATACTAAATTCTTCGCCGCTATGCTTCTCATTCACTTAGACTAGGGACCACATTACCTCTGTGATCCACAGTTCTTTTTTGAGACAGCCTTGCTCTGTCTAAACTGCAGAGTCTCACTGCAGGCTGGAGTGCAGTGACATGATCTTAGCTCACTGCAGCCTCTACCTCCCCAATTCAAGTGATTCTCCTTCCTCAGCCTCCCAAGTAGCTGGGATTACAGGCATGCAACCCAAGTGCCTGGCTGATTTTCTTTTTTTTTTTTTTTGAGACGGAGTCTCGCTCTGTCGCCCAGGCTGGAGTGCAGTGGTGCGGTCTCGGCTCACTGCAAGCTCCGCCTCCCGGGTTCACGCCATTCTCCTGCCTCAGCCTCCCGAGTAGCTGGGACTACAGGCGCCTGCTACGTCGCCCGGCTAATTTTTTTGTATTTTTTAGTAGAGACGGGGTTTCACCGTGGTCTCGATCTCCTGACCTAATGATCCTCCCGCCTTGGCCTCCCAAAGTGCTGGGATTACAGGCGTGAGCCACTGCGCCTAGCCGTGCCTGGCTAATTTTTGTATTTTTAGTAGAGACGGGTTTTCGCCATGTTGGCCAGGCTGGTCTCGAACTCCTGGCCTCAAGTGATCCACCCGCCTCGGCCCCCACAAAGTGCTGAGATTACCGTCTGAGCCACAACACCTGGCTCGTGAGCCACAGTTCTAAACAAAGCTTTCATACCACAATCTCAAACCATGCTGTGAGTTTCAAATGAAAAGAATAATACTATTAATGTTGCATCTGTGGCATACTTTGTGCTTTTCTTTTGATTGAAGAAATTACAATGTATCTTAGTGGACAAAAACAGGCCCAGCACCCACTGGAAGTATTTTCACTCTAAGAAGCACAAGAGTCAGGAATTTTAAGAGAAAGTGGTGGGGCAAGTGTGCCCTGGGGCCAATAGCATCTTCTCTCTAATCTACTCAATCTGTAAGGCTTTTCTGGACGAAGTGGGCTTTGCATTCCATTGAAGAGAAAGGATGGATAGGTTGCAAATAGGTGTTCAAAGGCTAAGGGTATCCCTCAAATTTCTTGCTTTGATCTGCACAGTGACATTTTCACACCAAGACCCCATATGTGTAAAGATGGCCACGTGTACACCCAAACACATAAACACCCAGATCTGTGTCTCCTTCCTCCTATCTCTGAAACTCAGTGAATTTGAGCAAATGTCCATATTCAAAAAGGGGGAAAATGAACTGGCTTTGGGAACAGGGAACATAAGGCCCTATGACTCTTGGTATGAAGGAATGTGTAAGCCTGGGCAGGCTCAGTGTACACATCTGGTTTTTCCCTTTTATGCTTCTGTGGTTTCTATGACACAGGAAATCCATTCTGGAACAACCCTGTCTGCTTTCTAGTGAGTGCATTAAAAGTGGGGATTAAAATTATGTTTATCTCACTGCTCAGGCCATGATGATAAAATCCAGAACAGAACCATTTTGGGGGTGAATCAGCTGAGGCTTCATCCTACCTTGTGGCCCCAGGGAGGAGCTCGTAACTAAGACGGGAGGAGTGGGAAGCCAAGGAAAAGATTTATGCACAGGTTAAAGAATATCTAGACATGGCCAGCCACAGTGGCTCATGCCCGAAATCCCATCACTTCGGGAGGTTGAGGCGGGCAGATCACTTGAGGTCAGGAGTTTGAGACCATCCTGGCCAACCTGGCAAAACCCTGTCTCTACTAAAAATATAAAAATTAGCCAGACGTGATGGCACATGCCTGTAGTCCCATCTACTCAGCAGGCTGAGGCAGGAGAATGGCTTGAACCCAGGAGGCAGAGGCTGCAGTAAGCTGAGATTGTGACACTGCACTCTAGCCTGGGCAATAGAGTGAGATTCCATCTCAAAAAAAAAAAGAAAAGAAAAAAGAAAAACAAAATCTAGACCTGGCTCTCCCTCTGAAGCAGACCAGGTCCAGGAACATACCACATGGTGAAAACACCAATTCAGCTCAACTCAACAGACAGAATTTGAGTAGTCCCCAATCTCACTGGGAGACCCTCTCCCTTAGGGTACCACACTACAGCCTCTGCAGGAATACTCTTCTCATAGAAGGTTCTTAACAGAGGCTAAATTCAGTGGCCAGTTTTTCCCACTCACAAGGGAGATAACAGAGCTGTGAAAGAAATAAATAACATTAAATGGCCGGGCACGGTGGCTCACACCTGTAATCCTAGCACTTTGGGAGGCTGAGGTGGGTGAATCACCTGAGATCAGGAATTTGAGACCTGCCTGGCCAACATGGTGAAACCCCATCTCTACTAAAAATACAAAAACTTAGCTGGGCATGGTGGCACACACCTGTAATCCCAGCTACGAGGGAGGCTGAAGCAGGAGAATCACTTGAACCCGGAAGGTGGAGGTTGCAGTGAGCTGAGATCGCACCATTGCACTCCAGCCTGGGCAATAAGAGTGAAACTCCATCTCGAAAAAAAATAATAGTAATAATAACAACAATAATAATAATATTAAACTATATGGCAGAGCACCGAGAACCTTAGACTTACAAGATGACCCCGAGGAGAAGCCTGAAGTTATCTGACCCCTTGGATAACAAATGGTACCAGAGAAACTGATTGGGGGCTCCCAAAAGAGAAGGAGGAGAGATACAGCAGAAGTAAAATAGCCAATAAGAAGCTAAGAATTGGACCGGGTGTGGTGGCTCACACCTGTAATCCCAGCACTTTGGGAGGCGGTGGGCAGATCACTTGAGATGAGTAGTTCGAGACCAGCCTGGCCAACATGGTGAAACCCTGTCTCTACTAAAAATGCAAAAATTATCTGAGCATGGCATGGTGGCACACATCTGTAATCCCAGCTACTTGGGAGGCTGAGGCAGGAGAATCACCTGAACCCATGAGGCAGAGGTTGCAGTGAGCCAAGATTACACCACTGCACTCTAGCCTGGGCAACAGAGAGAGACTGTGTCTCAAAAAACAAAAAAAAGAAGTGAAGAATTGGCAGGAAAGTGCACATTGGGAATACTCACCCCTGACATTCCTCTTTTAGTTTCTTGGGTCCAAATCAACATGTAATAGTTATTTTACTGGGTCAGGTGCAGTGGCTCATGTCTGTAATCCTAGTACTTTGGGAGGCCAAGGTGGGAGGATCACTTGAGCCCAGGAGTTTGGGACCAGCCTGAGTAACATAAGGGGACCCTGTCTCTATAAAATAAAAAATAAAACCTAGCTGGGTGTGGTGGCACAGGCCTGTGGTCCCAGCTACTCGGGAGGCTGAGGTAGGAGGATTGCTTGGGCCTGGGAGGTTGATGCTGCAGTGAGCCAAGATTGCACCACCACACTCCAGCCTGGGCAACAGAGCGAGACCTGCCTCAAAAAAAAAAAAAATTAGCTGGACATGGTCATATATGCCTGTGGTCCCAGCTACTTGGGAGGCTGAGGTGGGAAGCTGAGGTGGGAGGATCACTTGAGGCCAGGAGGTTGAAGCTTCAGCGAACCATGATCATGCCACTGCACTCCAGCCTGGGTGATAGAGTGAGACCCTGTCATACACACACACACAGGTTATTTTTCTGCAGTGTGTTTATTGTCACATAACTTTGCTCTTAAGGACCACTTTCGTCCCTTGGCAGTATCACCCCTAGCCCTCCACAGAAGGGGGCTGGTGGCCTTTTCTTCAGTGAACTTACCAGAGTTTCATTTTGGTTCAGCTGTTAAACATCATCATCTCTCAAATATATTCCATTCTGGTCGCCAGCCCCACATGAGCATTCCATCCTTCTTCCTTATCCTTCTATAGCAGCAAACTGCCGCCCAAGGCAGATGTGCCTTCTGCAACCCAGCCTGCCCAGATGGTCAAGAATGGCCCAGATCTTGAGACAATCATCACGCAGAAATATCACAGATCTTGACAAAGCGCACAGGGTGATCCTGCATACTGTGGAATGGCAAAGCCATGAAGCATTGGGAAACACTAATAATAATTATTATATGTAATTATTATTATTATTATTTGCACAGGGCCACAACAGCAATGTGCTAACGAACCATTGCCCAGGATGTGGGGTTGGTCAACTGAACAACCTCTTGACAAGCAAAATGAAAAGATTAAAAAACAAAAGTCCGTAACCCCATATGCCAATCAGATAAAACCCCAAATATAAAAGGCTGTTTCTAAAAGCATTTTAAATGGTGCCAATCATTTTATGACAACTTCTGGCCCTTCAGAATTGAATAGCGGATGCTGTTTGTACCAGATATCTTATTGTATTCACAGTCAGCACAGTTTCTTACATCCATCAGAGATCGGCCTCCATCACTCCCCAGTGGTATACCCAACTTCACAAGACTGGTCTGTAAGACACTGGGAGCACAAGTGGGTTGACACACAGCATGAAATTCCCTCTTGAGCCAGACGCAGTGGCTCACGCCTATAATCCCAGCACTTTGGGAGGCCAAGGTGGGCAGATCACTTGAGGTCAGGCGTTCGAGACCAGCCTGGCCAACATGATGAAACCTCGTCTCTATCAAAAAATACAAAAATTAGCCAGGTGTGGTGACAGGGACCTATAACCCCAGCTACTTGGGAGGCTGAGGCAGGAGAATCGCTTGAACCTGGGAGGTTGAGGTTGCAGTGAGCTGAGATCATGACACCCTACTCCAACCTGAGCAACACAGCAAGACTCCATCTCAAAAAAAGAAAAAAAAAAAGAAAAGAAAAGAAATTCCCTCTTGAGTTTCAGTATAGATAGCAAGGTCTAACACCTAGATTCTCCTTCCAGTTTAATTTTTCTAAGTGCTATGTTTTGAATGTGTCCCCCAAAGTTCACTTGATCACCAGTGCAGCAGTGTAGGGAGGTGGGGGCTAATGGAAGATGTTTGGGTCATAGCGCACCATCCTCCTGAATGGATTAATGCCCTTATTATGACAGTGGGTTCCTTATAAAAGGATGAGTTCAGCCTCTCTCACTCTCTCTCTTGCCCTCTCTTTGCCCTTCCACCATGTTGTGACATAGCAAGAAGGTCCCTGCAAGATGCCCACACCTTGATTTTGGACTTCCCAACCTCCAGAACTGTGAGGAAATAAATTTCTGTTCATTATAAATCACCCAGTCTGTGGTATTCCTTTACAACAACACAAAACAGACTAAGACACCAAGTTTGAATCATTTACTGGCAAAAAGTTTCTCCTTGTTTCATAAGCCTACCTAAATTCATTTAGGTGAGGAAGAATGAGACTTTTTTTTTTTTCTTTGAGATGAAATCTCTCTTTGTCTCCCAGGCTGAGTGCAATGGCACAGTCTCGCCTCACTGCAACCACTGCCTCCCGGGTTCAAGCAATTCTCCTGTCTCAGCCTCCTGAGTAGCTGGGATTACAGGCACATGCCTCCCTGCCCAGCTAAATTTTTTTGTATTTTTAGTAGAGACAGGGTTTCACCATGTTGGCCAGGCTGGTCTCAAACTCCTGACCTCAAGTGATCCACCTGCCTCAGCCTCCCAAAGTGCTGGGATTACAAGCATAAGCCAGTGCACCCGGCCAAGAATGAGACTTATCTTTAGTTTTTTTTGGAGAGAATCAATACAATATTTGCCCATAAAACCCAGAGTCTTACCTTGATATGATATATATTAACTATTCTTCTAACCTGCAATTCATCTGACGTTAGGCCACATGTTGCCCTAGTAATCCTTATAATACATTGGAGCAGAAGTCTTGTGAATTATTAAAATCCTGTTCAATTACCCTTTTATATTATCCACCTGGGAGAACTCTGATTTTCCAATGCTTGTCTTAGAGATGGCCCATCTCACAATCTTCTCACTTATAAGCTGTTGATTTACAAATCCCAGCCTTCTCCCTCTTATACTGCAATTGATTGCTTCTCAAATCACCCCTGACAAACTGTCAGTGATTCTTGAAGGCACAAGAAATGACTAGCATCTAGGTGTTTGGTAATTCAGATCCCAAGGTAGGAGTGAAGATCTGCCCTATATAGAAACTAGATCTCAATCCACTTCTAGACCATTCTAGATTGTTGTTCCTCTGATATTTCCCTTCTTTCTTTGTGGCTTATCTCTTGATCCAAGCTAATCACCCCAAAGAGCCACTTCACTAGCCAATGAGTTGCCAGGCTCCTTCAAATGAATACTAACAGTCAAATGACCAGAAAATCATTCCTATAATGTATTTTAGCATCCACCCACTCCATTCCCAATGTGCTAACCCACCATTTGATAAATGGAAGTATTCATTGTCACTCTGACCTCCTGTATGTATTGGGGAAAGGCACAGGAGGTAAGATGCTACAGCACCTTTGGTTAGCTGGAAAGGCTGTGAAATACTGAAGACAGACTTGTGGTGTCTGGATGACACAGCCAGGAGAAAAAACAAATCCAATTGAAAAAAAGCCTTTAAAGTAATATGTCTTTGTTGACATTCTTATAGGAGGAAGTCAAAGAGGAATTTCATTGCACAACACACAAGAAGCTTTCAAAAATCCTCTTTCCAAATTTCTCCCACCAAAATCCTACTGCCTATAGCTGCTGTTTCTTTCTCTTCCTCCTTCTTTCTTCTGCTGTCCTCGACCTTGTTCTCCTCACTTCCTAACTACTCCTTTCCTTTCTTTTCTTTCTCAAGTAGAGAAATACAGCCTGCTCCTGACTTCCCAACTCTCAACTTTGTCAAAGGCCTAGCAGCTGACAGAGCCAGCAAATAACCTGTCCCCTTTGTCTGTCAGGGTAAAATATCTAATTTTTTTTTCTTTTCATGGTGACAATATCAGACTAGTCTCAGTTTACCTGATGTGTTCCCAAGGAGTACGTATAGGGCCTTTATAATTTTATCCCCAGACCCCTCGAATGGCCATGACTGGCAAAGGATATGAAAAGACCATCCCTCCCTCCTCTCCATGGACGACTGACCACCTTTTGCCTGGTGACCTACCCAGCTGTCCATCACTGGAATTGTTCAGCAGAAAGGAGAATGATCTGTCAGGGACTCTGTCTCTAAGATTCTGTGATTCCAAATGCCCCTGCTCCTTGCAATTCATATTCTGTCCTCTAATTGCTTCTTTAAAACTGACCCTCTCACCTTTTCCATCCTTCAGCTTTAACCAACTGATAGAAGTTATTACTATTATTATTATTATTATTATTATTTGAGAGGGAGTCTTCCTATATTGCCCAGGCTGGAGTGCTGTGGCACGATCTCGGCTCACTGCAACCTTGGCCTTCCGGGTCCAAGCGATTCTCCTGCCTCAGCCTCCCAAGTAGCTGGGACTACAGGCACCCACCACCACGCGTGGCTAATTTTTGTATTTCTAGTACAGATGGGGTTTCACCATGTTGGCCAGGCTGGTCTCAAACTCCTGACCTCAAGTGATCTGCCCACCTCGGCCTCCCAAAGTGCCGGATTACAGGTGTGAGCCACCATGCCTGGCAAGAATAGTTATTATTCTATCAGTCTTTCTTTCTTCCTTTCCTTTCCTTTCTTTCCTTCCTTCCCCCTTTATTCCTTTCTTTTCTTTCTCTCTCTCCTTCTTTGTCTTTCCCCATGTTGCTAAAAACCTTCTAGTAATCTCACCTCGACAATCTCAGTCTTACCCTCTGCACGATCCAGACCATCATCATATCCCAAGGTCAAGTGTTATCTGTCCAATCTCTAACTTGGGCCTGTTGAATTGTTTTCTGTGTATAAAAGCAATAATATTGAGGAAGAATTAGATTTTCACGGGACTCACACTTGCTATGACTCATTCTGGGAAGTGGAACACTTAAGAAGTGATAGCTGTGGCCAGCACCCAATTTCCATTATTCTTTGAGGGATAAATAAATACCACCGTGCCAAACTTATTAGTCAGGCCTGTTTTTGGAGACAAGTGACAGGAACTGAATTCATGCTAGCTTAAGCAAAAAAAATGAACTTGTTAGCTTCCTTAACTGGGAAACTCAGGAGTATAACTGGCCCCAGGCACAGCACGACCCTGGGTTTAAACAAAGTTGGTAGGGTCTGTTCTCTAAATCTCTCATTTCTGGTTTGCTCCTTCATATCAGTCCCATTTTTTCCTACTTCAAAAGAGCCCCCAGCCCTCAAAAATGAGCTTCCCTCGTGCACTTGGGAACATGGCTGCTGGCAGCTCCCAGCTATGACATCCTAATTTAGCAGCACCAGCAGAAAACAAATTTTTCTCTCGCACATTCATATATTAGTTCCAGGGAAAGACTGTAATTGATTCTGCTCAGTGAAAACGCTCACCCTTTGGACCGCTGTTGCCAGAGATGGAATCCTACGGTGGCCAGCCCAAAAAAAACCACAGGGAATAGAGAAGTGAGGTCCCATAGGAAGGGATGCGGGACAGAGAAAATCACATATGTCCATTACACGAGGGAGAAGGGACACCTTTGAGAGTCAAAGGACACGTGCACTTTCACTAGCTGTGCGACCTCTGACAAACCGCTTTGCCTTTCTCAGCCTCCGTTCCTCAGGTGCAAAACGGTTACCTGGGTGGTTATTAAGACATTACCAAGTTACGTGTCACAGCGTCTCTCTACTCTGGATTTCTCAGATAATGGAAAACTGACTTCGTGGAGGAAGGCACCGCAACTGAGCCTGCTGTCCTCAGTGTTCATGCAGATACCCTCGTGGAGCGCTCCACGGTTTACGGAAAACTCTTGCATCGACTGCATAAATTAGAAAATGAAGCGTAGGAGGCCAGACTGCCTAGAGTACAGACTCAGATCAGCTTAGTGCGTGACTGGAGTCTCATGCAGGCACACAAACCATAGGGCGATGCTGCCACCGAGTCATTTCCTGGATTAGGAGAAGTGGCAGAGACGCCCTCAGGGACCACACGTGTCAGATCTCCACCTCCCAAGCAGCGTTGCCCGGACGCGCCGCTCGGGGCCCAGAGCGCTGCGTGCACGCAGCCTCTAGCAACCACTTACCGCGTGTGTGCGCATGTGTGTACGTGTGTGTGCACGTGTGTATATGTGTAGGTGCACGCAGGCGTGTGCGCGAGTGTGTGTACGTGTGTGTACACGCGTGTATATGTGTGGGTGCGCGAGTGTGTATGTGTGTGACGCGTGTGTACGTGTGTATGCGCACGTGTGAGTGCACTCGGGTGTATGTGCTTGTGTGCACGCGCGCGTGTGTATCCGTGTGTGTGCGCGTGTATTTGTGCATGTGTGAGCGCGCCCGTGTGTGCACGCATGTGTGTACGTATGTGTGTCGTGTGTGCGCGCGTGTATGTGCGTGTGTGCGCACTCGGGGGTGTACGTGTGAGTGCGCGCGCGCACGCGTGTCTGTGTGTGTGGCATGGGAGGTGGGCGGCAAGGAAAGCAGGCGAGACATTTTTTAAATAAAATAAGAAAAATAAAAGCCCAGCCTTCCAGGGCGTCTTCAGCCAGCCCCTCCCTCCCTCCCTCCCGCCCCACCTCCGGCTCCGGGGCCGCGGCTCCGGCGCCGCGTTTTCCCGGCCGCCCCGCGCCCGAGGGTTAAAGCTCCCCCGCCAGGAGTAAACAGCACCCCAGTCGGCAGCCGGCAGCCCCGCCCCTCGGCCCGTTTCCTGCGCCAGCCCTGGCAACAGGCCCCGCCCTTCGCGACAAGCCCCGCCCCGCGCCATCCGTCTGGCCCTTCCTGGCGTCCGCCTACTAGCGGCGGGGTCCCGGCCCGTGCCGAGTGCCCAGCCAGCCCCAACCCTCTTCCCCCGGGATTCTGCGGCCAGAGCCCCAGCCGAGGGAGGGTGCGTGCCGCGCACGTGACTCTTGTTGTAGGCGGGGCCTGCGCAGCGTCGGTGGAGAGAAGAGGGGAGGAGGAGGGAGGGAGGAGGTGGGGAGGAGGGAGGGAGGGGGGAGGGGTAGATGGGGAGGAGGGAGGGAGGAGGAGGGACAGGGAAGGAAGGAAAGAGAGTGGAGGGGCGGAGGGAGGGGAGGAGGGAGAGAAGGAGGGGAGGAGGGAGAGAAGGAGGGGAGGGACGGAGGGGAAAGCAGGGGAGGGGGAAGGGGAAAGCAGGGGAAGGGGCGGGGCGAGGGTCTGGCCTAGTCTCCTCCAGCTTCGTGGAGCCCGCCTGGGGCGCCGCTCTCCCGCCCCCGCCCCTCCACGGGTCCAGCTGGGAACTGGCTATGGCCTCGCCGCCCGGCGAGGGCTGCAGTGGGTTCCCCGACGACTTTGCCGCGGTTGCTGCTTCTGCCAGCGCAGCCTCGGAGCGCTGCCCGGCTGCAGGGCTCTCACCTCTTCCCCAGGTCCCTGCTCAGCAGAGCCTCTTAAGCTTCCTGCCTGTGTCCACAGAACCCGACATCTCAAGCCCCCTGAACGCACAGGCTCCTGCTGCATAAACACCCCGCCCTCCTGCCTCCTGCACACACAGGCCTACATTGTAGGGCCTCCCACGCCTCTCCGTTCCTGGAATGGAGCTCACCTAACCCTGTGCTCGTCCTGCTGTCTTCTCTAAGGGTGGGGAAACTTGAGGTTCAGAAAGCTGGAAGGATTTCAGTGTGCACCATACATCGACCACACAACAGTCCCACTCCTAGGTATTACCCAAGAGAAATTAAAACAGATGCCCACACTAAGACTTCTACGTGCATCACAGCCAACCAGAAAATAATCACAATATCTGTGAACAGGAAAGTGAATAACCAAATTGCAATATACCCATGCAATGGAACGCTACTCAATAAAAAGAAATAAACTTCTGATGCAGTCACTACCTGGGAGGAACCTCAGAAGTATTCGCTCTGGTGGACCCGGCACAGTGGCCCACCATTGTAATCCCAACACTTTGGGAGGCCAAGGTAGGAGATCACTTGAGGCCAGGAGTTTGAGACCAGCCTGGGCAACATAGTGAGACACCCCCCTCAACAACCCGCATCTCTTCAAAAATTAGAAAAATTAGCCAGGCATGGTGGTGCAGTCCTGTATTCTCAGCTGCTGGAGAGGCTGAGGTGGGTGGATCACTTGAACACAGAAGTTCAAAGCTGCAGTGAGCTGTGATCTCACCACTGCATTCAACCTGGGCGACAGAATGAGACCCTGTCTCTCAAATAAATTTAAAATAAAAATACATAAAGTATTAGCTATGTGAAAAAAGCCAGACATACTGTAATGATTCCATTTCTGTGAAATTCCAGAAATGACAAAACTGTAACGGCAGTGAGCAGATCAGAGGTTACCAGGGGACAGGGTCAGAAGGAGGGGATTGACGAGAAAGGGGCAAGAGGAAATTTGGGGGGATGATGGAACTGTTTTATATTTTGATTGTTGTGGTGGTCACAAGGCTATATACAATTGTCAACATTCATTGAAATGTGCACTTAAAGTTGGTAAATTGTGTTTTATCTAAATTATTCCTGAATAAAACTGGTATTTTAAGGAAGGAAAGGTGGAAAAATTTCCTAGATCCGAACCAAGACTGGAACTCAGAACTCCTGTTGCCAAGGGCTTCTTTCTACCCTGATCTCTTTGTGTAATTCAGGGGCAAATGGAGGTAGATAGCAGGACTCGACTCCAGAGGTGGGGCTTGGACACTGGACCAAACTGAGCACTAACTAAAAGAGGGACAGAGAGGAAGCAGCTTTCCCATCAGTGAAGTGGGAAAGACACTTCACTGGTGGGAAAGACACGCCCACCATGTCAGTGTATCATTGCCATGGCAACACCCCAGAATGACTGCCCCTTTCCATGGCAATGACTCAATGACCCAAAAGTTACCACCCTTCTCCTAGACATTTCTGCATAAACCACCCCTTAATCTGTTACATGTAATTGAAAGTAGGTGTAAATCTGACTGCAGCCTGAGCTGCTACTCTCAGCACACTGCCTTATGGGGTAGCCCTGCTCTGCAGGAGCAGTTGAGGGGCTGTAACGCTGCTGGAGTTGTAACATTGCCACTTCAGTAAAGCTGTTATCTTCTACCCTACTACTAGCTCACCCTTGAATTCTTTCCTGAGCAAAGCCAAGAACCCTCACGGGCTAAACCCCTCTTTGGGGTTCACCTGCCTTGCATCAAGATGACTACCCGGAAACTGGCAGTATCCAGCTATTGTCATCCAGTTAACACCCTCCAGATCTTCCCTCCCAGGGAAAATGCCCTTTACCTTCTATCTGTCTCAAGGTAGCTCCAGGAAATAGATCAGAGCTGGCGGAAAAGGAAGCTGGAGAACCTTCACTAAACCTTCACTGCAAGATAAGCAGTCATGGCCGGGCGCGGTGGCTCACGCCTGTAATCCCAGCACTTTGGGAGGCCGAGGCGGGCGGATCACGAGGTCAGGAGATCGAGACCATCCTGGCTAACACAGTGAAACCCTGTCTCTACTAAAAATACAAAAAAATTAGCCGGGTGCGGTGGCAGGCGCCTGTAGTCCCAGCTATTCGGGAGGCTGAGGCAGGAAAATGGCGTGAACCCGGGAGGCGGAGCTTGCAGTGAGCCGACATCGCGCCACTGCACTCCAGCCTGGGCAACAGAGCCAGACTCCGTCTCAAAAAAAAAAAAAAAGAAAAAAAAAGAAAAGCAGTCATTTCAGGTAGGCGTTGAGAGAGAATGAACTATGGAGCCAGACTACCTGGATTCCAAACCAGCTCCTCCGCCTACTTGCTCTCTCGGACAAGTCATTTGACTTCTCTCTGCCTCCGGTTCCTCATTTGTAAACCTGGGATGGTGATAGTAACTACGGCTTAGAGATATTGTTGGGACTGAATGAGCGAAAGTAGGTAAAGTGTGCAGGCAGCATTTGGCATCTAATAAAGCCATCAAAACAATCACTCTGTGCTGTGTTCTTAGTGTCCCTACCACTCTTCCTGATCCCTCCTTCACCTCAGCTTTAGGACTGACTTCAAGATTACCAGCAGAGTGAATGGAGGGTTGGAGGGCAAGGTAGCTCTATTGACACAGGTGTGCATGATGCAGTGCTGGAATGGGGAAATATGGGGTTCAGAGAAGGAAGTCATGGGTCCAGGCAGTGGAGTGGGGAGACAAAGTAACTCCCAGATACAATGTGGACGGGTAGTCTGACATCTCCTGGTCTCTGAGCTCTTGATTCACAAGTGAGTATGTATGTCTGGCTTTCCCTTGCACTGTATGTTTCCTGAGAGCAGACACCGTGTTTTGTTTACTGTTATTCATCCTTTAGCACCTAGCTCAGTGCTTGGGGTGTAAGTGATCAACAAATGTTTGAATATTTGTTCAATGAGATTTTATTTTATTGATTTTATTGATTTTTGAGACAGGGTCTTGCTCTGCCAATCAGGCTGGAGTGCAGTGGTGCAATTATAGCTCACTGCAGCCTCAACCTCCTGGGCTCAAGCGATCCTCCCACCTCAGCCTCCTGAGTAGCTAGGACTACAGGCATGAGCCACTACATCCGGCTAATTTTAAATTTTTTTTGTAGAGACAGGGTCTCTCTGTGTTGCGCAGGCTAAGCTTTTGTATGTATCACCACACTGAGCCCTGTAGAGAGGTTCCTAATTTTAACAAATTTTAGAGTTCCCTTATCCAACTCTTTCACTTCAGAGTTAAAGGAATCAAGGAAAGATATTTGCCTGGGGTTATATGACAAGTTGGAAACAGAGGCCAAGTCTCTGCTTTCAACCTGATGTTATTTCCTTCACACTGCTCTGTACTTACAATGCAATTGGAACGAAAAACAAACTCCCTAAAACTTACAGAATTAAATGAGGCAGTATGTGGTTAAGACTCGAATGCATGGTACATATGGTAGGTGTGGCTCAAGTTGAGAAGACTGGATTCCCCAAGGCCTGGGATTGGGCAGAAAATGCTCACTGCAAAAGAGGGTTTGAACTTACCCTGAAGGATGGGTAGGATTTGGGATTCAGGAAATAGAAGTCCTGGGAGTGGAGGTAGCTTTCTGCTGAGGCCATGGGAAAACAAGAGGGGTTTGCACGGACCATAGTAAGACAAAATGTTGGAGGATTAGGTTGAGGCCAGATTGTGGGAAATTTCAAATGCCAGGATAAGGAGTTTCTACCTTAGTCTATGGGCAATGAGGAACCCCTGTATATAGACACAGCTAGGCACTGAACCAAGACAAGACACCGGGCAAAGGTCTGCCAATGTGATCTGATTTGCATCTTTTGCAGACAGTTGCTTGCCATATATATGCATTTACTGAATTCACCCCCACACAAAGGAAACTCCACCAGCTAGCTTGTCTATATTTATTTTGCCTCCATATACACATGATACTTGTTGGGAGCAGAGGAAGGGGAGGGAGATTAACATGGTTGGTGTGTCTGCTGTAGACTAGACAATTTCACCAGCAGTAGTATCTCATTTAATCCTGACAATCTTGTGGGGAGTGGGTGTTATTGCCTCAGTAACCCCCAGAGAGGGTCAGTAACTTTCCCAGCGCACAGGGCTAGGAAGTGGTGGAGCCAGAATTCAAACAAATTCAGCTTTGACACCAAAGCCCTCCCCAATTGCTTCTCGAAACCTTCCCATGAGAAGATACAGGAATTGGGGTCTCAATGCCAGGTTCCTTGAAGTCAAAGCTGGGTTTGAATTTCCATTTCCACTACTTACTAGCTGGTGGCAGAGGCTCATGACTCTGATGGACCTTAAGCTTCAGGCCCCCTCACTTTACACAGGCCCCTTGCAAGCCTGCTGCCCAATTTTCAAATCCCTAATTTTGCATTATTGTCCTGAAACAGGGCTTCAACGATTGTGTAAACCTCAGGCCTCATGAAACATGAATCTGCTGAAGGTAGATGACCTCTATCAAGTTACTTGCTGAGACTTAGTTTCTGTATCTGGATAAAATCATCCTGGACTCTGGTCTACCAGCTTAACATCCAGTTGAGACATAATACTAGAGATGCTGCAGTAACTTGAACCTGATCTCACCTAGCCTTATCCCAAAGGCAAAGGTTCACAGAGCCCCTAGGTCAAAAGAAATACCTAACGGATTGTTAAGTACAAAGGTCCAAACAACTTAATAGGTATTCATGTCTTAACAATTTAGTAATTATTTGCAAAAACAATACATAGAAATTGAAGGAAATTGATGTTTTTATTTTATTCTTTTTTTTTTTTTTTTTTGAGATGGAGTGTCGCTCTTTTTGCCCAGGCTGGAGTGCAATGGCAGGATCTTGGCTCACTGCAACCTCCGCCTCCCGGGTTCAAGTGATTCTCCTGCCTCAGTCTCCTGAGTAGCTGGGATTACAGGCATGCGCCTCCACTCCCTGCTAATTTTGTATATTTAGTAGAGATGGGATTTCACCATGTTGGCCAGGCTAGTCTTGAATTCCTGACCTCAGGTGATCCGCCCGCCTCGGCCTCCTAAAGTCTTGGGATGACAGGTGTGAACCACTGCGCCTGGCCTTTATTTTATTCTTTTTTTTTTTAATTTTTTTTTTTGAGACGAAGTTTTGCTCTCGTCCTCCAGGCTGGAGTGCAATGGCATGATCTTGGCTCACCGCAACCTCTGCCTCCTGGGTTCAAGTGATTCTCCTGCCTCAGTCTCCCGAGTAGCTGGTATTACAGGTGTGTGCCACCACGCCCGGCTAATTTTTGTATTTTTAGTAGAGACGGGGTTTCACCATGTTGCCCAGGCTGGTCTTGAACGCCTGACTTCAGGTGATCCACTCACCTTGGCCTCCCAAAGTGCTGGGATTACAGGCATGAGCCACCGCCCCCTGCCTATTTTATTCTTAAATGACTGCAATTTCTTTCTAACAGGATGAGTGCACCTGTTGAGCACTGCACAATTTCCCAAACCTTAGAATCAGATGCACACAATCGTCCTGATTTCCTATTTCCCATCCATTTTCATATGCAGTGCTTGCTTTTTAACACAGTATCCGGCAAAACCCAATTCTGTCAAGATACGATGCCACTGAAAGGAATGTAATGCAATGTAATGTTGAAACTGTGCATTGCCTTTGACTAACAGTTCATGCAGTGTGTGACAGATGGCAGGTGTCACTGTGTCCCTCTGCAACATTTAAAATATCTTGATGAGGCCGGGCGCAGTGGCTCCCACTTGTAATCCCAGCACTTTGGGAGGCTGAGGTGGGCGGATCACTTGAGGCCAGGAGTTCAAGACCAACCTGGCCAACATGGCGAAACCCCATCTCTACTAAAAATACAAACATTAGCCTGGCATGGTGGTACACTCCTGTAGTCCCAGCTACTTGGGGAGGCTGAAGCAGGAGAATCCCTTGAACCCAGGAGGTGGAGGTTGCAGTGAGCCGAGATCATGCCACTGAATGCCAGCCTGGGCGACAGAGCGAGACTCTGTCTCAAAAAAATAAAATATCTTGACGTGCCCCTGTGAATTTGTGGCAGCACCCTAGGGCACCTCAACACACAATTTGGGATACATGGACTTAAGGAAACTGTTAGAGGCTATATCAGGAAGCAACCAAAAGGCAGCATGGGCCAGGCACGGTGGCTCACACCTATAATCCCAGCACTTTGGGAGGCCAAGGCCAGCGGATTGCCCGAGCTCAGGAGTTTGCGACCAGCCTGGGCAACATGGTTAAACCCTGTCTATACTAAAATACAAAAAATTAGCCGGGCGTGGCGGCATGCGCCTGTATCCCAGCTACTTGGGAGGCTGAGGCAGAATTGCTTGAAGCCGGGATGCGGAGGTTGCAGTGAGCTGAGATTGCGCCACTATACTCCAGCCTGGGCAACAGACTCCATCCCCACCCCCCCAAAAAAGCAGTATGGTTCTTTCCAGGAGAATAGAAGCAGGGAACCACCTGTATGTATCCTTGTTCACAGTTGGCCACCCTGTCATTGTTCCATGGTCTGCAGGAAATCTTCCTGAAGTCTCTCTTCCTAGTACCTCCTTCCACCCTGGGTTATGGCTATTTACATAACATTAGCAGAGGAGAGAATAATGGTTGGTTGTTAGAAGGCCTGGGCTCAAGTCCCAGATCTGCCACTCAGGAGGTACAACACCTTGGTCATAACCTCCTCTTTTTAGAGTCTCTTCCAGCTTTAAATATCTATGAATCTATGCATCTTCCCTCAAGCTTTCTCCTGAGAGGTCAACATTTTGCACTTAATTTTAACTTAGCCTCATCAGAGCAGGAAGGAAAGAAGGAAATGTTTCTTCCATTGTACACATTCTGCATGCTAGAAAGCTGGGGACTTTAAATCAAACAAAAATCAATTTTCACATCAGGTAAATTTCTGAAAAGAGAGAAGAAAGAGCAAGAACATAAAGCTCTCTACGAGGTGCCCTTGTGTATGGGGCGCTGGAAATGTTTCTTGAGCTGAATGCAAATAACTAGGTGTCTTCAGTTTGAAAGAATTCATCAAACTGTACATTGTGATTTGTGTATATTCTACTTTAATTTCTTTTAAGGGCAGGAAAGCAAATTGCAGAATTGAAACAATATAGAAATTACATGAAAATACAACACAAACAATACTATTTTCTTTAAAAACTTGATGATGACTTGTAAAGGTGTGAATATGCTATACACTTGTGGTAATTTTTAAAATAAATTTTAAGTCATTGAAAAACACAGTAGGCCAGGCATGGTGGCCCACATCTGTAATTCCTGCACTTTGGGAGGCCGAGGCAGGAGGATTGTTTGAGCTCAGGAGCTCGAGACCAGCCTGGGCAACATGGCAAAACCTTGTCTCTACAAAAAATACAAAAAATTAGCCCAGCATGATGACACATGCCTGTAGTCCCAGCTACTCGGGAGGGTGAGGTGGGAGGGTCACCTGAGCCCAGGTGGTCAAGGCTGCAATGAGCCGTGCTCGTGCCACTGCACTTCAGCCTGGGTAACAGAATGAGACCCTGTCTCAAAAAACAAAAAAAGAAAAAGAAAAAAATAATAATAAAATAAGGCTTTTGCCAGCTTAATAAGGAAGGTTTGAGACACAGACCAGCAAAGGAAGGCTCATGTCCTCTGCATGGTAGAGTCTGGCTTCTTCGAAGGCAGCCTTTTACTGCTCTGTCCCTGTCACACTACAAAGGAGCAGATGTTCAGCCTATGTAAATCCATAAGAAGGACAATTTATCAGGCTGGGTGCAGTGGCTCATGCCTGTAATCCCAACACTTTGGGAGGCTGAGGCAGGAGAATGGCTTGAGTCCTGGAGTTTGAGACCAGCCTGGGCCACATAGTGAGACCCGGTCTCTACCAATTTTTTTTTTTTTTTAATTAGTGTGGTGTGGTGGTGCCTGCGGTCCCAGCTAGCTACTTGGGAGACTGAGGCTGAAGGATCTCTTGAGCCCAGGAGGTCAAGGCTGCAGTGAGCTGTGATTGCGCCATTGCAATCCAACCTGAGTGACAGAGCAAGACTCTGTCTCAAAACAAAACAAAACAAAACAAAAAGGAGCAACCATTCTGAGAAGCCAAGGGTCAGAAGCCTGGGCTTGGCCTGCAGGCGATGATATGTTATCTGCTCCCATAAGCGACAGGAGCTGGCTCTGAAGCTAGAACCGAAGAAACAGCCAGTGACCAGAGGCTGCTTGTTCTACAAGAAAGAGCACTGTCCTAGCCTTGGGGACGCAACTAGCAGAGTGACCAGAGCAAACCATCCATAAAATTATGACCAGGCCAGGCGCAGTGGCTCAGGCCTGTAATCCCAGGCTGAGGCAGGCGGATCACTTGAGGTCAGGAGTTCAGGATCAGCCTGGCCAACATGGTGAAACCCCGTCTCTACTAGGCATAGTGGCACACGCCTGTAGTCCCAGCTACTTGGGAGGCTGAGGCAGGAGAATCACTTGAACCCCAGGGAGGGGGCAGAGATTGGGCCACTGCCCAATTTTATATATATATAAAACTAGACAGTGGATAGAAAACCCTATCTTAAAAAAAAAAAAAAGAACTTTAAAAGTATTTGTATCCTTTGATCCTTTAAAAAAATGAAAATGATTACATTTTGGTACAGCTGTACAATGTTAACATCGAACCATTAAACATATTTATGATGTGTTTAAGGAAATGGGAAATGTTTCTAAGATATTAAGTACAAAAAGCAAGACACTAATGACTTGCACAGAATGATCAAGTCTGTAAAGAGAAATAGAGCAAAACGTGAAGAAATATCCCACTACGTAAAGTGTTTGCTTCGGGTGGTGGAATTATGGGTGCGTTTCTGCGGGGTTTTTTTTGTGGGGGGGGCTAATTATTTACACTTTTCTGATTTGCCATAGTGTATACACTAAGCACATATTACTTTTATTATAAAGCGGCGGGAGGAGGTTGAAAACGATCTCCAATCTCCTCGGTTTCCTTCCCAATCCTTTGCATCAGGTTGATTTCCTCCAGGCCCCTTCCTGAAAGTTCTGCAGGTGACGCAGCCCCGCGCCGGCCGCCGCCGGGAAGATTCGAGAGGCCATCGGCCAGGGAGCGGCGGCGTCGGGTTTCCGCGCTGCTCCCCCCACTGCGAGTGCGGACGAGGATGCCGGGCCGCGTCTGTCCTGCGGCTCGCTGGGGCCCGGCAGCCCCTCTGCAGCGCGGTGCGAGTTCCTGGAAAGGCTGCGTTTGCGCTCCCCGGCCCTGCCCTCGAGGCGGGGACAACCCGCGGCTTCAGCCCGGCGTCCCCCTCCTGCTCGGTCCTCAACCCCGGCTGCGGCCGGCGGAAGCGCCCGGGCCTGGGAGGGAGAGGGAGGCACCTCCCTGCCGGCTCAACCCCCTGGGCAAGGGGCCGGGAGGGCGCGGCTGGGACGTGCCCGGGCCCACGAAGGCCTCCGCCCCACCCCTGCGCGCCGCCTGCAGGGGAGACCGGGCAGGGCGCCCCCCGCCTCCCAGGCCGCTCGCTGCAGGCTGCCGGCCGTGCGCAGGGGACCAGGCAAGGGGGCAGGCCATGCCTGCGGCCGCAACGCTCGGGTCTCGCTGCCGGCGGCTGGACCGGCCCCTTTGTCCCGTAGTCCTGCTCCGCCGGGGATCCTGGGGAGCCAAACCGAGCGCGCGCGCTGGCATCTGTGTGGACAGCGGGGGAGGCTGCCCGGTCTGATCCGTTGGCGCGCGCCCTGGCACGGCGTCCCCACGGCCTCTCCGGGGCCCGATCCCCGGCAGGCCTGAGCACTGAGCACTGCACCCGCTTTTCTTTGGGCGCGTGGCTCGTCCTCGGCCTGCTGCGGCCCCCTCCTTGCCCTGGCTTTGTTTTTCTTTTTCTTTCTTTCGTTTTCTTTTTCTTTTCTTTTCTTTTTTTTTTTTTTTTTTTTTTTTTTTGAGACAGGGTGCTGTGTGGCCCAGGCTGGGGGGCGGTGGCGTGACTACGGCTCACTGCAGCCCTAAGCTCCCAGGTTCAAGCGATCCAGCTGCCCCAGCCTCCTGAGTAGCTGGGACTCACATGCGCGCCACCACACCCAACTAATTTTTGAAAAATCTTTTTTTAGAGACAGGTTCCTGCTATGGGGCTTGCCCAAGCTGGTCTTGAACTCCTGGGCTCAAGCGATCCTCCTGCCTCAGCCTCCTAAAGGGCTGGGATTACAGGCATGAGTCACCGCGCCCGGCCAACCCCACTGTTTTTCTACCTCAGCTTCTTTGTCTAAGTCTGATCCACCAAAGGCCTTGGGCCCATCTTTCACCTCCATCTGTAAACCCATCCCTGCCAGCCCCGCACTCTGCCCTGCAGACACACATGCCCGAGGCGAAATCCAAGTTTACTTCCACTTTGACGGTAGGACAAGATCCTGCCCTCTCATTGTCACCCCAAAATATTCCCAAAGGCAAGAAGAGTTGACTCTTGCTCTATTACCCTGGGCCCGCTGCTGCGTAATTTGCAGGGCCCAGTGAAAAATGAAATTGAGCAGAGACGGAGCCACTGCATTCCAGCCTGGGTAAGAGAGCTAGACGCTGTCTCAAATAGAGACAGGGTCTCACTCTGTCGCCCAGGCTGGAGTGTGGTAGCATGATTGTGGCTCACTGCAGCCTCTACCTCCCATGCTCAAGAGATTCTCCTACCTCAGCCTCCCGAGTAGCTGGGATGACAGGTGTGAACCACCACCCCTGGCTAATTTTTTTTTTTTTTTTTTTTTTGGAGAAATTGGGCCTTCCTATGTTGCCCAGGCTGGTCTAGAACTCCTGGACTCAAGTGATCCACCTCGGCCTCCCAAAGTGCTGAATGACAAGCGTGAGCTACCGTGCCTGACTTTTCCTTCCTTCCCTCCCTTCCTCCCTCCCTCCATCCCTCCCTTCCTTTCCTTCCTTCCTTCCTTTCTTTCCTTCCTTCCTTCCTTCTTCCTTCCTTTCTTCCTTCCTCACTCCTTCCCTCTCTTCTTTCTTTCCCTCCTTTCTCCTTCTCTCTCTTCTTTCCTTCCCTCCTTTCTCCTTCCCTCCCTTCCTTCTTCCCTTTTTATCAATCTTCTTTCTTTCCTCCCTTCCCCGCCCCCTTCCTTCCTGAGCAAAAAGTAAACCGAACCTCGTACCCTTCAAAGTCAGGATGCTTTGCAGCTATGCAGGTGGAACCCTCCCGAAGCCAGGCTTGCCAGCAGCCTTTCAAAGCATCTCCTCACAAAATATTTCAGTAATTAGAAAGCCCTTAGAAGTAATTTTACCATGGTGAGACCAGGCGCACATCATCCTAATCAAATCATGAACGTGAACCCACAGATAAAGAGATAAGTTGACATTGCGTGCCACCTGGTGAAACCCAATGAGGAGTCGCAGCGTGACTTCTGCCACGTTCCCGTCAAAGATGCAGGACCCACGTCTTATGAGGAAACGCTAGACAAACCCAAATTGAGGCACAGCCTACAAAATGGCCTGTAATATTCAAAAAAGTCGAGACCTTGAGAGCCAAGGAAACTTGAGGAGCCGCCCCAGGTGGAAGTAGATTCAGCAGAGCAACTGTGTCCAACGTGTGATTATTGCGCTGTAAAGAATGTCATTGAAGTCTGGGCGCCGTGGCTCATGTCTGTAATCCCTGCACTTTGGGAGGCTGAGGCGGGCAGATCACTTGAGGTCAGGAGTTCGAGACCAGTCTGGCCAACATGGCGAAACCCCGTCTCTACTAAAAATCCAAAAATTAGCTGGATGTGGTGGTGGGTGCCTGTTGCCCCAGCTACTTGGGAGGCTGAGGCAAGAGAATCACTTGAATGTGGGAGGTGGAGATTGCAGTGAGCTGAGATCGCACCACTGCACTCCAGCCTGGGTGACAGTGCGAGACTCCATCTCAGGAAAAAAAAAAAAAAAGAATGTCATAGAGGCCACAGATGAAAGGCGATGAGTCTCTGGGCAGAGAATAGGTGAGTTATTTTGTTCGATTCTTTCAGATAATTTCCTGTCAATTTGAAATTATTTCAGAATAAAAAGAAAGAATAAAATTTACCATCACAACCCCCCCTCCACACCAGCTTTCCCTCAATAGCAGCGACATTCCCCGAGTCACCCGAGCTTAAACACTTCAGTATCATCTTTGATTCCTCTCCCATCCCTCCCCTGCCCACTTCCCCACCACCCTAAGTCCTGCTAATTCTTTTTAAAATACCTCTCACATAGCTACCTTTTTAATTAAATCTCCAAATTAAAAAAAAATGACTCTACCTACCTCACATAATCATTTTAAGTAGTGTCTGTGAAGAGAATTTGTATACCTAAAGTACTGTATAAACACAAGATCTTCTTGCACCAACTCAAGCCTGGATTACTGCTGTTTACTGCTGCAATCTCCTAACGGGTCTTCCTGTCTCTCCTTGCTCCCTTTACCAACCCATCCTGTGTAGGGTTACCGGAGTAATCTGCCTAAAAGCACATTTTATCCTTTCAAGACCTTGCTTCCCACGGTCCACTGCAGGACTTAATCCATGTTCCCTGGGAAGACTGTGGTCTATGAGCTGAACCAAAACGGTCTGCCCTTGTATCAGATAACCCTGACCTTTCCCCAATTCATAGAGAAAAGAAGTTAGTGGATAGAACTTTCTCAGTTTGTAAATATTTTTTCCCTATATGTACTTGTTTTTCTGTAGTAGTAAATCCAAGCTTTCGTCTGCTACTCTTGTAGATGACAAAATGAATGATTAAGCAGCAAATAAATCATAAAGATTTGACCACAGCAGATCATATTTACTTCGATAGATTGGTTTTCTCATGGGCACATACGGGTGGTTGTGATTTTTATAATGCACGTCAATTAATTATATAGCCATTTTCCTTCTTCAAAAGCGTTTCTGTTTGTTTTGTGATGGAATGCAATATATCAAAATTTTATCATGAATAAGTTAGAGAAAACACCGCCCTCCCGAACAAATACTTGGCCTCTTATTCACAGTTTTTCCAGCCAGATCGCAGCTACTCCCCTTGATAGCAAAGTTGTCTAATCTCTGTTCATTTTTGCTTTCTTATTTGTTTGCTTTGCATAAACCACTCCATGTCCCTGGTACTCTCCCCCTATTCCTGACTGCAGAAACCTCCCCAACCTTAAAAGACCAAATTAACTCTCTACTTGGTGAAAACTTCAAAAATCATGATGACTCCTTCTAACTCAGAGCATGTCTTGCCTCTGCTAGTCATCTGGCACTTAATCAAGTACTGCCTAGTGGATTCTTACTTTTTTGTGTGCTCAGCTGTAGTTAACTCATTCTTCTGGCCGGGCACTGTGGCTCACACCTGTAATCCCAGCACTTTCGGAGACAAAGGTGGGTGGATCACCTGAAGCCAGGAGTTCCAGACCAGCCTGACCAACACGATGAAACCCGTCTCTACTAAAAACACAAAACATTAGCTGGGCTGGTGGTGCATGCCTGTCATCCCAGCTACTCTGGAGGCTGAGGCAGGGGAATCGCTTGAACCCAAGGGGCAGAGGTTGCAGTGAGCCGAGATCATGCCACTGCACTCCAGCCTGGGTGACAGAGCTAGACTTTGACTCAAAATAAAAAAATAAAATAAAATAAAAAACTCAATTCTTCTACTTGTCAATGCAAGGATACTTTCCTTTCTGAATTGCATTGGAAGCAGAGAGTTCAAGTGTTGGAGTAAGATAAAATAAGATTGAAAAGCTGTTGGAGAACTTTGTTAGGAGTTCAGATTTTGTTTTGCAGCACAGGGTTTCCTACTTTACAAGCTTTAATAGGCATACGAATGGAGGGAGAGCTTATTAAACATGCAGATTCTGTGCTTGCCTCAGCAGTGCATATACTACAATTGAAATGATACAGAGATTAGCATGGCCCCTGTGGGAGGATGACACGCCAATACATGAAGCATTCCATGTCTTTAAAGAAATCAGCTGGGCGCAGTGGCTCATGCCTGTAATCCCAGCACTTTGGGAGGCCGAGACGGGCAGATCACGAGGTCAGGAGTTCAAGACCAGCCTGACCAACATGGTGAAACCCCATCTCTACTAAAAATACAAAAATTAGCTGGGCGTGATGGTGCGCATCTGTAATCTCAGCTACTCAGGAGGCTGAGGCAGGAGAATCGCTTGGACCCGGGAGGCAGACATTGCAGTGAGCCGAGATCACGCCACTGTACTCCAGCCTGGGCAACAGAGCGAGACTCTTGTCTCAAAAAAAAAAAAAGAAAGAAAAGAAAAGAAAAAAAGAAAAGAAATCATGGGGATTCTGATTCATTAGGCTTGGGGTAGGGACCAAGCTTCTGCATTTCTAACATGTGCCCCATTAATGCCAATGCATTTTCTCTCCTAGCCTTGTAGATGACAAAATGAATGAACAAGCGGCAAATAAATCATAAAGATTCGGCCACAGCAGATCATATTTACAACAGCTTGGTTTTCTCATGGGCACGGAAGAATCACCCCATAGCAAGGCTGTAGGGAAAGCGGAGATAAATGTATCCTTCTTTAAAGAAGGGAGTGACTTAGAAAAGAAACAAAACAAGCAGACTAAAACTTTAATATTTTATGAAAGTCTGCAAGTCACTCATAGCATATTTGGAAAAACTTGTCGGATTATATTTACTTTGTTTAACAACATGCAGCAATTGGAATGTAGATGCTGTATGGAGAGTTTTGGCACCAACCTTCCAGAAGTCTGGGCTAGAGGCTTTATCGACCCTTGGTAATCAATTTGGACTCTACTTCCTTGACTCACCCTCGAACCCCTACCCTGTTTTTTTTGTTTTGTTTTGTTTTCTCAAGGTCCATCATTTTAATCCATCCATTTCTTTTTTGAGATGGAGTCTCACTCTGTCACCCAGGCTGGAGTGCAGTGTCATGATCTTGGCCCACTGCAGCCTCCGCCTCCCAGGCTCAAGCAATTCTCATACCTTAGCCTCCGGAGTAGCTGGGATTACAGGCGTGTGCCACTATCCTCCGCTAATTTTTTTTTTTTTTTTTTGGTATTTTTTGTAGGGATGGGTTTCGCCATGTTGGCCAGACTGGTGTCGAACTCTTGACCTCAAGCAATCCGCCTGCTTCGGCCTCCCAAAATGCTGGGATTACAGGCATGAGCCACCTTGCCCAGCCTAATCCATCCATTTATTTTCATCAATACCACTGTCCTTAATCTAGTCCCAAATTATTGCTGCAGCATCTAAAGTCATTTATCTACCTACAGTTTTTCTCCCTCAGATCTATCCTATGTCCCATGAATCTTCTAAAAATATTTCTTTTATCATATCACTTCTGTACGCAGGAACCCACAAAGGCTCTGGTAGCAAACTTTTTCCTCCCTTTGTCCTCTTGCTACTACTGTTACCTCCTACTCTGTGTCTATCCAAGCATCACCCTTCTTGCTTCCAGGCCTAGGTCAAGATTCACCTTCCTGTAGCCGGGTGCGGTGGCTCACGCCTGTCATCCCAGTGCTTTGGGAGGCCGAGGCAGGCGGATCACTTGAGGTCAGGAGTTCAAGACCAGCCTGGTCAACATGGTGAAACCCCATCTCTACTAAACATACAAAAATTAGCCGGGTATGGTGGCACACACCTATAGTCTCAGCTACTCAGGAGGCTGAGGCAGGAGAATCACCTGAACCTGGGAGGGAGGTGTTGCAGTGAGCCAAGATGGTGCCACTGCACTCCAGCCTGGGCAACAGAGACAGACTCTGTCTCAAAAAAAAAAAAAAAAAAAAGATTCAGCTTCCTTTTTGTATCTGGCTTATTTCACTCAGTGTAATGTCCTCAAGGTTCATCCATGTTGTAGCATGGGTCAGAATGTCCTTCCTTTTTAAGGCTGAATAATATTCCACGGTATGAATGGACCACATTTTGCTTCTCCATTCATCTCTCAATGGTCCCTTGGGCTGCTTCCACCTCTGGGCTATTGTGAAGAATGCTGTTGTGAACATGGGTGTACAAACATCTGTTTGAGCCCGTTTTCAGTCCTTTTGTGTATTTCCCCAGATGTATGATGATGGATCACATGGAAATTCTGTTTAGTTTCTTGAAGAACGTCATATTGTGTTTTGTTTGTTTTTTGAGACAGAGTCTCACTCTGTCACCCAAGCTGGAGCGCAGTGGCATGATCTCAGCTCACTGCAACCTCTGCCTCCCAGGTTCAGGCAATTCTCCTGCCTCAGCCTCCTGAGTAGCTGGTATTATAGGCACACACCACCACGCTCTGCTGATTTTCTGTATTTTTAGTAGAGACAGTGTTTCACTATGTTGGCCAGGCTGGTCTTGAACTCCTGACCTCAAATGATCTGCCTGCCTTGGCTTCCCAAAGTGCTGGGATTACAGGCGTGAGCCACCGCTCTCGGCCCATACTGTTTGTTTTTTTTTAAATTGCAGGTGCACAATTTTACATTCCCATCAGCAATGCACAAAAATTCTAATTTTTCCACCTCCTCGAAAACTTATTTTCTGTTTTGTTTGTTGTTGATAACAGCCATCCTAATGGGTGACATGGTTGGTTACTTTTTTTTTTTTTTTTTGAGACAGAGTCTTGCTCTGTTGCTAGGCTGGAGTGCAGTGGTGTGCCTCCCGGGTTCAACCGATTCTCCTGCCTCAGCCTCCCGTGTAGCTGGGACTACTGGCGCGCCGCCACCTTGCCCAGCTAATTTTTGTATTTTAGTAGAGACGAGGTTTCAACATGTTGACCAGGCTGGTCTCGAGCTCCTGACCTCGTGATCCACCCGGCTCGGACTTCCAAAGTACTGGGATTACAGGTGTGAGCGAGCGCGCCCCGCCAGTTGGTTACCTTTTAAAGTGGTTATGTTTCTTTAGACTATAAGTTGTTCAAAAACTGACAATGTGATTATTTGCTTGAATGATGCTAATGGAATCAAAGACTTGAGTGGAATAAGTGAGTGATTCTCTAAGGGTGTCAGCATATATATTCAAAATTTCCCAGAGCCCCTCCGTAGTAGTAGGGAAAGCTGTGTTTTCAGGAACGCCAGTCCTGTTTGAGTTTTTGAGACACAAATGGGCAGTAGTGATGTGCCCTGAACTCAAATAAGAGGGGAAGAAGCGCCCTCTTGTGTCCATTCTCAGCTGGTGTCAGTGACTACAGAAGCCTGCTGAGAAATGTACATTTCGGATCTTCCAAAGACATTCCAATGACAGTGCTACTGTCAAACGCCAATCATGTGTCTACTACGTGAAAGAAAATGTGGAAATATGGAATGAATGAAACTGGAATGCTTTGAAGAATTTCCAACCTAGTGGGGAGATAAGATACATGCAGAAATCACTTGAGTAGAAGACAGATTGAGCAAAATGGACAGTATATATAATGTGAATATGGGAAGATCAAGACTTCGAAGGGGAGAGAAGTCCAGATTCACATCAAAATGTAAACCTGGCCGGTTAAGGAGGAGTTTGAGATGGCACTGGGGTTTTGTGTGTTTTTTGTTTTTGTTTTTTTTTGCTGTGTGTGTGTGTGTGTGTGTGTGTGTGTGTGTGTGTGTGTGTGTGTGGAGACGGAGTCTCACTCTGTCGCCCAGGCTGCAGTGCATTGACGCAATCTCAGCTCAATGCAACCTCTGCCTCCTGGGTTCCAGTGATTCTCCTGCCTCAGCTTCCCAAGTAGCTGGGATTACAGGCACCCACCACCACGGCCAGCTAATTTTTGTATTTTTAGTAGTAACGGGGTTTCACCCTGTTGGCCAGGCTGGTCTTGAGCTCCCGACTTCAAGTGATCTGCCCACCTCGGCCTCCCAAAGTGCTAAGATTACAGGTGTGAGCCACTTCGCCCAGCCAGCACTGGGGTTTTTTAATGGTACCAGCTTCCGCTTGTCTGGACCTGGGAGGGCCAACCACATAGGTCTAGTTGTCGGGTTCCCTAGTCCTTTGGAGCGAGCACCCCAGAACTCACAATTTCCCCGTCTTCTCAGTAGTGCCCTTCCCACAGCTGTCTCTCTCTTGAGTTTCATCCCCCGAACTCTCCCTTTCCTAAATTGGCTGATGGCAGGGGCACTGCCTCCATAGCTTCCGCTGTCCGTCATGCACACAAAGAAACTTACATAGGTCCCCTGGTTTTAGGATTTTGCAAATATAATCAGGGTAGGGATGAGTTACAAAGGATTAAGTACCTCTTGAAATCTCTGTTTCTGAGAGCAGCCTTCTGCCATCCTCTTAGAGCCCTGAGGAGGTGACGCTGCCAACCCTTGGTCTGCATCCTTCTGTCTATCTCTCCCTCTCTCTCTCTCTTTTTTTTTTTTTGTAGCATAAGAATGCAAGTGTTCGACATTACAGGCTTGGCAAACATTTTTGTGTGTGTGTGTGTGTGTGTGTGTGTGTGTGTGTGTGTTTTGTTTTGTTTTGTTTTGTTTTTTGTTTTTAGTCTCACTCTGTCGCCCAGGCTGAAGTGCAGTGGCGCAATCTTGGCTCACTGCAACCTCCACTGCCCGGGCTCAAGTGATTCTCCTGCCTCCCTGTCCTGAGTAGCTAGGATTACAGGTACCCACCATCACAGCCGGTTAATTTTTGTATTTTTAGTGCAGACAGGGTTTCGCCATGTTGACCAGGGTGGTCTCAAACTCCTGACCTCAAGTGATCCACCCGCCTCGGCCTCCCAAAGTGCTGGCTTACAGCCATGAGCCACTGCGCCCGGCCATGCATCCTTCTTTACTGTACTGGAGCTAACCTCTCTTTTTTTATTTGGCTTTTGCTTGTTTATTTTATTTAGAGACAGAGTCTTGCTCTGTTACTCAGACTAGAGTCTTGAACTCCTGCAGCTTTGAACACCTGGGTGCAAGTAACCCCTACTGCTTCAGCCTTCCAAGCAGCTGGGACTGCAGTCATGCACCACTGTGCTCAGCTAAGTTTTAAAAAAATTTTTTGTGGACACGTGGTCTCACTATGTTGCCCAGACTGGTCTAAAACTCCTGGCCTCCAGCAATTCTCCCGTCTCAGCCTTCCAAAGGGCTGGGATGACAGGCGTTAGCCACCAACCCAGGCCTGGTGCTGACCTCTCTTCCTCGGAAGTACTGCTTCTCAGCACAAATGCTGAATGAAGGTGGAATCAAAGCATGGCAGGAGATAGGGAGAAATACCCAGATAGAAAGAAACCAGAGTTTCTGGGGAAGCTGCAAGGTGGAAAGAGCAGATCTTCGGAGTCAAACACATCTGGGTTGAAATCCCAGCTCTGCTTCTTCATAGCTGTGGCCACTTTCAGCACATGAGGATAAAAATACCTACCTATTACCTCGTAAGATTCTTGTGAAGATTGGATAAGATAGAGCACAAAAATAGTTGAGGAAGTATCTGGTTTAGTAAATACCTGTCGCTTTCCCCCTTGCCCTCCGCACCTCCTTTGTATCCTGAAGTTTCTGTAAGTGTCACGGCTCTGTCTGAGGCTTCTAGGTCAGTTGCACAATAACTGAGATGACTTTTATGGCAACAAGAGCTGCATGGGAAGCAGAAGCATCATTGCTTTGTTGGCATTCTGGGGTAGGGTGGTGTGGGGAAGATATTTCCAAACCATCCTAATTACCTCCCAAAACTCCAGTTTCCCAAGCCAGAAAACTAAGAGTCCTTAATTTCTCCTCCTCTCTCCTCCTAACTCTAAGAAAGTTTTTTTTTCTTTTTTCTTTTTTTTTCTTTACGGAGTCTCTCTCTGTTGCCAGGCTGAAGTACAGTGGCGCAGTCTCGGCTCACTGCAACCTCTGCCTCCCTGGTTCAAGCGATTCTTCTGCCTCAGCCTCCCAAGTAGTTGGGATTGTAAGTGCGTGCCACCACACCCAGCTAATTTTTGTATTTTTAGTAGAGATGGGGTTTCACCAGCTTGGCCAGGATGGTCTCAATCTCCTGACTTTGTGATCTGCCCACCTCAGCCTCCCAAAGTGCTGGGATTACAGGCCTGAGCCACCTCACCCGGCTAAGAAAATTCTAAGTTCTGCTATTTCTCCTGAAGACATTCTACAACCTCCTTGTTTTCTCTTTACCCTCCTCCACTACTTTCAGTTCAAGTCACCAGCATCTTTTCCCTGGAAAACTGTGATGGCCCCAAACTGGTCTTCAGTGTTGCCCCTCTCCTGCATTATCCAGAAGCCAGAGCTCTTTCAAATGCCAGTCTTAGCAAGTCACTCTCGTCTTTAAAATCCTGTCCTGATTGCTCAGCTATCTTGGAGATAAAGTCTTAACTGCTCGGCTTGGCTTCCTGTTTGGGCTCCTGGCTACCTTTTCCGCTATCTCTCTTTTCCAACCCTGCTGCAACCCAGCCCCAGTTCTCTAGGGTCCAGCTGCACTGGACATTTTCCAAGGACCACTCACAGTGACAAGGGGTTTCCTGGATGTGGACCTTGTGGTGCTAACGCCAGGACAGCCCTGGCAAACCAGGATGCTTGGTCACCCAGGTTTGGCCTGGGGTCTCTGCTTATTTTATTCCTCTCCTTCCTCTCTCTGGAATGCTCCTCCTTGTACACTCACCTCCTAGTTACTATGAAATACCATTCATCCCATCCCAGGTTTCTTTATGTTTCTTTCTTTCTTTTTTTTTTTTGTTTCAAGACAGGTTCTCGCTCTGATACCCAGGCTGGAGTGCAGTGGTGCAATCTCGGCTCACTGCAACCTCTGCCTCTTGGGTTCAAGCAATTCTAGTGCCTCAGCCTCCTGAGTAGTTGGGACTGCAGGCGCGTGCCACCATGCCTGGCTAAATTTTGTACTTTTTTAATAGAGTCAGGGTTTCACCATGTTGGCCAGACTGATCTCGAACTGCTGACCTCAAGTGATCCACCTGCCTCGGCCTCCCAGAGTGCTGAGATGACAGGCGTTGAGTCACCGTGCGTGACCCATCTGGAGTTTCTGCTTGGACATCACTTCTGCAATGCCCCGTGGAGTGGCTTACTTCTTCCTTCTGTGAGCTCTCACAGCCTGGCTGCTCTGTCTCCTTCGCAGCTATGATCAGCTCATCGAAGGCAGGAACAGTTTCTTTCTCATACCTGTATTCCCAGAGATTCGCACGAGTCTGGTGCAAAGTGGGCATTCATAAAGTTTTGCTGAATGTGGCCGGGCGCAGTGGCTCACGCCTGTAATTCCACCACTTTTGGAGGCCGAGGGGGGTGGATCACCTGAGGTCAGGAGTTCTAGACCAGCCTGGCCAACATGGTGAAACCCCATCTCTACTAAAAATACAAAATTTAGCCAGGCATGATGGCAGGCACCTGTAATCCCAGCTACTCGGGGAGGGGGGGTGCCAAGGCAGGAGAATCACTTGAACCCGGGAGGTGGAGGTTGCAGTGAGCCGAGATCGCGCCATTGCACTCCAGCCTGGGGACAAGAGCGATACTTTAAAAAAAAAAAAGTTTTGCTGAATGAATGAGTATCAGCACAGTTTACCAACCATTACCTGGTTCCTACCACAATGGGAGATGTGCCACTTCACATGCCTGTGTCCTATGTATGGCAAGGGTTGCCCAGGGAATCATCCTGAGGCAGAGAGTCTACCCCAAAATGATCACAAGACTATTTCCCATCCCACATGTTCTTCTAGAACCTTGCAGCTCTCCCAAGTCTGTGTCCTCTCTGCTTGAAATTGGACAAACCCCTCCGGCCAGCTGGGGATGGTGGAAGAGACTAGGAGACTTCCAAGGCTGGGACCTCAAAGCTGATTCCGGTTCAGTTTGGCTCTCTCTTGGGACCCTCATCCTTAGAACCCAACCCCGCTGCCAATGAGAACCCCAGGCCATATGGAGAGGTAAAGAGGCCCCGCCCTCAGTCCTGGCTGAGCTCTCAGTGGGTGGCACACACCCACTTTCCAGCCATGTCCCTGTATCCCCTCGGACATGGATCCCGCAGCCCTCGGTTGAGAGGACCCGGAGGATGCTGTGTGGGTCGGAGACAAGCCCTCCCCAAAGAGCCCAAACCACAGATTCATGAGGAAAATGACAGACTTGTTGCAAGCAAGTGCATTCAGGGTGATTTGTTACCTGTAGATAACCCAAATACAGCTTAAGACAACATGCAGGCCGGGCGTGGGGGCTCACGCCTGGAATCCCGGTACTTTGGGGGGCCAAGGCGGGAAGACTGCTTGAGCCCAGGAGTTCAAGACCAGCCTGGGCAACATAGGGAGACCCCATCTCTACAAAAAATTAAAAAATTAGCTGGGTGTGGTGGCACATGCCTGTAATCCCAGCTACTCAGGAGGCTGAGGTGGGAGGACCACTTGGAACCTGGGAGGTCGAGGCTGCAGTGAGCTGTGAAGGGGCCACTGCACTCAGCCTGGGCCACAGAGAGAGGTCCTATCTCAAAAAAAAGACAACACACAGTCTCTGGCACTGGAGGAGCCCTTCTTTCTCCTGATATGTCCTTGCCCCAGGGGATCTTGGCTTATTCTGAAAGGGGCTGGGAATGGACTCTGGTCTGGCCCATTCAAACATCTGCCTGCAATGTGACAGGCTCATGATATAATCAAAGAATGCACTGGGACAAAGGGGGTTGTACATGCGGAGCTGCAGGCCATCCCAGCTTATCCGTTTGTCCCTGGCTCCTGGGGGCCGCCCAGGAGGAAACCCTTCCTGACAGCCATCTTCTTTTGGAACACATGGGAGGAACACAAGGTCTCAACTCAGGGAGACACATTCGCTTCACCCTGGATGGGACAAACAAATCAGCTGAACTCACCTATCATTTGGGCATCAATACCACTGTGTCTGGGACCATCCTCCCAGGCCACTATCTTAAACCATGCAAAAGTATATATTTACAGTATGTAGCAAAAGGACACAAGTGTTCAAGATTACAAGCCTGGCAAACATGTGTGGTTTTTTTTTTTGTTTTGTTTTGTTTTGTTTTGAGACAGAGTCTTACTCTGTCACCCAGGCTGGAGTGCAGTGGTACGATCTCGGCTCACTGCAACCTCCACCTCCCGGGTTCAAATGATTCACCTGCCTCAGCCTCATGAGTAGCTGGGACTACAGGTGTCTGCCACCACACCCGGCTAATTTTTGTATTTTTAGTAGAGATGGAGTTTCCACATGTTGGCCAGGCTGGTCTCGAACTCCTGGCCTCAAGTGATCCATCCACCTTGGCCTCCCAAAGTGCTGGGACTACAAGCGTGAGCCATGATGCCCAGCCTGTTCTTCTTCTTCTTCTTCTTCTTCTTTTTTTTTTTTTTTTGACAGGGTCTTGCTCTGTTGCCCAGGCTGGATGGCAGTGGCGCAATCACAGCTCACTGTAGCCTTGACTTCCTGGGCCCAAGCCATCCTCCCGCCTCACCCCCTGAGTAGCTGGGACCGCAGGCACATGCTGCCTGGCTGATTGTTCTTTGATTTTTTGTAGAATCAAGGTCTCCCTACGTTACTCAGGCTGATCTTGAACTCTCAGGCTCAAACTTGGCCTCATAAAGTGTTGGGATTACAGGCATGAACCCCTGCACCCAGCTAACATTTGTTTTTCTATCATTCTGCTTTACCTAGATAAATAAGAATCCTAGAGGCTGGGTGCGGTGGCTCACACCCGTAATCCCAGCACTTTGGGAGGCCAAGGCAGGTGGATCACCTGAGGTCAGGAGTTCGAGACCAGCCTGACCAACATGGTGAAACCCTGTCTCTACTAAAAATACAAAAATTAGCCGGGCGTGGTGGCGGAGACCTGTAATCCCAGCTACTCGGGAGGCTGAGGCAGGAGAACTGCTTGAACCTGTGAAGCGGAGGTTGCAGTGAGCCGAGATCGCGCCACTGCACTCCAGCCTGGGCGACAGAATGAGACTCTGTCTCAAAAAAAAAAGAATCCTAGAATGGCAACTTCTAGGACACTGAATTGGTTACATGAGTAGGTGTTTTAGTTCAGAATGTATGACTAATATATTTGCAGCTAAGTGATATTTTCTGTTTTCTAATAACTCCTCCACGCCCTTTCCCATTGCTCAAACACAGTGACAGTTCCTCCCCTGGAAGTGTGTGCTTTTCTTCCGCTGTGCTGGTCATTCCCCAGCATCCCACTCATATCCCACCCTCCCCACCCAGACCCACGGGCCACCCTTGCCAGCCTTGTCTCTGCCTTGGGAAGCTGGCATCTGCCAGCACTCTGGGGTTCTCTGCTCTGACTTCCAGATGGGTTTAATCAAAGGGAGGTGCTGTTGAAAGTGAGGAAGGCTGGGAAGGGAGAGAGGTGGGGTCTTCTCCCTCTTCCCTCCCTGCTATGCCTTGGGGTTTTTTTTGTTGTTGTTGTTTGGTTTTGTTTTCTAGAGATGGAGTCTCACTATGTTGCCCAGGCTGGTCTCAAACTCCTAGGCTCTAGTGCTCCCACCTCGGCCTCCCAAAGTGCTGGGATTACAGGTGTGAGCCACTGTACCCAGCTCCCAGGCTTCAGTTTTGACGTGGCTGTGTTGCTTGGCCACACTGCACATGTTCTGGTGGACGGCGCCTCTTCCGTGGCTACAGCTCTCACTGGCCCCAGGAACTCCACCTTCTCTCTCCCCTTTGCTCTCCAGCCTAAGGGATGATAAGGTTTTCTGCTATTGCCAGTTCCTGGGCACTTCACCAGCCCTTCTTCATGCTCTTTTTATTTATTTATTTTGAGACAGAGTCTCACTTTGTTGCCCAGGCTGGAGTACAGTGGCGCCATCTCGGCTCACCGCAACCTCTGCCTTCCGGGCTCAAGAGATTCTCATCATGCCTCAGCCTCCAGAGTAGCTAGGACTACAGGCATGTACCACCATGCCAAGCTAATTTTTTCTTTTCTTTTTTTCTTTCTTTTTTTTTTTTTTTTTTTGTGAGATGGGGTTTCACCATGTTGCCCAGGCTGGTCTTGAACTCAGGGGCTCAAGCGATATGCCCACCTCAGCCTCCCAAAGTGCTAGGATTACAGGTGTGAACCACTGTACCCGGCTCCTTCTTCACCCTCTTAACTCTGCCCACAGCATGTGTTATGGGCTACACTATGTCTCCCACAAATTCTATGCGGAAATCTTAACCCCTGGGACCCCAGAATGTGACTGTATTTGGAGATAGAGTCTTTAAAGAGATGGTTAGGGTTAAATGAGGTGGTTAGGGTGGGCTGTAACCCAATAGGACTGGCATCCTTTTAAGAAGAAATTAAGGCCAGGCGTGGTGGCTCACACCTGTAATCCCAGCACTTTGGGAGGCCAAGGCCAGTGGATCACCTGAGGTCAGGAGTTCGAGACCAGCCTGGCCAATATGGTGAAACCCCGTCTCTACTAAAAATACAAAAAATTAGCTGGGTGTCGTGGCAGGTGCCTGTAATCCCAGCTACTCCAGAGGCTGAGGTGGGAGAATTGCTTGAACCCGGGAGGCAGAGGTTGCAGTGAGCCGAAGTTGTGCCATTACACTCCAGCCTGGGCAAAAAGAGCAAAACTCCATCTCAGAAAAGAAAAAAAAAAATAAAAAAATAAAGAAGGAGAAGGAAAAATTAAGAAACAGACACATACAGAGGGATGACCACATGAGAATGCAGGGAGAAGACGGCATCTACAAGCCCAGAGAGAGGCCTCAGAAGAAACCAACCCTGCCAGATCTTGGACGTCTAGCTTCCAGAACCGCAAGGAAATAAATTTCTGTTGTCGAAGGTTCCCGGTCTGTGGTGCAGCCCTAGCAAACTAAGATACCACGGTAAACAGCCCCTCCATTCAACTGCTCATGCAGCCTTGGGAGTGAGCCTGTAGCCTTCTGGGACCTGCCTCACCCACCCAATATTACCAATGGTGCCATCATATGTCCCATCACCAACCTCATGATATCTATCATCATGTTTCTACATCCGTAAATCTGTCCACATTTATGCCATGAATTCCTTTTTACTGAAATACCGTAGGACTCACTACCACAATAAGTACTTAAGCTGAAAGAGTTTCTAATGGGAGCCAAGTAAATTCAGCTCTCCACTGTGCAAAGCATCTTGTCATTTCTATAATAAAAGTCTTTCCATGTTCAGTCCACTTTGGCTCTGGAACCTGGATGAGTCATGCTTGGGGCCCAGGGTGCCTGTGAGGATGCTGCATGAGAATTTCAGCTGTGGTGGCAGTGTCTGGGAGTCCCACTGACTCAGGGGGAGGCCAGGCGAGATGAGCTGGAACTTTTAGGGGAGAGCTGGCACTTAGGGACATCTAGAAAGGAAAAAGGAATCATGAAAGCGAGGGTTATTGAAATACCAAGGGAGCTATCTAGTTAAACTTATTTTTAATGACATAAAACGATTTTACAAAATTATAGGGCTGGATGGGATTTATTGAGATTTCCCAACTTCACTCCCCTCTGCCCCCATGCAATCTTCACCCTGAGCTACAGATAATACGGTCTTTAGCGTCCAAAGTGCTCTCACTAACTTTATTTCATCTGAACCTCAAGATCACATGTGGTAGAGAGGATAGTATTAATAAGTTTCATTTTGCAAATAAATGAAACTGAGGAATTTGAGTGACAGTCCAAGTTCACACCGCTAAAAAGTGTCACAGCTGGGGCTAGAGACTTGGGATTTTTAGATGAGAGTATTGACATCATTCCCATATTTTAATTTTAAATATTTTTTAAAATAGATATTTTTTAGAGATGAGGTCTCCCTATGTTGCCCAGGCTGGTCTTGAATTCTTTGATCCTCTCGCCTCTGCCTCCCAAAGTGCTGAGATTATCAGCGTGAGCCACTGTGCCCAGCCTGTTCCCATAATTTACACTCTCCATTAATCAATACATGCACACGATCTCTCTAAAAAGGCAAATGTCACAGGTTGATATCACAACCGAAACTCACAGTGGGAAGGGATTTCTCCTCGACATCTGGCCGCGAGCAGGAAAGGGAAGAGAATGGAGAGAGGAAAAGAAAGAAATAATCCGAGCTGAGCTTGAAGGGAGAGAGAGTGAGGCACTCTTCAAAGTTCGCCCTTATCTTGGTTCCAACTGTGCAAGGAGAGACCTAAGAGGATTGGGCTGAACACAGATATCGTAGCCTCCCCCAAGCACAATGCCCCCCCGTTACTCCATACTAAGCTGGCAAGTCACAGGAGTCAGATCAGAGTCCTTGTCACATCTCTCTAACACCGTGGTGGGTGGGTATGTTTGCAATACACAGGGTTTCTGTAAGTCTATGAAAATCCTACTTTAGACTTTCTTTGACTCATCAATGATATCCGCCGATGACAGCTCCCTGGTCTTCCCCTCCAGCTAACGTGCTCCCTCTCATTCCACAAGGAAGCTCCACACCTGCCTGAAGTGCTCTCTGCAGTCCTCCCGTAAGTCTAACCTGTCCTTCCAGGCCTGCCTTCCTGCAAGAAGCTTGCATGTCTCCATCCACAGGAAGTTTCCAGCAGGTGGATTCCCGAAGCCTTTATTATTGACTTCTCTGGCTTTGTGTTGAACGTATGCTCTAAAGCATTAGTACTCACTTCTAAGTGTAATTCTTTGTCCCCCAATGAGGCTGCAAACTCCCTGCAAGCAAAACTGAAATCTGTATTTTATTTTATTTTTGAGACAGGGTCTCACTCGGTCTCCAAGGCTGGAGTGCAGTGGCATAATCACAGCTCACTGCAGCCTTGACCTCCTGGGTTCAAGCAATCCTCCCACCTCAGCCTCCCGAGTAGCTGGGACTACAGGTATGCACAACCATGCCTGGCTAATTTTTTTACTTTTTCTTTTGTAGAGATGAGGGTCTTCCTATGTTGCCTAGGCTGGTCCTGAACTCCCGAGCTCAAGCAATCCTCCCGCTTTGGCCTTCCAAAGTGCTGGGATTACAGGCCCACTGTGCCCGGCCAAAGCTGAAAGCTTACACTTCATTGAATCGACAGGTGTCTGCCTATAGTAGGTGCAGACATGTTTGTTGATTTTTCTGGGAAAGAGTGGGCAAAACTGGGGTTAAAGTAGCAAGTTGTTAGCATCGAAAAGGAAAAGGGGTAAGAGATGGGAGTAAATAATCTTCCCTCGTTTGAAGTTTTCGGTGTTGTTTAAGGTCCCTGTAGCAGAAGTATTTTCATTGCTGTTTCAAGATCAGCATAAGGTAAGAAAATAAACAGGAAGCTTCCTCTATGCTCTTTTAGTAACAATGAAGATAAAAATAATACCTGTTGAATGGCCAGGCGCAGTGGCTCATGCCTGTAATCCTAGCACTTTGGGAGGCCAAGGCGGGCGGATCACCTGAGATCAGGAGTTGAGACCAGCCTGGCCAACATGGTGAAACCCTGTCTCTACTAAAAATGAAAAAAACTAGCTGGGCATGGTGGTGGGTGCCTGTAATCCCAGCTACTCAGGAGACTGAGGCAGGAGAATCTCTTGAACCTGGGAGGCAGAGGTGACAGTGAGCAAGACCGCGCCATTGCACTCCAGCCTGGGCAACATGAGTGAAACTCCATCTCAAAAAATATAAATAAATAAAATAAAATAATACCTGTTAAATGAAGAAAAGGCCTAGCTCTCTATGACACAAGAATGGGCTAGTCACATCTCACCTGTAACAGTTTCAAATTTAACCCTATTACCATGCAACGCTTATCTGTCACTGCATTTGCAAAACCCCTTTCTCCTGAGTCCCCGGGCAGTTCACAGGTCCAGGCAGGCTCCTCACAGCCCTCCCTTTTCACCATGGCAGGCCCCAGGGCCTCCCCTGCTCTCCTCTCCTCTTGGTAGCTGTCACCACCCATCCAGACTATGGCATTTCTCGTCCCTCCAAGATGGGCTGAGGGAAGATGGTCTCCTTCGGCCACCATTCCTTGTGGTCCCGGAACACAAGCTGACAGACCCTCTTCATTTTGAGACTTTCATGTCCATTATTACAAGAGAAAAGACAAGATTTAAGGGAGAAAACATGGGGAAGTCCTATAAATGGGTAAAAATCTTTCTGGATCCTGCTCTATAGCACCTGACTATCTGGCTGAAATAACTAGAAGTTTCTTCTATACCAATGTTGGGGTCTCCAAAACCTTTTCTTTCCTACTGATCTTTTCCCTTGGCTGTGAATCCACCCCCACCTTCTTCCCCCAGAAAGGTCCGTCTTCATAGCACATAGACTTAACAGCAAGAAGCATCTTAGCGGGCTAACTGAGGACTAGTTTCACATGGTTTAACTTCTGAGCACCTCCAGACGCGGCAAGGCACATTTCATGACACCTCTATTCTCTGTGAGAATCTTCCCTAAAGGGCATCTTCCTATGGCTCCTCAGGGATTATTTTTGCTTTTCTCACTCTTTGAAAATAATTAAGCTTGTTCATTTTTTGAATAGGTTACTTTTCTACATAGCTCAATATTCAAAAATTACAAAAGCATTCAGCGAAAAATCTCCCCCCACCTCATCCTTGAGCCTCCTAGTTCCTTTTCTCAAAGTTACCAGGGTTGTGTTTTTTTTTCTGTTTTGTTTTTGGTTTTGTCTACTTCCAGTGATACTGCATATGTAGTGAGCAAACGTAGACATAAAACGCAAATGTACTGTCCCCCTTTCCTTTTTCACACAACTGGCAGCATGCTGTGAACACCACTGCTGTTTGCTCACTATATATGTGAGAGGCTATGTATGGAGTGTGTGTGTGTGTGTGTGTGTGTGTGTGTGTGTGTGTGTGACTGTTACAAATCAATACACGAGGCCGGGTGCAGTGGCTCACGCCTGTAATCCCAGCACTTTGGGAGGCCGATGTGGGCGGATCACCTGAGGTCAGGAGTTCGAGACCAGCCTGGCCAACATGGTGAAACCCTATCCCTACTAAAAATACAAAAATTAGCGGGGCGTGGTGGCGGGTGCCTGTAATCCCAGCTACTCAGGAGGCTGAGGCAGGAGAATCGCTTGAACCTGGGAGTCGGAGGTTGCAGTGAGCCAAGATTGCACCACTGCACTCCAGCCTGGGCAATGGAGTGAGACTCCATCTCAAAACAAAACAAAACAAAACAAAACAACAACAACAACAAAAACCCAAATTAATACAGGAAGAACTTCCCTAGTCTTTCAATGGCTGTAGAGCAGTTCACATCCAGATGAACCATACCGATAGATATTTGGGCCATTTTCAACGTTTGCTTTCACAAACGACACCAACATGAATGACCCTTTACGAATGTGCAGCCTCCTCTGCTGCAGCTGTCTGCTTTCTGGTAGGTGGACGTTGCCAATGGCCATGCCGTCCATCAGCATTCCTAGTGCTGCCCTGGAACACCATCATAAGAATATTCCAGCCAGGCATGGTGGCTCACGCCTGTAATCCCAGCACTTTGGGAGGCCAAGGCGGGTGGATCACCTAAGGTCAGGCATTCGAGACCAGCCTAGCAAACATGGTGAAACCCCATCTCTACTAAAAATACCAAAGAAATTTAGCGGGGCGTGGTGGTGCACTCCTGTAATCCCAGCTACTTGGGAGGCCGAGACAGGAGAATCACTTGAACTTGGGAGGCGGAGGTTGCAGTGAGCCGAGATTGCACCACTGCACTCCAGCCTCGGCGACAGAGTGAGACTTCGTCCAAAAAAAAAAAAAACAAACAAAAAACAAACAAACAAACAAAACATAACAACAACAACAAAATAATTTTCCTATCCTCCATCTGTCCCTATGAAGAGGGATGGGATCAGGTAATTCAAAGATATTTTTCTCATCAGTTGAGCTTTCTGTTCTTTTTCTAGAGGTATTTACCCAATATCCTGATGTGCCGTTATAGTGTCTTTAAAGCGAAGGAAATAGAAGAGAAATGCAATGCCATGCGTTTGACATTGGAATTCTCCAGGGTTCTGTTCTTGGCCTGCTTCCTGGCCAATCAGCGCCTGAATCTTCCATGGCTGGATGTGTTTCTGTTGCCCTGCTGTTCCCCTGGGCTCCGGGCCCATCTATTCAGCCCTCTTCTGAACTCGTATACTTGTGGTCCCATAGGTACCTCCAACCTGATATTTCCTGCTAGGTTTCCAGTACCAGTGGGGAGAGGCATGAACCTTAATACAACTGCCTGCCCAAGATTCCCGGGACTTTTCCCTTCCTGGGCCGGAAGCTCTCCCCTGTAGCCTGGAAGCTCTTGAGGGCAGGGGCTGTATCTTATGATTATCTCCCTAGGGCTAGTTCAGTGCCTGTAAAATCCTTGTTCATTAATGATAAACATACCAATGCTTCCTTCTTCTTTCTCATCTCAGGGCAATGGCTGAAACAACCTTGCAGGTGGACTTTGCATGGGGATAGAAAATTCCTTTTTTCAGGCTGGATGCCATTTTATTGGGCACAGAGAAGTGGGTGAGAATGCCAAGAGGCTATTGAGGGTGAGGGGCCCAAGAAAGACGAGGGTCCCACAGGAGGCTAAGGCCCAAGAAGAGGTAGAAACAGGAACAGCCTGTATATACCAGCTTGTCTACAGACCTGTGTTTTTCACTCCCTGATTTTTTTTTTTTTTTTTTTTTTGAGATAGAGTCTCACTCTGGTGCCGAGGCTGGAGTGCAGTGGCACGATCTCAGCTCACTGCAACCTCTGCCTCCTGGGCTCAAGCTATTCTTCTGCCTCAGCCTACTGAGTAGCTGGGATTCCAGGCACCTGCCACCACACCCAACTAATTTTTGTATTTTTGGTAGAGACGGGGTTTCACCACGTTGGCCAGGCTGGTCTTGAACTCCTGACCTCAGGTGATCTGCCCACCTTGGCCTCCCAAAGTGCTGGGATTACAGGTGTGAACCACTGCACCTGGCCCCTGATTGATTTTTTTGTTTGTTGTCCATTCATGTTATTTGCAGACATCTGCAAACGATCACTGATGCAAACAACACCATTGGATCAACCCAAGGATCAGTTAAGTGAACACATTAGGTAAAGAAGCAAGTGGATGTGGAAAATAGATAAATATAGTAACAACAATGACAGCACCTGCTTTGTGCCAGTCCTTCTTCTAGGAATACCAATGACAGTAATAACTGCAAATACCTGACAGCCAGGCATTGTGCTAACATGCATTTATTAATTCATTTCTTCTTCACAACATGCCTGTGATGTGGTAAAGAATCTTACCACATCTTCACTTTTTGTGACAATCTTCACTTTGTAGAAGATTCACCTCCTCCCTTTAAAAAAATCTCCCTCTCAACGTTTTATTATGACTCCCAGTTGAGGAGTTGATGCAGGATTTTTCTCGGCCCCTTTGCCAGACTTGCAGCAGGGGTGCCCTGTCTACTGGGCCTGCTGTGCTCAGCCCCTTGCGGGAGGGAGCATGCGAGTGAGTGAGTGAGTGCGGGACCCAGTCGGCCGCTCTAAGCTCAAACACAGGAGCAAGCTCCGTGCAGGGCCCGAGGCCAGGCCAGGCATGTTACCTCAAGGGAACGTGGTGGCTCCCAGACAAGGGTGCCCATGACCCTGAAGCCCCAGAGGGGGTGTCAGTGTGCTAATTAGCTCTTTTAGTTCCGTTGTCCATAGCCCAATGGACGGCAGCATGTTAGCAGCTCAGTCGGCCCCTGGCCCTGTCGTGTGGGGCAGCTGCCCTCCACTGGTGAGGGCAAAAGGCCAGTGTGACAACCTTTTTGGTACCCACACTTGGTGGGTCCTGAGCTCTTGCCCAGCATCCGAGAAGAATGAGGTCACACTGACAACTGAAGGGTGATGAGGGCAGATTTTTTTTTTTTTTTTGAGACGGAGTTTCACTCTTGTTGCCCAGGCTGGAGTGCAATGGTGCGATCCTGGCTCACTGCAACCTCTGCCTCCCAAGTTCAAGTGATTCTCCTGCCTCAGCCTCCCGAGTAGCTGGGATTACAGGCACCTACCACCATACCCAGCTAATTTTTTTTGTATTTTTAGCAGAGATGGGGTTTCACCATGTTGGCCAGGCTGGTCTTGAACTCCTGACCTCAGGTGATCTGCCCACCTCGGCCTCCCAAAGTGCTGGGGTTATAGGTGTGAGCCACCGTGCCTGGCCTGAGGGCAGGTAATTTTATTGAGGACAGAACAGCTCTCAGCAAAGAGGGGATGCAGAGGGGTAAGGAAATGCCCCACCCCCACAGTTGGGTGGTTTCTCTCTCCCCACGTGGCTGGGTCAGGGCTTTTTATGGACTCAGAATGGGGAGTGCATGCTGATTGGTTTGTGAGTATACAGAAAAGGTTAAAGCAAAGACACCATTCAAAGGTGGGCACAATGTTGTAGAAAACCGATTAGGAAAGGGTAGGTACATGTAAAATAGGTGAAGGGTGGGGATCAATCAGGGGAAAGCACGCCAAATGGGAAGACAGATTCTCAATTGGTCTGTGGATTTGACTTGTAGCGTGGCTTTCAGGCTTTCAACTGTCTATAGCTTGGCGGTGGGATTTCACCAGGGACCCACCCCTATCTGTCCAGGCATTTGGCTGCCTCCTGCTGCTATCAGAGTGATGTGGTAATATTGTATATAAATATGGATTATTGTGTTTGAAAAACATAAAATCAGAAGTTGTTGGTTTTAGCAGTGCAAGCACAGTTTAAACTCACCCCTGTAAATTGCCTAAAGCATAGGTTGGGGGCTGAGGTCATGGGTAGAGACAAAGGCTCAGAGTGCAGAGGAGATGGCTGAGGAGGTCCTCCCTCGGGGGCCTTCTTCTAAGAAGAAGGCCTAAGAGGCTGATGCTAGTCCCAGTCCCAGCTTCATCCGGTTGATAGGATGCTTAATCCTCAGGATGGAGTTGCTTCAAGGACTTTCCATCTAGGAATTCTGGGGAAGGACCCCTGCTGTCTCCTGTCTGCTCAGGAGCCCAGAAAGCTGCTCAGTCCTGTAGGGACACCTTCCAGAGGGCCCTGCTTTGGCCAACGCCTATGAGCAAAACATTCCCTTTTACTCCCCGCTTATGCTTCTGGCGGAAACAGAGGCAAGGTGTTAGAAAGAAATAACCAACGCAGTTTTAAAGAATCCACAGGCCTGGCTTTGTGTTTGTTTTATCTTTTAAGTAACCTTGGGGTAATATTTTTAGCTGCAGAGGAAGGCTAAGCAACTCGAGCCAGGGTTTTGAAATTCAAATCCAAGACTATGTGACTACATCTTTCAGCCTTCCAAGTAGGTGAAATAGGTAGGGATGGTGCAAATGTTCAAAGGCCATAAGGTCTGAGTGAACTCATATTTCAAAACACCTGTGTCTTAAAAAATTGGCTTCCAGTGTAGTTTGTGGTGAAATACCATATTACGAAACACACATACACACACACATGCTACATACATATATCTTATTTTATGTTATATATATATTTTTAAGACAGGGTCTCACTGTCACCCAGGCTGAAGTGCAGTAGTACAATCATAGCTCACTGCAGCCTCGACCTCTCAGGCTCAAGCAATCCTCCCACCTGAGCCTCCCCAGTAGCTGGGACCACAGGTGTGCACCACCATACCTAGCTAACTTTCATTTTTTGTAGAGATTGGTGGGGCCTCATTATGTTACCCAGGCTCATCTCAAACTCCTGGACTCAAGTGATCCCCCTGCCTCAGCCTCCCAAAGTGCTGGGATTACAGGCATGAGCCACTGCATCCAACCTACATACATATATATTAAACCCCAATGGTAACAGTGACTAAAGCATGTTATAACAAATACGTATATAACTAATAATATTACATAAATCACAAACACAGTTCTCTTCTGGTAGGTCCTGAATAGAAGTTAATTTGTGTCACATATTTTGTGTTAAAATAAAAACAAATAGCCATTTGGCATTGGTCTAAATGCTAAGTGAACGAGAGCAGGTAGAATCATTTCCATTGGAAATGCCACAGTAATTTATTATGGATAGCCTGATGAAACAAGAGGCAACAAGACACAACAAGTAAACTCGGCTCTCTTCCAGGCAAAGGAGAAATGCAAAGACTCCAAGTAGCGGGCTCACCTGAGAGTTGATTTTGCCCCCAGGATTCTTCCCAGGGAGGCTTATTCATCTTTTAGGTATCAAAAATTAACAACAACCAAGATTGTAGTTCTTAGGCTGTGGAGTGCACATAGCACATAATCCATGGCACTGAGTTCAACACACATGCATTCTTCAGTCTAGGAGCATGGAGTAAGAAACAAAACACTGGCTAGGCGCCGTGACCCACACCTGTCATCCCAGTGCTCGGGGAGGCCAAGGCGGGAGGACTGCTTGAGGCCAGGAATTCAAGAACAGCCTGGGCAACATAGTGAGACCCTGTCTCTACCAAAATTTGAAAAATTAACCAGGTGTGGTGGTGTGCATCTGTAGTCCTAGCTACTCAGGAGGCTAAGGCAGGAAGATCACTTGAGCCCAGGAGGTCAAAGCTGCAGTGAGCTCTGATTGCACTGCTCCAGTCCAGAATGGGCAACAGAGCGAGACTCTGTCTCTAAAAAAAGAACAAGAAAAAACAAGAAACACCACAATGATGAGGAGTCCACACGTAGGCACAAGACTATACGGAGGCCATGTAGGAGCTGAAAATATGTGGCTTATATTCCACACAGCTATTGATGCAACTGTTTCTTACACAGTGGAAACTGACTATAAGGGCCAGGTGCAGTGGCTCACATCTGTAATCTCAGCACTTTGGGAGGCTGAAGCAGGCAGATAGCTTGAGACCCGGAGCTCGAGACCAGCCTGGGCAACATGGAGAAACCCCGTCTCTACTAAAAATACAAAAATTAGCCAGGCGTGGTGGTACACACCTGTAATCCCAGCTACTTGGGAGGCTGAGGCATGAGAATTACTTGAACCTGAGAGGCAGAGGCTGCAGTGACCCAAGATTGCATCACTGCATTCCGGCCTGGGCAACAGAGTGAGACTGTGTCTAAAAAAATAAATAAAATAAAAACTAAATGAAACTGACTATAAGGAAGAGAAAAGACAAAGGGGGAAGAAGAAGAGAAATGGGGACGGTCAAGGAAAAAGCAAAAAGGAGACTCTTGTTCTATGGGCCAGGGCCTCCCACCAATGCCTTCTGGCTGCCTGGCAGGTCCCTCCTCCACCTGTCTCTCAGCCACAGCTCACCATCAGATTTCTCTCATCTTTCCTTGTGGGCTCAGGGTGATGGCTTAGTATGATTTTTACTGCTGTTACTACTACTATTACTACCACTAGCTTTGAGCTAGGTACTGTGCTAATGCTTTACATCCTCCTCCCAATTCAGTGACGTTCGTTAGTCTTGTTACTAACTCCATGTTACACATGAGGAAAAAGAGGCTCAGAGAGGTTACACAACTTGGCCAAAATCACCAGACTACTAAAATAGTGGTACGATGGGCATTGAACTTAGGCTATTTGCATCCCAATCTGTGTCCTTAGAAAGCAAAATAGGCCAGGTGTGGTGGCTTATGCCTGTAATCCCAGCACTTTGGGAGGCTGAGGCAAATGGACTTCTTGAGGTCAGGAGTTTGAGACCAGACTAGCCAATATGGTGAAACCCCATCTCTACTAAAAATACAAAAATCAGCCGGGCGTGGTGGCAAGTGCCTGTAATCCAAGCTACTTGGGAGGCTGAGGCAGGAGAATCGTTTGAACCCAGGAGGCAGAGGTTGCAGTGAGATGGCCCCACTGCACTCCAGCCTGGGCAATAGAGTGAGAACCTGTCTCAAAAAAAAAAAAAAAGAAAAGAAAAGAAAAGAAAATAGAAAAATAATATTGAATGAGAGCACGAACACATATTACATGCTAAATATAATATACTGGGGATTTAGGTAGGTGTCATTATTCCCATTTTACAGATGAAGAAACTGAGGCCTAGAGAGGTTAAGTAACTTATCTGAAGTCATATTGTTTAGTACAAGAGCCCAGGTCTGTCTGACTGCAAAGCCCATATTCTTTGTTATTCTTCCTTCCAAATGGAATTCCCAGGAATTTCATTGCTTGAATTAAATAGTTAAAAACCTCTCCAATGGATATTTTTGGTTCTGCACATTCAAACCAAACAGACATTGTTATAAAATGAACACCCGGCCGTGCACAGTGGCTCATGCCTGTAATCCCAGCACTTTGGGAAGCTGAGGCAGGAGGATCGCTTGAGGCCGGGAGTTTGGGACGAGCCCAGGCAAAATAGCGAGACCCTGTCTCTACAAAAAATACCCCCAAAAACCACAATTAGCCAGACTTGGTGGTGCACAGGTCCCGGCTACCTGGGAGGCTGAGGTGGGAGGATCCCCTGAGCTCTGGGAGTTGTTGAGGCTGCAGTGAGCTGTGATCACGCCACTGCACTCCAGCCTGAGTGACAGAGTGAGACCCTGTCTCAAAAAAAAAAAAATTAAATTTAAATTTAAAAAACCCCCAACACCTGAGAAGTGCATCAGAATTTGATAAGAAGTATATCAAAGATTGCCTGCAAGGAAGCTTCTGCAGAAACTCTGTTCTATAAATTCTTCTGTTTTGGTTCATTATACTTCCTAAAGTTCAAAGAAAAAGACTGGAAACATAAAATAGTTTGTGTTGGTTTTAAATTAGGATTCATGAATGTAACGGATTTTTTTTTTTTTGTATTCTGCATAAAGCCATTTTAATTACAGCTGTGTTCTTCAGGCATCGGGGAGAAAGGGGTGTGAATGCTTAGAAACCCATGGGGCCCCATAGCAAACTCTCATTTTATTTTATTACTATTATTATTATTATTATTTATTTAAGTGCTCTGTCACCCAGGCTGGAATGCAGTGGCACAATCATGGCTCACTGCCCCCTTAACCTCCTGGGCTCAAGTGATCCTCCTACCTCAGCCTTCCAAGTGGCTGGGACTACAGGCATGCGACACCACACCTTGCTAATTATTTTATTTTTTTGCAGAGACAGGGTCTCACTATGTTGCCCAGGCTGGTCTCAAACTCCTGGCCTCAAGCCATCCTTCCACCTCGGCCTCCTCCATCCTTGGGGTTTCCCAGCCACTGGACCCACCAAACTCTCATTTTATAAATGAGGAAACAAAGACTCTGGGAATTTGAGTGACTACTCATTAGTGGTACAGTTGAAACTAGAACTGGGGTTTCCTGATTCTTAAACCATTGTTCATTCCACAATATGATCCAGGAATCACTTTAGAGTATATTCCTGTGTGTGGTTCCCCCCCACCCCTTTTGAGTGAAGGAAAAAAGGTGAGAAAGCTTGAAGAAGCACTTTAAAAAATCAGGACACTAAGAGTAAAGTTATCCCTGGAAAGAGGTGAAGAAGGTAATTTCAGAGGCTGGAATTAGCAGAGCACAGGAAAAGATAAGGGCTAATCTAAGGCAATCAGGGTAAGCAGGCAATTAAAGACTTTTGTTACTTGTATTTAAGTGAATGCTCTGAAACGGCAGGCTTTTTGAAATCCATGGCTGAACCAGGACCTAGAAAGTGAGGACATCTAACTCCCAAGTAAAAGTTCAGTGCTAGACAAAGGGTATTTGTGTTTATACTTGATAAAGGAAAAAACAAAGAAAAGAAACAAGATGTCAGCTAGGGTCCCCTTAGCCCAATTCCAGGGCCTCGGAAGTTCAAAGCCCATCTCCTTGTTTTCTGTGAATTGTCCTAAGGAGTGTTCATTTTCATAGCTTTCTAGACTTCTAAGATCTTGCTTCCATGTGTAAATGGAGTAGAATTTACTGCAGAGATGGAGGGAGGTATTTACATCCCAGTAACGGCAAACAGGTTTAATTGGAACAGGTGGTATCTAATACTGTTCCCGCCTCTCTCCCCTACCTAATGTTGGCTTCTCTCCTCCTCTTCCTCCTACCTCTTTCCTCCCTACTCCCTCTCCTCCTCCACCTCTTCCCTTCCAGGAGCAGAAACAACAAATTCGTCCCCTAATCTCTAGACCAGCAGGTTTTCCCTGCCTCTGAAGTCCTAGAGTCTGCTGACATCCTTGCTCTCAAGGCCTCCTCTCTCCCTATGAGTTTAGCAAAGTCTCTCCCTCAAGAAGACAGCTCCTTCCTTCCCTAAGAATTACATGCATCTGCTGTTAAAATTAAAAATATAGGGCTGGGCGCAGGGGCTCACGCCTGTAATCCCAGCACTTTGGGAGGCCAAGGTGGGTGGATCACCTGAGGTCAGGAGTTTGAGACCAGCCTGGCCAACATGGCGAAATCCTGTCTCTACTAAAAATACAAAAATTAGCCAAGCGTGGTGGCAGGTGCCTGTAGTCCCAGCTACTCAGGAGGCTGAGGCAGGAGAATCGCTTGAACCTGGGAGGTGGAGGTTGCAGTGAGCCGAGATCGCGCCATTGCACTCCAGCCTGGGCAACAAGAGTGAAACTCCGTCTCAAAAAAAAAAAAAAACTAAAAAAAAAATATTGTATGTCTTTACACAAGGTTGAAAATCTTTGAAGTTTAATGAAGATGGTATCTGACTACTGTGAAGTTTATATATATATATAATGTGTGTATATATATGTGTGTTTATATATATATATATAAACTCCACAGTGTATATATATATGTGTGTGTGTGTGTGTGTGTGTGTGTGTGTGTGTATTTTTTTTTTTTTTTTTGAGACAGTCTTGCTCTGTCACCCAGGCTGGAGTGCAGTGGCGCGATCTCAGCTCACTGCAACCTCTGCCTCCCGGGTTAAAGCGATTCTCCTGCCTCAGCCTCCCAAGTAGCTGGGATTACAGGCATGCACCACCATGCCTAATTTTTGTATTTTTAGTAGAGACAGGGTTTCACCACGTTGGCCAGGCCGGTCTCAAACTCCTGACTTCGTGATCTGCCCTCCTCGGCCTCCCAAAATGTTGGGATTACAGGCGTGAGCCACTGTGCCCGGCCGGAATTTGTATTTTTAATTGCTTTGTTTTATATGGAATCTTGTTCTCATAACTAATTGTAATGGGAGTGTCTTGACATTTACATAATTTTCATAAGGAGCCTTCAAAACTGTAAAGGATTAGCAATCAGGTCTAAGCTTTATTCCCATCTTTTTTCTTCTTTTTGAGACAGAGTCTTGCTCTGTCGCCCAGGCTGGAGCGCAATGGTGCGATCTCAAGCCACTGTAACCTCTGCTTCCTGGGTTCAAGTGATTCTCTTACCCCAGTCTCCCAAGTAGCTAAGATTACAGGTGCCCGCCACCACACTTGGCTAATTTTTGTATTTTTAGTAGAGATGGGGTTTCACCATGTTGGCCAGGCTAGTCTCAAACTCCTGACCTCAGGTGATCCGCCTGCCTCAGCCTCCCAAAGTGCTGGGATTACAGGTGTGAGCCACCTCGCCCAGCCCATCTTTCATCAATCATTCACCCTAAAAAGTGGTTAGACTAAGTGGTTCTGACTAAGGCAGCACTTGGGGTCCGCTTTAGAATCAAAAGCAGAAGAGCAAATCAGGCACACTTTCAAGGTGGCGGGTTTTGAAACCTCAAACTCATCAAATAATAGGAAACATGACAAGCTCACCGCAACATGTGCAAGATGTGAAACCGTTTCCCCAAGTATGGTTCTGTTTTTGGAGACAGCGCTCACATCTGAAGGCTCTAAGTAATGACAGGCAAAAAGGGAGGCTGGTGTCAGTGATCTGACAGCCACATCCCCAGAGAGATGGACTAAGGAATATTACTTGTACTTTTTTTTTTTTTTAGGTAGGGTCTCGCTCTGTCACCCAGGCTGGACTGCAGTGGTGAGATCATGGCTCACTACAGCTTCAAACTCCCGGGCTCAAGTGATCCTCCCACCTCAGCCTCCAGAGTAGCTGGAACTACAGGTGCATGCCCCTGCCATGCCCAGCTAATTAAAAAATGTTTTATTGTAGAGATGGGATTTTGCTGTGTTGCCCAGGCTAGTCTCAAACTCCTGGCCTCAATTATTCTCTCATCTCAGCCTCCCAAAGTGCTGGGATGACAGGTATGAGCCACTGCCCCCTGGCCATGTGTCCTCTTTTATTCTCCCATTATCTTCTCTCTTCCTGCCCTCTCCATTTAACAAAGCCTCTTTCCTGATATTAGGCGTGAGGAATCTTCAAGTGTTCAGGTCTCAGGTAACCTCCTAGGTTTGGGGGTCAGGGTTTGGGGGTATGTCACTTTCATCTTTGCCTTTAGAAGGTGCTCCCCTAAGTTTGTCCTGCTCACCTGCTTCTCTAGGTCCTCCTGAAATCTTCCTCCATAAACCTGTCCAAATGATGGGGGAACTTTCTGTCAGAGGTGTTTGAACCAGGGCAACTCCATCTTGAATAGGAGCTGGGTAAAATGAGGCTGAAACCTACTGGGCTTCACTCCCAGACGGTTAAGGCATTCTAAGTCACAGGATGAGATAGGAGGTCAGCACGAGATACAGGTCATAAAGACCTTAATGATAAAACAGGTTGCAATAAAAAAGCCGGCCAAAACCCACCAAAACCAAGATGGCGACAGGAATGACCTCTGGTCATACTCACTGCTACACTCCGATTACTGCCATGACAGTTTACAAATGCCATGGCAACGTCAGAAAATTACCCTATATGGTCTAAAAGCGGGAGACATGAATAATCCACCCCTTGTTTAGCATACAATCAACAAATAACCATAAAAATCGGCAACCAGCAGCCCTCGGGGCTGCTCTGTCTATGGAGTAGCCATTCTTTTATTTCTTTAGGTTCTTAATAAACTTGCTTTCACTGTATGAACTTGCACTAGATCCAAGAACCCTCTCTGGGGGTCTGGATCCAGACCCTTTCTGGTAACATTCATGTATCAAATGAATACATGATTTTCTGCACTGGAATCACACCTAGGCTGTGTCTAGTGTAACAAATTCACTCTATGGCGGCTGTTACCAGAGTTTTACCCTCACTTTCCTTTGTTCCCCTGACTGGATTTCCTCAGTATCCATTTCCTCTTCTCTTGCCTCACATCCAATATTTCTTCTTTTTTTTTTTTTTTTTTGAGACGGAGTCTTGCTCTGTCACCCAGGCTGGAGTGCAGTGGCGCGATCTCGGCTCACTGCAACCTCCGCCTCCAGGGTTCAAGCAATTCTCCTGCTTCAGCCTCCAGAGTAGCTGGTACTACAGGCGTGTGCCAACATGCCCGGCTAATTTTTTCTTTTCTTTTTTTTTTTTTTTTGAGACGGAGTCTTGCTCTGTTGCCCTGGCTGGAGTGCAGTGGCGTGATCTTGGCTCACTGCAGCCTCCGCCCTGGGTTCACGCCATTCTCCTGCCTCAGCCTCCCGAGTAGCTTGGACTACAAGCACCCGCCACTTCGCCGAGCTAATTTTTTGTATTTTTTTTAGTAGAGACGGGATTTCACCGTGTTAGCCAGGATGGTCTCGATCTCCTGACCTCACAATCTGCCCACCTCGGCCTCCCAAAGTGCTGGGATTACAGGTGTGAGCCACCGCGCCCGGACTTTTTTTTTTTTTTTTTTTTTTTTTGTATTTTTAGTAGAGACAGGGTTTCACCGTATTTGCCAGGATGGTCTCAATCCCCTAACCTCGTGATCCACCCACCTCGGCCTCCCAAAGTGCTGGGATTACAGGCGTGAGCCACCGTGCCCGGCCTATTTCTTCATTTTCACAATCATCTTGCATCACTTAGGAGGCCGATGAGGGCAAACTACCATCCTGTGGAGAGAGGAACTGAGTCACACCCGCCTTGTATCCCAAACAGCCAAGCTTGTCCTTGGCAAGCTCATCACCGGCATGAGTCAAAATATCGCAGCATACTTTTTGGGGGATTTAATGATGCCGTATGCTCTTTATCAAAACTACGAAACATAAATAGTGATTATAATTAGTATATTTACAAAAAACACAAGAATAGACAGATACAATCATGAGTCCCATTCACGAAGAGCTATTCTTCTCTCACTGCTTAATGTACCCTGGTTTCCCTTTCAGGCTTAATTAGCGCAACTTTTTAACTTTTTAATTTATAATGAATGCTTTCACTTAAGCAGTTCCTGCTAGGGTTTGACAGATGGTTAATGTCAAAAGCCCATGGGGATGGCTTAGCTTTGGGTTTTGTGTTTTCGAAGCAGGAGAAATGTTTGACTGTGCTGATAATTTCTCAGCATGTATCACCATCAACTTTTATTGTCCTTCAAATTCCCCGTTCTCCCATGGACTTCTCTTCCACTCCTTGCCTATCAGGGGCTGGAAACCAGGCAGAAGCACGACATAATGGCCCATGTGATAAGCCTCATAAAGTTATTTTTCTCAATTAATGGCTTCACTGACAATTTTACTGCTTTGCTCTAAGCTCCCCCGTTCCCTTGGGCATCAGGACACATGTCTATGGTAAGCCTCATCCAGTCCAACAAAACTGGCCCTACAGAATTCAGATGGCCCTGTTTAAAGAAGCTCATCTCTCTCTCTCTTTCTTTTTTCTTTTTTTTGCAACATAACACTTGAAAATACATTTTAACAGAAAGTAATAGAGCTTTAAAGCAGAGCTATAAAAGTGATTTATTCCTGAGTACGTACTTATTCCTCTCCCAGCTGACATCCATTTTATATTAATTTTCCTTGAGTGTGTATCTTCATCTCTTTTCTAAATCCTTACTACTATATATGAACTTTGAATTCCACCCTTATTCCTTTCTACTTCGTGCCAAAGACTTGCATAATGTGCTGAAAGAGAGCCACAGGGCTTCGGAGCCACGATTTGGGAAACTCTGCTAGGCAATGATAATGCTCCCTAGTCACAATTACTGGCTTTATTAGGTAGTCAATTCGCTGTTTTTTAATTAGGAAGGGAAAAGTTCTTAATTCATTTTTTCCAAAGTTACTTTAAATGCATTTTTCCTTTTTTTTTTTTTTTTTTTTTTTGAGACAGAGTCTCACGCTGTTGCCCAGCCTGGAGTGCAGTGGTGCGACCTTGGCTGACTATAACCTTTGCTTCCTAGGTTCAAACCATCCTCCTGCCTCCCCCGCACCCGCCATAGGCATGTGCCACCACGCCCAGCTAATTTTTGTATTGTTAGTGGAGACAGGGTTCCGCCATGCTGCCCAGGCTGCGCTCGAATCCCTGACCTCAAGTGATCCTCCTGCCTCAGCCTCCCAAAGTACTGGGATTACAGGCGTGAGCCACCATGCCTGGCCTAAATGCACTTAGATGAGGAGAACCTTCACTTACAGACAGCAATTTCTGATAGCACCTCCCCCTGCCCCAAAGGACTCAGCAGAAGAAAGAACCACTGATAAAAAAATACTCCCCTTGGCCAGGCGCGGTGGCTCATGCTTGTAATCCCAGCACTTTGGGAGGCCGAGGCAGGTGGATCACCTGAGGTCAAGAGTTGGAGACCAGTCTGGTCAACATGGAGAAACCCCGTCTCTACTAAAAATACAAAAATTAGCTGGGCATGGTGGTGGCACCTGTAATCCCAGCTACTTGGGAGGCTGAGGCAGGAGAATCACTTGAACCCCAGGAGGCGGAGGTTGCAGTGAGTCGAAATCATGCCATTGCACTCCAGCCAGGAAGACAAGAACAAGACTCTGTCTTAAACAAACAAACAAAAAAACTCCCCTTATATCATACAGTTTTCAAAGCAATTTCATACACATCAGTTCATCCAGTCTTTTTCTTTTTTTAACAGATGAGAAAACAGAGGCTCAGAGAGATTAAATAAAGTGTATCTTCAAGGTCATGGCTTCTCTGCCAGTCAGTGTCAGAAACCCGAATTTAAATCACCACTCCATGATTCTGATTAAATAAATGAATTCAATTTTGCAAATAGGATTAGAGATCTGGAGATTTTCATTAATGTTATGGTGATGAATCTTTCATAAACAATACTTACCATTGATTGTGCTTTTCTTAGCCTAGTTCTGTCCTGCAATTTATTTTTCTTATCATGTGACTGTCGGCTGAAGTCTGGGGTCATTTGGTTTCTTTTTCTTCTTCTGTAAATTGGAAAGCAGTGGGAAAATTACAAAGTATCTTTTTAAAACTCAGGTGGTTTGCATAGCTATTTGTCTGTTTGAGTTTGTTGTTCCTGTGATTTAAAAGATTGTCTCCACTTAACTGGAAATAAGCCAAATGTCTATCAATAGAGAACTGGTTGCATCAACTCCTGCATCTCCACACAATGCAGTACTATGAGCTGCAAATGGAAAGCAGGATGTTTCTATATTCAACTGTGGAAGGATCTCCAGGATATACTGTTACATTAAGAAAGAAGGGTGGATGAGACGGTATGTACTGGGTGCTGCCATTCCTTTCAAGAAGAAGGTATTAAGATCTCTGCCTCTATATATTGTGCATATGTATTTACTTGTACTTTTTAAAATGGAAGGAGTATGGCCAGATGGGGTGGCTCACGCCTGTAATCCCAGCACTTTGGGAGGCCAAGGCGGGTGGATCACCTGAGGTCAGGGGTTCGAGACCAGCCTGGCCAACATGGTGAAACCCCATCTCTACTAAAAATACAAAAATTAGCCAGGCGTGGTGGCACACACCTGTAGTCCCAGCTACTTGGGAGGCTGAGGCAGGAGAATCACTCGAACCCAGGAAGTAGAGGTTGTAGTGAGCCAAGATCACACCACTGCACTCCAGCCTGGGCGACAGAGTGAGACTCCGTCTCAAAAAAATAATAATAAAATAAAATGGAAAGATTAAACCATAAAATGAAAAATAGTTACCTGTAAGTAGGATTCCCATGTGAACTGATCAAAAACAGGGAATGTGAGCTGGGCACGGTGACTCATGCCCGTAACCCCAGCTTTTTGGAAAGGCGAGAGGGAAGGATAACTTGAGTCCAGGAGTTTGAGACCCACCTGGGCAACATGGTGAGACCCTATCTCTACAAAAGATTAAAAAATTTAGCTGGGCATGGTGGTGCATGCCTGTAGTTCCAGCTACTCAGGAGGCTGAGGTGGGAGGATCGCTTGAGCCCTGGAGGTCCAAGCTGCAGTGAGCCATGACTGTGCTACCGCACTCTAGCCTGGGCAACAGAGTGAGACCCTAAATCAAAAAAAAAAAAAAAAAAAAGAAAGAAAGAAAGAAAAGAAAAAAAAGGAACAGGTAATATGGAGGAACAGGAACCAAAAGTTAGATTTCTCCAAGTATAGCTTATTTTGTATATTTAATTTTGGAATCATCTAAATTTTTCTCAAAATCATAAAACAAAATGAAGTGAAAAATACCTAAAATCTGAAAAGCAAAATGAAACAAATATATATCTATTGAGTTGGTGGCATTACTACACACAAAGGAGTTACTTCATGTGAATTTAATGCAGTAATTTGTCTGAATATTCTTGATAGAATATATCTGAGAGATAAAAACACAGACAGGGAAGTCAAACTGTTTTCAGTAATCATACCACTTGCTTTAATGTTAGCATTTCTTTTCTAAAACTCCTGTATGTATTACGATAAAGCAAGGATCCTCCAACCACAGTCACAGGCTCAATCCAGCCTGCTGCCTATTTCTGTAAATAAAGTTTTATTGGAACATAGTCATGCTTATTTCTTGCACATGGTCTATTACTATATTCAGGCTACAATGGCAGAGTTGAGCAGCTGTGACAGAGACCATATGCCCTGCAAAGACTAAAATATTTCCTGCCTTGCCATTTACAGGAAAAGTTTGCCTGATGTAATGGATCTAGGCGATGAGTATCCATGGCTACCAACACGAGACAGACAACCAGAAATGATGTGCGTTGTGACGGAAGTACATATCCCTGTTCAGTATATACGTAAGCCTCTAGGTCTGACTGTCAGTATAACCAGGTACGGGGGACAGAAGAACCTGTTAAGATGCATGTGGGCGGTGCAATCCACAAAATCCAGAATGTGAGAAGCTCTCTGGGATAAATGATCTGATAGTTATAACAAACAAATTGCAAGGAAAAAAAAGGACAGAGGGGAAATCTATGGACAAAACAGAAGAAAAGAAAATGCTGAAGTGACATGTAGATCGAATGCAATATGTAGACTTCTTTTTTTTTTTTTTTTTTTTTTTTGAGACAGGGTCTTGCTCTGTCACCCAGGCTGGAGTGCAGTGGCACAACCATGGCTCATTGCAGCCTCCACTTCCTGGGCTCAAGCAATCTTCCCATTTCAACCTCCTGAGTAGCTGGGACTACAGGCATGCAACATCACATTTGGCTAATTTTATTTTATTTTTATAGAGACAGGTTCTTGCTATGTTGCCCAGACTGGTCTCAAACTCCTAGACTCAGGTGATACTTCTGCCTCAGCCACCCAGAGTTCTGGGATTACAGGTGTTTGCCACCACACCTGGCCTGATCTTCTTGGGAGTTCACTCCAACCTCTCAGCTCAGCTCCCTTGGCCCAATAAAGAAGGGTGATACGGGTCAGGTGCGGTGGCTCATGCCTGTAATCCCAGCACTTTGGGAGGCTGAGGTGTGAGGATCATGAGGTTAGGAGTTCGAGACCAGCCTGGCCAACATGGTGAAACCTCGTCCCTACTAAAAATACAAAAATTAGCTGGGCGTGGTGGTGCGTGCCTGTACTCCTGGCTACTAGGGAGGCTGAGGCAGGAGAATGGCTTGAATCCAGGAGGCAGAGGTTGCAGTGAGCCGAGATCATGCCACTGCACTCCAGCCTGGGTGACAGAGCAAGACTGTCTCAAAAAAAAAAGAAAAAAAAAAAAAAAGAAGGGCGATTTGCATAAACGTCCCAAAAGAAGATCAAAATTGGGGGACTCCCACTTTCTGGTTTTAAAATGTACTACAGAGCTACAATAATCAAAACAGTGTCATACTGGTGTAAAGACCAATATAGAGACCAATAGAATAGAATAAGGAGCCCAGAGTTAAAACCCTCACATATATGGTCTATTGACTTTCAACAAGGGTGTCAAGACTATTCAGTGGGGCAAAGGACAGTCTTTTCAACAATGGTGCTGGGGAAACGGGATATCTACATGCAAAACAATGAAGTTGGACCCCAACTTTATACCATATGCAAAAATTAACTCAAAATGGGTCAAAGACCTAAACTGCAGAACTAAAATCACAAAACTCTTAGAAGAAAATATACAGGAAAATTGCCGTGACATTGGATTTGGCAATGATTTCTTGGATGTGACACCAAAAATTTAGACAAATTGGACTTCATCAAAATTGAAAACTTTTGTGCTCTAAAAGATGCTATCAAGAGAGTGAATGTCTCGGGTGTCAGGTCTACTTGGGGAAATGAGCTTCAGGGTTGCTCCGTTTCATTTGTTTAATCTTTGCACTATCTCTTGATTTTTCTGTCACCAACCTGACTCCAGCTCAGTCTCTCTGGCTTGCTCCATTCCCAGGACTCTGATCTCAATTATGTGCCTCTGAAATTGGACCTCTGTGGAGTAATACCTCAGCCTTTCTTGTACCTATGTGCTGGTTTGTACTGGGCTGGCACTGTCCATGATGCCAGCAGTAGGCACCAAAACTTATGAAGACCTAACAACTAGCCAGGCACGGTGGCTCATGCCTGTAATCCCAGCACTTTCGGAGGGCGAAGTGAGAGGATCACTTGAGTCTGATCGCTTGAGTCTGGGAGTTAGAGACCAGCCTGGGCAACATAATGAGACCCCGTTCTACAAAAAATAAAAATAATAATTTTTTAAAAGGCTTAGCAATTTTTAAAAAATGCCTAAATCCTTGACAGATCCAGTCCAATGGTCCTTGATTTGTGTTTCATTCATCTTAGAAGTGAAAGGTAATGTCCTTTACTAAGGGAAACATTTAAGCGAGAAAGAGGCACCTCCATCCCCGCACTCACCCAGACTTCTTTCAAGTACAATATTTTAATAAACAACAAAGGAGCTCCACCAGGAAACCCCAAAGATCCAAGGCTGTTTCACATATTCTGCATCTCTGGGGAGAGCTGAAGAGTCACTTTCAGCTTAAGATATTGTACTAGAGCCCTATTGGCTCCTGACAGGATGTTTTTAGGTTTGAAAGATACTCATGAAGAGATTTCTGGTGTGTTTGTCAAAGAACCAAAAATCTTTTTTCTTTGTTTTCTTTCTCTCTTTCTGTCTCTTTGTTGTTGTTTTTTTTTTTTTTGTTTTTTGTTTTTTGAGATAGGGTCTAGCTATATTGCACAGGCTGGTCTCAAACTTCTGGGCTCAAGTGATCCTCCTGCCTCGGCCTCCCAAAGTGCCATGATTACCGACACATGCCACCTTACTCAGCTTTACTTTCGGAATGTATTTATAAGTAAATATTTTATATATATATATTACAATCAGTAAATCTAATGAGTGTCAGGTTTCTTACCATCAGAAAAGGGAGTCACAAATACAGAAAGAATAAAGGCTAGAATGAACCCTTTGGTGCTGGACTGCAATTTAATATTAAAATATTAGAAGAGGCCAGGCACAGTTGCTCATGCCTGTAATCCCAGCACTTTAGGAGGCCGAGGCATGTGGATCACCTGAGGTCAGGAGTTCAAGACCAGCCTGGTCAACATGGTGAAACCCCTGTCTCTACTAAAAATACAAAAATTAGCTGGGCATCGTGGCGGTCGCCTGTAGCCCCAGCTACTTGGTAGGCTGAAGCAGGAGAATCGCTTGAACCCGGGAGGTGGAGGTTGCAGTGAGCTGAGATTGCACCACTGCACTCCAGCCTGGGTGAGTGTCAGAGCAAGACTCCAGACTACGTCTCAAAAAAAAAAAAAAAAAAAATTAGAAGAAGCAATGTTAAATCATTACTATTACAAAATGCAAACAAACTGTAACCAATAGAGCAAATTTGCTAGTAATGGTCAGTATCCTGCTCTATTACTTTTTGCTTCTATGTACTGAAAAGCTTTTGTATTTCACAGTAAGTTCTATTTCCATCTCTTCGTATACTGAAATGCCAATAAATTATTTCTAAAAACGAAGAAGTTGAGAAGAGCATGGAGCTTCTTACCCTTGCTGGACAGTCTCCATGGGGTCACGGTTGTCTAGGTAATTAAAACGAATGATATCTGTTGGGTGCTTATCAGAAGATCGCCAGGGTGGAAGTGCTTTCTCCCCTGAGTTATTCTTCTTTCTTAAAGAGGAAGAGGACCGAAAAGCTGATAAAGGGGACTGTTTTTCCTCTGGAGAATTGCTTGTAACTAGTTGAACGTCAGCGATTACAAATCCATCCTTTGGGGGTGTCTAGAAGAAGAAAGTTAATTATGTTCTCAAAACACTATAATACGCTGGGTGCGGTGGCTCACGCCTGTAATCCCAGCACTTTGGGAGGCCAAGGCAGGCGGATCACCTGAGGTCAGAAGTTCGAGACCAGCCTGGCCAACATGGTGAAACCCCGTCTCTACTAAAAATACAAAAATTAGCCGGGTGTGGTGGCGGGCACCTGTAGTCCCAGCTATTCGTGAGGCTGAGGCAGGAGAATCACTTAAACCTGGAAGGCGGAGGTTGCAGTGAGCCAAGATGGTGCCTTTGCGCTCCAGGCTGGGTGACAAGAGCGAGACTCCATCTCAAAAAACAAAACAAAACAAAACAAACAAACAAAAAAACCACACACTATAATAATAATAACAACAACAAAACAAAGAATATATTGATGTGAGTTGGCTGAAGGATAAAAAAATAAAAAAAAAGAAAAAAAGGAATATCATCATCATCATCATTGCCATCATCATCACCATCACCAATGTCATCATCGTCATCATCACGATCACCATTACCATGGTGATAATGATTATAGCAGCCACCACTCCAGGAGTACTTGCCATGTTGCAGTCACTGTCTGAGGCAGTTTTCATGCATTATATTGTTTAACCTTCACAATAACTCTATAAGGTAATCATTACTACTTCCATTTTGCAGAAGAGGAAATAGAATATAGGAGAAACTAATTAATTTGCCCACTACTACAAAAGTAGTAAGTTGGAGGGCCAGAATTTGAATACAGGACTGTCTTGCTTCAAGCCCACACATAAGACCTCCCTATCCTACTCTTGTACTCTGCCATTGTCTAGTTTGTCACAACTGCAGCTAATTTATTCATAAAAAGTACACATTCCCCCAAAAAAGTACTCCAGCTCTCATGACTTCTAACACATAGAAACAACTTTGAGTTGCAGAGAGGTAGACTAGAAATTTTATCAATTATCAAAACCTCAACCACTCCCAAAGAATACTTTGCTTTAATCTCCAAAACTGAAAGCCTGTCTTGTGTGTGTGAAATTCATAACGTTTTTATGTGGTTGTAGCCTAAGGAAAGTACTACTGGTATGTTGAGAAGCCATTAAGGGCTTAATTTTTGTTAATTAAGAGATTAGGGAAGCTTTGCTTGGTAAATCAGTTTGCTTCCATTGCTGGTGAAAATCAAGAAATTCCCCAGTTCCCCCAAGCATAATCAGTTAGTTTCTCACCCTTGTTTCAACAGCTCTTTGTATACAATTCTATTACAGGATAACGCTTAGTACTCAGTGTTGTAATTATTTGTTTATTTGTCTACGTCCTGGGCTACTAGACTAGGCTCTGTGAAAGCAGGGTTGGGATCTTTCTATGTTTAGCAATTAGCTCACAACAGTGTTTAATAAATATTTATTCAGGCCAGGCGTGGTGGCTCACGCCTATAATCCCAGCACTTTGGGAGGCCGAGGAGGGTGGATCACATGAGGTCAGGAGTTCGAGACCAGTCTGGCCAACATGGTGAAACCCCGTCTCTACGGAAAATACAAAAAAATTAGCCAGGTGTGGTGGCGCATGCCTGTAATCCCAGCTACTTGGGAGGCTGAGGCAGGAGAATCACTTGAACTCCGGAGGCAGAGGTTGCAGTGAGCTGAGATTGTGCCACTGCACTCCAGCCTGGGCGACAGAGTGAAATTTATTTATTCAATGAATGACTGTAACCTAGAAGCAGATTAAGAAGACATTTCATATTTACATAATTGATAGCTCATTATTGGTTTAGTATTCAGTATTTTGTGCAAGTCTCATTTAGAATGGACATTCATTTCATTTCCCTGAGCTTCTATTGAATTAAATCTGTTGTTGCTGGAAGAGGTCTAGTTTAATACTGCTGGGAATAAATAACATATGATAATAAAAAATAACTTCAGGGGGAAATTTTAGGCATAAATGCTAGTAGTTATATGTAAAAAATCATTAATTCTGGCCGGGCGCGGTGGCTGAAGCCTGTAATCCCAGCACTTTGGGAGGCCGAGGCGGGCGGATCACGAGGTCAGAAGATCGAGACCATCCTGGCTAACATGGTGAAACCCCATCTCTACTAAAAATACAAAAAATTAGCCGGGCATGGTGGCAGGCGCCTGTAGTCCCAGCTACTCAGGAGGCTGAGGAAGGAGAATGGCGTGAGCCCGGGAGGCGGAGCTTGCAGTGAGCCGAGATGGCGCCACTGCACTCCAGCCTGGGCGACAGAGCAAGACTCCGTCTTAAAAAAAAAAAAAAAAAAAAAAAAGGATCATTAATTCTATATAGTACAAAATGCTTACACTTTAACAAAATAGGTAATAGTGAAATCTGTGATAACTTATTTGTATTAAGTAAACAAAATTTTTGTTCACATCACCTGAAGTCTTTTTGAGAATTTTCCTAATCATGAATAGATGTTGAATTTTGTTAAATGCTTTTGTTTGGATATATTGAAGTGATCATATATCTTTTCTCTCTTTAAAAAAAATATGGAATGCTTCATGAATTTGCAAGTCTTCTCTGCATCATTCCAATTTTAGTATATGTGCTACTGAAACATGCACTTTTTTCTCTTTTATTTCATGAATTACATTGATTTTTTTTTTTTTTGAGACAGTCTTGCTCTATCGCCCAGGATGTAGTGCAGTGGCTTGATCTCGGCTCACTGCAACCTCCACCTCCTGGGTTCAAGTGATCCTCCTGCCTCAGCCTCCTGAGTAGCTGGGATTACAGGTGCATGCCACCATGCTCAGCTAATTTTTTTTTTTTTTTGAGACAGAGTATTGCTCTGTCACCCAGGCTGGAGTGTGGCACAATCACAGCTCACTGCAGCCTCAACCTTCTGAGCTCAAGTGATCCTCCCAACTCAGCCTCCCAAGTAGCTGGAACTGCAAGAGTGTGCTACTGCACCCAGCTAATTTTTAAATTTTCTGTAGAGACAGGGTCTTCCTATGTTATACGAGCTGGTCTCAAACTCCTGGCCTCAAGCAATCCTCCCGCCATGGCCTCCCAAAGTGCTGGGATGATAGGCATAAACCACTGTGCCTGGCCCCAAAGTCAGTTACATATATAAAACTCACAACTTCTTTTCATTTTACTAGTTGGTTAATCACTTTTCTCTCTTCTGCCCCTGAACAGCCTGAGCTTCAGCTATTGCTCCCTAACTGAGAATGAGATGCAAGAGAAGTCTCACTAGGAAAGGAGTCAGAGCTACGGGAATTTTCAAGAGAACTTTAAAAATTCTTCACTTAAAACTCTCTTTTTAAAAGAAATCCTCGTGGAGCATACCAACTACTGAAATCAGAAAGACTTTTATCATTGCAATTGTAACAATATTAATTATGCATAGTTTATTACTGTATTAAGTGTAGGTGGAATCTATTTCAAGAAAACACAATAAAGCCTAAACCAAAATAAGCAAGCTAGGAGTCGACTGTTCATATTTCAAAAGGATTCTCCAATTTTAACAGGATTCATTGCTGTTTTTTTCACAAGCTTTAATACCCCTGTGGTTTTAAAAAAATCATTTTAAAAATTTAATTTACACATAATTTTTCAGGAACTCATCTATTGTATGAAATGATGCACAACTCTGCATGTGTATAGATAATGCTATAAACAAAGGGCTCATAAAATTTTCCCATAAATTATCTCATTAGCTGGGACTATACGAATGAATATAAGCATTGGTTAGAATGCCTAAGAAGCCACTAGAAAAAAAAAATTCTTGCATTATTTACTTTTTATGAATATATGTAAGTGCTCTACATTGCTTAGTTCCTAGCAAAAACTAAGAACTCTAATATGCCCATGAGGCCCTTCCCTGATGACTCATTTATTAGAAAACTTTTCCTTATAAACGATACAAAAATAAACTTCAGCTCACCTGGTAGAATCACAGAAAATTTGAATTAGTAAAGTAAAACTTGAAGACCCATAGGTAACAAATACTTCATGTTACCCACAGAGTCCCCATGTCAGAACTGTCTGATGTCACTGTCAGAGACACAGAAACCAGGGACCTAGACAGAGAAAGAAGTTCCATGGTCCTAACCGCCGGGATGCAACTGTGGTTTGGGAGTGGCAAATGAGGGCTCTCAACTAACATGAATGTCTTGAAAACAACTATCAAGTCTCAGAAAAGGAGAATTTTGAAATCATAGTATATGTCCTTTGAACTACCTCCCTTCCCCAACTTCCAGTCTGATCCTTTATTCTTAGTTCTAGAATTTGCAAAGAGCCAATGTTTGCAAGCTTGTGGCTTTCTGTCTAAAATTCACCTTAGGCTTGGTAATATGAAGTTCTTTCACCATTTGAATATAGTGCTTCTTCCAGATCCCCTGCTCAAAGGGAGTTGGAGAGAAATTGATGTACCAGTTAAACCGTAAACATTTCAGCATCCAGAGCTGGTCCAGCTCAGCAAGGTTCTTCCAATGCCAGCACACCTGGAAAAACAATTACAATTAAACAAAACCAAATCAAACAACCCCTTCAGTTTACATGCCCACTTTCTCTAGGTTTTGAGCTGTCATCCTGGACCTGAGAAAACTTTTTTGTCCTTTGCCTCCAAACCATAGCTTAAATGGTTACCTCCTACCTGAAGTGTTTCCTACCCAGGCAGATTTAAAGTAAAGTAGCATTTGCTTTAAATGCTAATTCAGATTTAGAATCAGAGTCAATTAACATTTATGGAGCACCTATTAATTATCTTCATAGCAACCTAGGGAGGTAAGTACAATTATTACTCTCATATTGTAAATGAGGAAATTGAGGCTCAGATAGACTTCGGAACTTTCTAGAGGTTTCTGAAGGTCATATAAAAGTTGTATAAGGATTATATAAACTCAGGTCTGCACTTTTTTTATTCTTTTCATGGTGTGCTTCCTTTTCCCTTGTGTATTTGTCCATTTTCACGTTGCTGATAAAGACATACCTGAGACTGGGTAATTTATAAAGAGAAAGACGTTTAATGGACTCACAGTTCCATGTGGCTGGGGAGGCCTCACAATCATGGTGGAAGGGGAAAGGCATGTCTTACATGGTGGCAGGCAAGAGAGAATGAAAGCCAAGCAAAAGGGGAAACCCTTTATAAAACTATCAGATCTCATAAGAATGACTCACTACCATGAGAACAGTATGGGGGAAACCACCCCCATGGTTCAATTTTCTCCCATTGATTCCCTCCCACAACACTTGGGCATTATGGGAGCATCAATTCAAGAAGAGACATAGGTGGGGACATAGCCCAACCATATCACCTCCATTCTTTCAATTTCACTAAATATAAATTTTATAAATGGAATATAATCACTGATACTATGTGATGTATAGAGCCTTTAGGATTCTACAAAGCATAAAGCACTTATTATGTACATACCAGTTCCACAGCATTATGGCTAATCCCACCCATCCAGCAAATGGCAGAGATGGCCCTACTATGTGTAGCAATATTTATAATAATTTACCCAAGGGTTTGAATAAGTCTTGCCAGAAACTAGGATCAAGTTCACATATAAAGCTGAAACTAAGGATTCAGTGTCTTAGTTGTAAGAGTTGCAAAGATGACATACAACCTTCAAGCCCAAATTTCACCCTTAGAAAACTGGCCTCTTTTTCAAGATCAATTAAATAATTAATAATTTTTGAGTGCCCCCTCACCCCCAAAAGGGGAACACTCTGTAATGGCCCTTGCTATCCATACACCTATTTTTCTATTACTCTCTGCCTCCCTCCTTCCACCCACCATTTATTGAGTTCCTACTATGTTTGTTTTATGTGCAGAAGATGAGATGTTGAGGAAAGAGTAGGGCACAATTAGAAGAAATAATAGATTCAGGAAAGGTTAGGGAAGGAGGAAAAAGTTTAGAGGATTTGATACAGCCCTGCAGGCAGCAACAGAAATCACATTTAGTTTGTTTGACCCAGAAACGAAACAACACCCACCTCATCTCCACATGGTAAATTAGCTCAGAATTCAATGGAGAGATGGAGTTTTTGGGAAAGGGAAGGGGGAGAAAAGTCTCTCAATTCTCATTCCTTTTCTCCTCTTCTTCTTCTTCTTTTTTTTTTTTTTTTTTTTTTTTTGAGACAGAGTTTTGCCCTTGTTGCCCAGGCTGGAGTGCAGTGGTGCGATCTTGGCTCACTACAACCTCCGCCTCCCGGGATCAAGCGATTCTCCTGCCTCAGCCTCCCGAGTAGCTGGGATTACAGGCATGCGCCACTATGCCCATCTAATTCTGTATTTTTAGTAGAGACAGGGTTTCTCCTCTTCTTTAGATCACGTTTTGACCTGAGTACTTAAGTTGTTCTTCTTCCCAAGGCAAATACAGTTTTTGTTTTTTGTGTTTTTGTGTTATTTTGTTTGTTTAAAGGTAGAGAGGAATGAAGAGAATTGAAAGGTAAGTAAGAGCTTTCAAATTTACAAGACACAATTCCTCCACAACCTTCCATCTTTTTAAAACAGCAATGACTTTATATGTTTTACTTTAAATCTGGCTGAAGAATGATGGTCTGTGTCTTGCCCATGGTCAGTAGTGAGAAGAAATTATGACTTATAGTGCATGCAGATGATAGAATTAGCTATTTCAAATAACATTTCCCTCTAATAATAATATTATCCTTGTGGAAAATGAAAAATTCTGAGAAGTTTAACCCATGACCCCGTAAATCAGAGATGACCATTATTGACAACCTGGTAGAGTTCTTTTCCTTTCAGTTTTTATTTGAAGTATATACAAAAGAAAATTGGGAAACTCTATATATAACTTAAAATCTTTCTTTATTTTAAATATTATAGTATCTCTGTTCTTCCAAAACATGTTTACTAATGGTTGCATAATAATGCATCATAGGCTGGGCGCAGTGGCTCACGCTTGTAATCCCAGCACTTTGAGAGGCCAAGGCGAGTGGATCACCCGAGGCCAGGAGTTCCAGACCTGTCTGGCCAACATGGCGAAACCCCGTCTTTCCTAAAAATACAAAAATTAGCTGGGCGTGGTGACATGCGCCTGTAATCCCAGCTACTCGGGAGGCTGAGGCAAGAGAATTGCTTGAACCCGGGGTGGGCGGAGGTTGCAGTGAGCCGAGATCGAGCCATTGCACTCCAGCCTGGGCGACAAGAGCGAGACCCTGTCTCAAAAATAATAATAATAATAATAATAATAATAATAATAATAATAATAATGCATCATATATGGCTATTTGATACCCTCTTATTACTAGGCATCCAGATTGCTATGTTCTTTTAAAAAATCATTTCAGGCCAGGTGTGGTGGCTCATGCCTGTAATCCCAGCACTCTGGGAGGCCAAGGTGAGCAGATCACTTGAGGTCAAGAGTTTGAGACCAGCCTGGCCAACATGGTGAAACCCTGTCTCTAGTAAAAGTACAAAAATTAGCCAGACATGGTGGCGCATGCTGTAATCTCAGCTACTCGAGATTCTGAGGCAAGAGAATCTCTTGAACCCGGGAGGCGGAGGTTGCAGTGAGCCGAGATTGTGCCACTGCACTCCAGCCTGAGCAACAGAGCAAGACTTCATCTCAAAAAACAAACAAACAAAAAATCATTTTTGGAATAGGTATGTGCATACTAATACCAAATTCAAAGAAACAAAGGAAGTCCCTCTCCCATCACTATCCCCCAGTTACCCATTCTTCTCCTTGGATGAGACCACTGTTACCAGTTTCTGGTATATAATTCCAGAATATTCTAGGCATACAGTAACAAATATATATGTGTGTGTATATATATATATATATATATTTTTTTTTTTTTTTTTTTTTGAGACAAAGTCTCACCCTGTTGCTCAGGCTGGAGTGCAGAGGCATGATCATAGCTTACTGTAGCCTTCAACCCCCCAGCCTTAAGCAAGCAATCTTCCTGCCTTACTTAGCCTCTCAAGTAGCTGGGACTCTAGGCACATGCGCTATACCTGGCTAATTTTTTTTTTTTTTTTTTTTTTGAGACAGCGTCTCACTTTGTGACTCAGGCTAGCAGTGGCATGATCTCGGCTCACTGCAGCCTCCAACTCCCAGATTCAAGCAACCCTTCTGCCTCAGCCCCGCCAAATAGCTGGGATTACAGGTACACACCACCACACTGGGCTAATTTTTGTATTTATAATAGAGATGAGTTTTCACCATATTGGCCAGGCTGTTTTCAAACTCCTGACCTCAAGTGATCTGCCCACCTTGGCCTCTTAAAGTGCTAGGATTACAGGTGTGAGCCACCTCTGCGCCTGGCCGACCTGACTAATTTTTAACTTTTGTAGAGACAGGGTCTTGCTATGTTCCCAGGCTAGAGTACAGTGCTGCAATCTTGGCTCGCTGCAGCTTTAACCTCCTGGGCTCCAGCAATCCTCCTACCTCAGCCTCCCGAGTAGTTGGGACTATGGGCACGTGCCACCACACCTGGCTAATTTTTGTATTTTTTGTAGAGATGGGGGTCTTGCCATAATACCCAGGCCAGTCTCAAACTCTTGGCCTCAAGCAATTGCCAGCCATGGCCTCCCAAAGTGCTGGGATTACAGGCAAGCCACTGTGCCTGGCCGTATATATTCTTTATTCTTTATAAGATGGTAGGACAGTTCTATACCTCTGCTTTTTTTTTTTTTTTTTTACCAATGACGCGTCGTGGAGATAGTTGCAACTTATTTACCCAGTCCCTCCTGGTAGACATTTTCATTGTTTCCAACCTGTTGCTAGGACAGACAATGCTGCAATATTCTTATACAGGTATGGCTTTTACCATGTTGCAGGACACCCATCAGACAAATTCCAAGCACTGGAACTGCTGGGGCAAAGGGAATTTTTATTTGAAATGTTAACACTGCCCAATGGTTCTCCATGGTGGTTACATCTATTTATCTACCAGCAATATATGAAAGTTCTTGTTTCCCCACATCCTCACCAATATAGAATATTATCATTTAAAACAAATCTCAATCTGAGTCAAGAAAGATGGCATGCCATAATGAGGCTAAGCATCTTACATATTCTAGAGACATCTGCATTTCTTTTTCTGCAGATTACTTGTTCATTTCCTTTGCTCATTTTTCTGCTGGGTTGTTGGTCTTTTTTTTTTCTTAATATAGATTTATAAGAGCTCTTGAAAAAAAATAAAGAAATTAGCCCTTTGCATGCAATCGATTTTTTTCCCTGCCTACTGTTTGGATTTATTTATGGCGTTCTGTTCCATGAAGAATATTTTAATTTTTATAGTCACAATTTAAAAATCTGCTTCTTCATTCTTGCTCACGATACATAAAATGAAGAAAGCAAGATTTTAAATTGCATATTTTCTTTTAAGACTTCTGGGTATCATGGAATACTCACAAAGGCTTCCTTTCCTGTTTTCTTTGAGGACTTTAATAGTTTCCTTTGGTTTTATCTGTCTTTTATCCTACTGAAATTTTTTTTTCCAGAGAGTTGCTCAATTATCCCTACACCATTTATTGAATAATACTTTTTTTTTTGAGACAGAGTCTCACTCTGTTGCCCAGGCTGTTGTGTAGTGGCACAGTCATAGTTCACTGAAGCCTCAACCTTCTGGGTTCAAGTAATCCTCCCACTTCAGCCTCCCAAGTAGCTGGGACCACAGGCACACGTCACCACACCCACCTAATTTTAAAATGTTTTGTAAAGACGAGGTCTCCCTATGTTGCCCAGGCTAGTCTTGAACCCCTAGGCTCAGGCAATCCTCCCACCTTGGCCTCCCAAAGTGCTGGGATTACAGGTGTGATCCACCACACCCGGACCCATCTTTTCTCCTGCATTCATTTTCTTCTTCTTCTTCTTTTTTTTTTTTTTTTTCTGAGACGGCGTCTCGCTCTGTCGCTCAGGCTGGAGTGCAGTGGCGCATTCTCGGCTTACTGCAAGCTCTGCCTCCCAGGTTCACGCCATTCTCCTGCCTCAGCCTCCCGAGTAGCTGGGACTACAGGCGCCCGCCACCACGCCCGGCTAATTTTTCGTATTTTTAGTAGAGACGGGGTTTCACTGTGTTAGCCAGGATGGTCTCGATCTCCTGACCTTGTGATCCGCCCGCCTCTGCCTCCCAAAGTGCTGGGATTACAGGCGTGAGCCACCGCGCCCGGCCCCGCATTCATTTTCTTAATTTTAAAAACTAAAGTTAACATGTCACACATATATGAATGCACACTGGCAGGTAATATCTGGTCTTGCCAAACTCTATGAAAAGACTCAACAAAATGACTATCAGTTTTATATCTAAAATAATTTAACTTCACTTTAATACAGGACAGAATTACTTGTAAAAGAAAAAAACAGAACAATCATCTCCTTTTCCAAGGCCTGTATGAGCACACCTGCCCACTTGGATCTCTTTTAGTCTCATTCTCTTTTGTACATATCTCATTAGGTCCTTATTTTGAGCTTTTTTATTCATGAATGCCCTGTGCTCTACAATTGAGGACCTTATTGCAGCTGAATGCTGTGCAGTATAAGACCGTCCTGCTGATGAACCATTTCTTACATGTATATTTAGTTCCCCAACTAGCTAATACTTCTTTGTTGTACACTAATGTGGCTTATACTTTTTTCCCCATTTGAGTTCTAAATAGAGTTGGACACAAAGATGGTGGAGGTTAATCCAAATGTACAAACATATTGATCATCCCTTCTCTTTCTTAGTTTTGTGTGTGTGTGTATGTTTGTGTGTGTATGTGTGTTTGTGTGTGTATATGTGTGTATGTTTGTGTATGTGTTTGTGTGTTTATGTGTGTCCGTGTGTGTGTTTGTGTACACGTTTGTGTGTTTGTGCGTGTATTTGTGTGTGCATGTGTATATGTATGTTTGTGTGTGTTTGTGTGTGTGTGTATATGTGTATGTGTGTTTGTGTGTATATTTGTGTTTGTGTATATGTGTGTATATGTGTGTGTTTGTGTGTTTGTGTTTGTATGTATTTGTGTGTGTGTATATGTATGTGTGTATATGTGTATGTGTGTGTTTATGAGTATATGTGTGTCTAAGTGTACATTTGTGTGTGTTTGTGTGTATGTGTATATATGTGTGTGTGTGTATGCCTGTGTTTCCCCTTAACTTCTAGTTTCAAGTTTCAAGTTTCCTAAGGCTGTCCTCACAAAACACCACATACCCCTTCCTTGCCTTTACCTGTGCACAACGACAAAGGCTCCGAGGGTCCAGGAAAGAAAAGATGTATAAAGATAACACCCTTGGAAGCTTGGTTGTAAAGTCCAGGGCTTCTGCTGGAATTTTCTCTTGAAGCTTTCGACAGCAGAACTTTTGCTGGGACAGCGAGCAGCGCTCCAACAGGCCTGTGAGGATTCTTCTTCTTTGAGAGTCTGTCCATTTGTCAAACTGGAAACACAAAACAAAGCAAAATGTAAAAAGCTCCAGGTTTAGTCTGATAGCAGATTCATTACGAGTAAGACATGACAATGGCATAGAAAGGGAGTTTAGTAATTTATTTCTAGTATTTATTTCCCTAATCAGCAAATTCCATGCTTTGCCACCTATCTTCTCTCACATTTATATGGGAGCATGTGCATGACCTAAGTGCGCACACAGAAGTGCATGTGACCTCAAAACTTGCAGTCACATGTGAACAATAAATTGGGAGCTGGCCATATTCACAAACTGAGAATATATCTGCTTATAAAAGACAATTTTAAGATAAAATAACTGTGCAGCTCCTCCCCCCAAATAGTTTCTGCATTATCCCATCAGTGCTTAAAACAGCAGGACCAGAAACAAATCCTTGTATTCACAATTGGAGATAAAGTATTACAAGCAAATATCCCTCAGAAGGAAAGTATATTGGCGTAAATTCTCACTAGTATGTAAATGACTGATATGATTGGAGAGGATGTGTTGATAAAGGAGGACTTGAAGAGAGGAAGTGAATGCCAAAGGAAGCCAGGGTATGTCCAACAATTGGCTACTTCACAGTTTTCCTCAGAGATTACCCTGAACAACACCCAAGATCAGGGAATGACCAAGGATGAGCACCTTGAGACTGCCCAAAACCAAAAGAGAAAAAGGGAACAACACTACCAGCTTAGTGAGCTACTTCACTGGAAGTCTTAATCTCTTTTCTTCCCTGGCCCATTGGGGAAGAGAAAATAGGGAAGTTTGAGCTGGTTGTATTTTTGTATATTATTGCATTTCACATATATTCAGTACAGTTATTATAAACAGAATTTTTTTTTTTGAGACGGAGTCTCACTCTGTTGCCTAGATTGGAGTGCAGTGGTGTGATCTTGGCTCACTGCAACCTCCACCTCCTGGGTTCAAGTGATTCTCCTGCCTCAGCCTCCCGAGTAGCTGGGATTACAGGCACGCGCCACCGCACCTGGCTAACTTTAGTATTTTTAGTAGAGACAGGGTTTCACCATGTTGGTCAGGCTGGTCTCGAACTTCTGACCTCGTGATCCACCCACCTTGGCCTCCCAAAGTGCTAAGACTACAGGCGAGAGCCACTGTGCCCGGCTATAAACAGAATTTTATAATCTGTTTATAATTATTTTAGTCATAATCATAAAATACACTGACTACCTAAAAAGGCACGTAAAGGAAAAATTTATTTTTTGCAAGCCTTACAACAAGTTAACTTCATCACAGTTGTACAATGTATTTTAAATTTATTTGATTTTTTTTTTTCTTTTTGGCTTCACAAGGGTCAACTTGATATATATTTTTTAATTAGTAGTGTTAAAAAACAAAATGTCAACAAATTGCGTTTAAAGATCTAATTGGCTTTTATTAGCGATTCATGAATCAGGTAGCATCCCATCAAAAGAACAGATAAGAGCTCCTCAGAGCTGAGCAGAGGAGGTTGGTTGGCTTCAGGGGCAGAAATGTGTTGAAGAAAGGAGAAATAGGCCCCGTGTGGTGGCTCATGTCTGTAATCTCAGCACTTTGGGAGGCAGAGGCAGGAGAATCTCTTGAGCCCAGGAATTTGAAACCAGCCCGAGCAACACCCCATCTGCACAAAAAAATAAAAAGTTAGCTGGGTATGGTGGTGTACGCCTGTGGTCCCAGCTACTCAGGAGGCTGAGGTGGGAGAATTGCTTGAGCCCAGGTGGTGGAGGCTGCAGTGAGCTGTGGTCATGCCATTGCACTCCAGCCTGGACAGCAGAGAGAGGCCCTGTCAATAAAAATAAAAAAAAAATAAAAAATTTTTAAAAAAGCAGAAATAAGGAACAAAAAGTGGATTGATTGTTTCAGAGTTACTTTTCTCATAAGATTAAAACAGAGGGGACTTTCTTACGCCAGCTCAGATAAACTGGGGCCCTTCAGATTGGTTGCTGTGAATCTCCTGTTTTGGGTTTTTGTTGTTGTTGTTTTGTTTTTGTTTTTGTTTTTGGTCCTGGTTTTCATTTTTAATTTAAACTGGCACTTTTTAAAGTTCAGTTTGATTACGTGAGAGTGCCTCCATTCTGGGTTGGTTTGGTCTGTTGGGGCCTAGTATAGGAGCTCAGTCCAAAACAATGGCCTTCCATAAATTTTAACATTAGAGGCGTGGTGGCTCATGCCTGGGAGGCCGAGGCCGGTGGATTACGTGAGGTCAGGAGTTCAAGACCAGCCTGACCAACATGGAGAAACCCCGTCTCTACTGAAAACACAAAATTAGCCAGGCATGGTGGTACATGCCTGTAATTCCAGCTATTCGGGAGTGTGAGGCAGGAGAATCGCTTGAACCCAGGAGGCGGAGGTTGCGGAGTGCTATTGCACTCCAGCCTGGGCAACAAGAGCAAAAACTCCATCTGAAAAAACAAAACAAAACAAAACAAAAAAACAGTAGAATAACAGTAGAAATACTTCCTAAATAAAACTATTCACTACTATAGATTTATTCTATGACCCACAAATCTCACTTTGGAGACTATCACTGCAGTGGGGAGGAGGAGGACCCTAAAATGAAAAAACAAAAACTTTAACTGCGAAGACTACAGGAATAAAACTGATTCATGTGTGAGTGTTCCCTGACATCTCCTAGCCCCGTTTCTATACAAGCCATATCTCCAACTCCCATAAAAGGAGACTTCTGGCCAGGCGCGGTGGCTCACACCTGTAATCCCAGCACTTTGGGAGGCCGAGGTGGGTGGATCACGAAGTCAGGAGATCGAGACCATCCTGGCTGACACGGTGAAAACCCATCTCTACTTAAAAAAAAAAAAAAAAATTAGCCGGGCATGGTGGCAGGCGCCTGTAGTCCCAGTTACATGGGAGGCTGAAGCAGAAGAATGGCGATAAAGAGCCAAAAGGAAGGTGAGAGGCGAGAGAGGAAGAACAGTTGGAAAGTTGGCTTGACGGGAGTTGTGGGCCTCACAGAGGCAATGGTAGCCTCTACGGCAGCTAGTGTGGGAGAGCTGGGGAGTGAAGGCAGATTGGAGGAGTATGGCTGTGAGTTTTGAACTGGATCTCCTGTTTTCCTTGAAAGAGACAAAATGAAGATTGGAATTCATTTTACTTATTTTTTATTTCATTCTGTTTTTTTAGAGACAGGGTCTCGCTGTGTCGCCAGGTTGGCGTACAGTGGTGCAATCCTACTCACTACAGCCTCGATCTCCTGGGCTCAAGGGATCCTCCCACCTCAGCCTCCTGAGTGGCTGGGATGTGCTACCACATCTGGCCTGGAATTCATTCTAAAATTACTTTTGGGCAGTGCTATGTGAGTCTGGTGGGGCTGAGCTACGTTGAGACCCAGGATGATTACGGTTACAAAAAATTTTCATAAGATATTATGGCTGCCACAACAAAATCAAAGATAACTCAAAATGCCTAATAGTAGGGGATCAGCTAAACAAACCGTAATATATCAACATGATAGGGGAAAGCAGGGCATTATGGGTTGATGGTGGGCTTAGGAATAAGACAATTTGATGTCTCACTCCCAATATTCTATTAGTTCTTTTACTCATCAGAAATATGTCAGCCTCGATTTCCTCATTTATACATTAGAGATAATTACATCTACCTTGTAGGGTGGTTGTGAGGATTAAATACAATAATATATGTATAAAATTCCTAATAGAGTGCATGACTCATTGTAGACATGGCAGCTACTATTAGAAAATGTCACAGTGATGTTAAAAATAATATGTATGTGGGTTAAGTAACTATAAAAAGATGTGCGCATAAAATTACCATGTTTGTACATTGACAAGGATGGAAAGTGCATTGAGAATAAATGAGGTTAGCTCATCTACTTTCCCGCTGTCCCCAAAAGAGAATGGACTCAGGTTGCAGAATGAGTGATTTAACACGAATATAAAAGAACATTAGTATTACACAATACTGAAGAAATCTATAAAAGAAAACATTAAAACACTTTCCCCAGCGATTAAAAAGATAATTACATTGGTTCCTCATTTATTTCCCTGATTACAATGGTCAGAGGTAATTTGTTTGGCTTTGATAGGTGTTCTTTGCCTCAAGGGATTTTCCTTTCTAATTGTGTTTGTTTAGGCTAATAGAAAACTAATTTACATTCCTTAAACTACCAACTGAAGAAGGTTAGATGACTCAGAAGAATGCTGAACAGTAGGGGAAAATCCCTCTACAATTTAGAAGGTGCTAGAAATAATCCAAAAAGTAGATAATCCATGGAGGGGTTAACTGTACAGGAATTCAGTTATCCCCCACGTCTCTTGCGTCACCTCTCAAGCAAAAATACCCCTAACTGAGTAGCCAGGGACCTCATGTATGAGATTGGGGGACCGTCAGGACCATTATTCTCCTATTCTAGCATCATGTACGGTACCTTGCTTCCCAATTCATTCCTGAAGGATGCCTTTTTTAAGGCTTTCTTGACTCAATATAACTATGCACATCCTATTTTTAGAGTAGTTGTTACAAGGATTCTTGCTGCCATTTCAGGAAGTGAGAAGGTTGCTAGGGCGATCAGGTTCCACCCACCTCACACTGAATGGCAAAAAGAGGGTGGGAGGGGGATAAAGAGAGAGGCTTGTTTCTGTTGACTTATTGGTTATACGATCTCTTCTGGTTGAGTTTCTGAGTCCTATTATCAAAAATTTAATTTCACAAAGTGTAAATACGTTTTTGTCTTAAAAGTTTCAAACAGGGCTGGGCGAGGTGGCTCACATCTGTAGTCCCAGCACTTTGAAAGGCCAACACGGAAGGAAGGATTGCTTGAGCCCAGGAGTTCAAGACCAAAACCAGCTGGGCAACATTGCGAGATCCTGTTTCTTAAAATAAAAAATAAAATAAAATAAAAAGATGGGCATGTTGGCGTATGCCTGTAGTCCCAGCTACCGGGGAGGCTGAGGTGGGAGGATCACTTGAGCCCAGGAGGTAGAGGTTGCAGTGAGCTGAGATCACGCCACTGCACTCAAGCCTTAGCTACAGAGTAAGACTCCATCTTGAAAAAAAAAAAAAAGTTTCAAGCAGGCACACATAGAATCAATAGAATAAAAAATGAAAAGCTTCTTTAACACTGCTCCCCATTAAATCTCACTTCATCTCCCACAGATAACCAGTGTTCAAAAGTTTGATGTTCATGCATTTCCTTTTTTTCTAATTAAAAAAAAATTTTTTTATTAGGGCCGGGCATGGTGGCTTATGCCTGTAATCCCAGCACTTTGGAAGGCCGAGGCAGGCGGATCACCTGAGGTCAGGAGTTCGAGACCAGCCTGACCAACATGGAGAAACCCCATCTCTACTAAAAAAAAATTACAAAATTAGCTGGGCATGGTGGCACATGCCTGTAATCCCAGCTACTCGGGAGGCTGAAGGAGGAGAATGGCTTGAACCTGGGAGGCGGAGGTTGTGGTGAGCCGAGATTGCACCATTGCACTCCAGCCTGGGCAACAAGAGCGAAACCCTGCCTCAGAAAAAAAAAAAAAATTGTTTTCAGAGACAAAGTCTTGCTATGTGGCCCAGGCTGGAGTGCAGTGGCTATTCACAGGCATGATCATCGTGCACTACAGCTTCAAACTCGTGGGCTCAAGTAATTCTCCTGCTTTAGTCTCTGGATTAGCTGGGACTTGAGGCATGGCACCACCATGCCTGGAAGATTGTCATGCATTTCTATACATTCACACACACACATATCTCCATCAGCTTAGTGGCAGTGAAATAAATTAGAGTACACCCATCCCAGGGAACACTATGTAGCAGTTTAAAAAATAAACAAAATGGCTGGGAGTGGTGGCTCACGCCTGTAATACTAGCACTTTGGGAGGCCAAGGCGGGTGGATCACAAGGTCAGGAGTTCAACACCAGCCTGACAACATGGTGAAACTCTGTCTCTACTAAAAATACAAAAATTAGCTGGGCATGATGGCGCACACCTGTAATCCCAGCTACTCAGGAGGCTGAGGTAGGTGAATCTCTTGAACCCAGGAGGCGGAGGTTGCAGTGAGCCGAGATCGCGCCAATGCACTCCAGCCTGGGCGACAGAGCGAGACTCCGTCTCAAAATAATAATAATAATAATAGGCCGGGCGCGGTGGGCTCACGCCTGTAAACCCAGCACTTTGGGAGGCCGAGGCGGCTGGACCACGAGGTCAGGAGATCGAGACCACAGTGAAACCCCGTCTCTACTAAAAATACAAAAAAAATTAGCCGGGCGCGGTGGTGGGCACCTGTAGTCCCAGCTACTCGGGAGGCTGAGGCAGGAGAATGGCGTGAACCCAGGAGGCGGAGCTTGCAGTGAGCCGAGATCGTGCCACTGCACTCCAGCCTGGGCGACAGAGCAAGACTCCGTCTTAAAAAAAAAAAAATAAAGTCATAATAATAATAAATAAGTGAACAAAATGTAGCCACACATGTCCTGATATGTAATGAACTCCAGAGCTTTTTGTCTTCTCATTCAGTCATAGCAGGATGAATATGGCATTTTCTATTTACTCAATTTACTACTGATACCATTACTACTGATACCTTTCCAATAGGAAGAAAGAAAAAGGAGGAGGAGGAGCAATATCTTGGCACATGCTTTTTCATGCCTTTTCATGTTCTAAATGAATATTTCTCTAGTATACATAAATAGAGGTTCAAAGCGTACGTGCATTTAACATTTTAACAGATCCTGTCAAATTGTCTTTAAAAGGTCTTTACCAAGTGAGTTTAAAAGTATCTTCCTGCTTTCCAGTGAATCCTTTCTTACAGGGTATATTATATATTATTATCTAGCTCTTCAATTTTTGCCATATAGGCAAGGAAGAGAGAATTTGGGAATTTCGTTGTTTTCATTTGCATGTCTCTGATTTTGGTAAAATTGAGCATATTTTATATGCTTGTTGTTCATTTTTTATAATATTCTTCATTCTTATATTAGCCCATTATTCTGTAGGGATATTTGTATTTTTCTTATTGACTTGTAGGAACTCTTTATATATCCTGGATATTAATCATTTTGCTATCATGCAATTTGCAAAACAGTTTTCCTTGTTTCTCTTTTGAATTCTAACTCTGATTATGGTGGTTTCCAGCAAGTTAAAAGTGATGCCATCTACTTTATTAAAATGGGTTATTATGTTACTATTATTTATATTAGCAACAGAGCAGAAGCTGAGAGAAAATCTGAGATTCTTTCTCTTTTCACTTCTCCTGTGGTGTTCTCTCTCAGTTTGGGAGGGAATCACCTTTTCTAACAGGGATTGAAGGGCAGAGAAGATTTGAGAGGAAGGGGATTAAGTAGTAGCATGAAACAGCAAAGTAGAAGAGCTTTTCAGTTTCTCTTAATTATTTTATTTGCTGTTGTACAGAACATTAGACAGGTATGGCCAAATATAAAAATACTTCCGGACTGTCTATCATTGAATACAATTCATATTATATTTTATCTCTCACTGTCTAGATTCTTTTTTAAAAAATGATTTCACTTCTAATACTAGATTAAACTTTAAAACTAAGACAGTGCTTGATGTCTACAGTGAAAATCCCAAGTAATGCTAAGTAAAAACACTGGTATCCTTATTTCCCCTTCCTTCCTTCCTTCCTTCCCTCCTTCCTTCCTCTCTCTTTCTTTCTTTCGAAAATGCATTTCTTATGTTACTGTCTTGTCCATGAAACACACAAACAAAGAAAATCTAAAAATTAAAATGGAGACAGAAATGTAAATAAAGATAAATTATAAATATCTCCTTTAAGCCCAATTCATTGGGTTTTTGCAGGGGTACATAGGCTACCATATGACTTAGTGATTTTAAGGAATAAGTTTGTTTGGGGAAAGGAGAAAAACAAGAGACCATTATTTATTGATTTAGAAAATATCTGTTAATGCCTGGTAAGCATCAAGGAATGTATAACGAAAAACAGGAAGAAGCCAGCCCTGCCTCCATAGATTACTCTCTTGAAGAAAGAAAACAGAGAATCTCAAAAAAAAAAAAAAAAAAAAAAAAAAGCCCAGAGATGGATATTTTGATCATCACCCAGGGATGGCCATTGAGACTTTGTGTCCCTCCTTTTGAGGCACAGATGAGAAAGTCCTAGTTTTTGATGAAGGATAGTTGTATCTTGTTAGGTAAAAACATAACATTGTTACAGTTCTTGTATGGAAGTGTCAGGATCTATAGAAGGGTATATATGAATGCTGAGTAGCCAAATGGGTAAACTGTGCTGGTTACTAAGCTACTGTCCCCCAGATCCAAATTCATCTTTCTATTTTGGGGTTTGTTTGTTTTGAGACATGGTCTTGCTCTGTTGCCCAGGCTGGAGTGCACCAGTGCAACAGCTCACTATAGCTTTGAACTCCTGGGCTCAAGCAATCCTCCTGCCTTACCCATCCCAAGTAGCTGGGACTATAGGAAAGCACCACCATGCCTGGCTAATTTTTTTAATTATTATTTTTGTAGATATGGGGTCTAACTGTTATGTTGCCCAGGCTAGTCTCAAACTCCCGGCCTTAAGCTCTCCTCCTCCCTCAGCCTCCCAAAGTACTGGTATTACAGTTGTGAGCCATTGCACCTGACCCATATCCACCTTTCTGTGCTCTACTTTGTGAGCATAGAAGGCAGGATCTCTTGGGCTGGGCATGTGGTTCGCACCTGTAATCCCAGCACTTTGGGAGGTCAAGGGGGGGCGGGGTGGATCACCTGAGGTCAAGAGTTCAAGACCAGCCTGGCCAACATGGTGAAACTCCATCTCTACTAAAAATACAACAAACTAGCCAGGCATAGTGGTGGGCACCTGTAATCCCAGCTACTCAGGAGGCTGAGGCAGGAGAATCACTTGAACCCGGGAGGCGGAGGAGGTTGCAGTGATCCGAGATGGCACCATTACACTCCAGCCTGGGCAACAAGAGCAAAACTCCGTCTCAAAAAAAGAAAAGAAGGCAAGATCTCTATCACCATATTTCTCCTTTGACAGCTGGCTCCCTGATAAATGCTGCCAATGAGGAGGAAGGTGCTAGAGGGAAACTGAGGGAGGAGAAACTTACTCCTATTTGGTTGCTGTTCCTATCAGGATCACTTAACTCTTGACCCTGACAGTAGCTGTTGATTCCAAGGTCCAGTTTTTTTCCCATACACCCAGAACCATCATGCTTCACCAACTGTATCAGAACCAGCTGGCTGTGATGTCATCTACTTTATTCCACAGAAATCTGGCTTCCCTATGGGGCTGAAGGTCTTCCCTCTGAGCTCTCAGTACCAGGAAAGCTGATGGTAGCTAATTCCCAAAGTTCTGTCTCCCTGGAACCTCAGCATTCCCTTTTTGTCTCTTCTGTTCTCCAATATTTGCTTAACCAATCCTTTTCATTGAATTATGTCTGTTAAAATAAGATACGACTTCTGTTTTCCTGACCAAATCCTAACTGATACCTACAGAAAGCACCTGCCATGCTTCTCAGGAAATGAGGAAGCACTCCCTTAAATCCAAGCTGAATTCTCTGGCCTCTGTGATAATGCTACAGACTGAATGTTTACATCACCCCCAAATTCATGTTGAAATCTCAACCCCCCAGTGTGATGGGATTAGGAGGTGGGGTCTTTGTGAAGTGATTAGGTCATGAGGGTGGGGCCCTCATGAAGGGGATTATTGTCCTTATAAAGAAGACCCCAGATAATTCATTCTCCCTCTTCTGCCATGTGAGGACACAGTGAGGAGGTGGCTGTCTATGAAGAGAGGCCTCAGCAGACACTGAATCTGCCAGCACCTTGATCTTGAGCTTCCTAAGCCTCCGGAACCATGAAAAACAAATGTCTGGGTTTTTTTCTTTCTATCCAAGTTGAGTAAAATATGTCTGTTATTTATAAGCCACCCAGTCTGATTTTTTAATAGCAGCCTGAAAGATGAAAACAGATAACATAACATAATGCAAAAATAGTATTTTTAAATGTTTACCCATTTGCCAAGCAGGGCTCTTCTTTCTTCAAATACCTACAGTAAGTAAAAAAGAATATGGTAATTTCATATACCATAGTTCAAAATACCCATTACAAGAAAGATACCATTAAGGGATCGGTGAATAAACATTCATTGTATCAACTGAATATTAAAAGGCAGATTTTACTCCTGAGGTTATATATTTTTACCCTGGGCAAGGTTTCTCTCTCTTTTTTTTTCTTTCAGTTTCTACATGTGGAATAATTCATATGAAAGAAGAAGTAATAAGGCTGGGTTCAGTGGCTCACACCTGTAATCCCAGCACTTTGGGAGGCCAAGGCAGGCAGATCATTTGAGCTAGGGAGTTTAAAAGCAGCCTGGGCAACATGGTGAGACTCTATCTCTACAAAAATACAAAAAATTAGCCAGGCGTGGTGGTGTGTCCCTGTAGTCCCAGCTGAGGCTGAAGTGGGAGGATCGCTTGAGCCCGGGGAGTTGAGGCTGCAGTGAGCTATGATCACGTCACTGTACTTCTAACCTGGGTAACAGAGCCAGACCCTGTCAAAAAAAAAAAAAAAAAAAAAAAAAAAAAAAAAAAAAGAGAGAGAAAGAAGAAAAGAAAAAATGAAAGAAAAGAAAAGAAAAAATAGTTTTTTTAAAGTGAAAGAAATTTTAAAAATGGAATTATAAAGAGAAATCAATTTTAGAATTTGAAAGGAGATGAAAAAACTAACGAAAAAACAGGAACATGAAACTCCCCCATCTGAAATGTTTCAATATTAATAGTATGAGAATTTACAAAACAAGTGAATGATCAGTTCTGTTTTTCTATTTCAGTGTATACACATATCACAGATGTGATAAGTACTCACATATGTGTATAAGTATGTACACATCTGTAGGATTAGAAATGTGTGTGTGTGCACCTCTGAGCTTCCACTTGAATACTTGTTGGTATAGGTTTATTACAATATATTATTTAGGACAGAAACTAAGTCTTATTCATCTTGACATCTCCAGTAGAGTGCTTACAGAGCATGTTACAGGTATCTATGTTTATTGAATTGAAAGAATGTGATTGTGAGAATGAATATCCTTATGGATGTATCAGTACAATGTGAGTATCTTTACATATTGGTGTTGAGGTGGTTTTCTGAGCATCAGTGCATATGTATATTTCAGTGAGTGAGGAAAGGAAGACTAACGTGGGGACACGTGGCAGAGAAGGGGGTTATTAAGAGAGGAAGAGAGAGTCATGAACATATGTGAATGTCTCGCTTGCTTTATCCCATACACCCTCTGTCAGCTTTCAAAATTGGGATTGATGTTTTTCCCTCCTCTTGGCACTTGCTACATTCTCTAGTGCTGTAAGAATGTCCCCACTTGGAGAGGTGGCTCAGGCCTATTTCTTCTCTTTTTATGGAAGAGGCTGAGGAGCTGGTTTTATGCTTCCCACACATCATGCTTTCCTTCCTTTTTTAACTCTCAAGCTCTGGTTGCCAAGGACATACAAAATAGGAATTGAAATAACTGGTTCAACCACCACTTTGGGACCAGTGAAATGTCAGTTTTGCTCTTGGCCAGGGAATCTCTTCTGTCACAGACAGACACTTTTTGCACATAAGAGAAGAAGAAAAAGACCCTCCCCTGCAGCTAACTGCCACCTGGGCTACCAGGACCCTCAAATAATGGCAACAGATAAACTCAGAATTTCTAGATGAAAAGAAGTAGAGGAGAATCTGTAGAACACAGAAGATTCAAAGTATCTGGATTCAAATATTGTCTGAATTCTTCTCTATCAATCATGCATCGCCCAACCCATGCAACCAATGTTGTCACTTTTCTGATGTCCAGGGATTTCTCTCCTCCTAACTCCTACTCAATTTATAGTTCACGCTTCACTTAGACCTTACAGTGTTTGTTTTGCTCTCTAGTGGTTTCTGTTAATTTTATCTTCCCAAGTAGATTACAACCACTTTCTCTTACATGCTCCACAGAACCCTCAAGTACAGAGTCCATGGAAGGCCCTCAATAAACCATTTTGCTGATTGACTAACAACAACAAGAAAGCTTCAGAAGTCATAGAATTTTAGAGCTAAAATGAATCCTAAAGGTCTTTTTGTTCGATTCCCATATTTTAGAAAGGATAAGCAGAGGACCAAAGAGGTTATATTTACAGATATTTTAAAAATCCCTGGGTCCAAACTGTGTGTTCAGCTCAACACTGCACTTGATTCCTCACCAGATCCTTGGTCTTCCCCATTCTGACTTCCAGCCTTACATTCTTGATGTACTTCTGCCCATGCTTTGGTCTGACTACAGGAAGAAGAAGAGACTACAACAGAGCTTCAAGAGGAAGTTGAAGCATGGTGTCCAATGATGGTGTGGCCCACTGGAAACAAAAGGAAACTGACTTAAAGGGGAAAAGACAGTCAACAAGAAGGTAGTAGAAAAGGAATAGGGTGGATGTTGGGAAGTGCTACGCAGGTTAAAACACGAGACAAAGTCTAAACAGAGTCCACACAAGTCCAGCTCTTTACCAGAAGGCATCTAGACTCAAGTAGAAACTGATGGGACAGAAGGGGTAGAGGAAAGACACTAGACTGAAAGTCAGGAGACCTCAGATCTGGTTCTGACTCTACCCTTGACAAGACATATCATTTTGGGCAGATAATTTTGTTGTCAGGTTCTCAGTTGGACTTATAGTCTTATACACCCTGGTTTGGAGCAAGTCTTTATTTCAGAGATTTGCAATCAGGTTCTTCATTTTAAAGAGCTGGAAAACAAAGTATTTCTTCCAAATGGAAATATTAAAATGGATCTTCTTTTCTTGCAAGATGCTGCAGTCTGTTTATATCACAGTTTACTCAAAGCCTGCTGTTAAGTCAAAATCCCACGGTTGTTATTTTAATCTGTTGACACTGTAGTTACATATTTTACCGTGTGACATCATTACAATGTAGGAGTGAGATATTTAGGGGCCCCTAAATAATGATTGATTGATGGTAACTGGGTGCTTTTTCTCAGAACACTTTTTTAACATGTACTGTACAACATGTGTGAACCATACCGTAAAAGAAATGTGGATCACTTTCCTTTCTTTTAAAAAACTGTGTATATTTAAGGTATACAACTTGATGTTTTGATATACACATACATAATGAAATGTCAAGGAAATTATCCTATCCGTCATCTTCCATAGTTACCTTTCTATGTATGTGTGATAAAGATCACTTTCAATTAAAACACTAGTTGGCAAAGAAATACACACTTTAAAAACATTCCTTCACCCAAAATTCACAATGCTTGAATAACTTACTAATCTGTTATATATGCCTATCCTGATGACGCAGTTTTTTTTTTTAGGCGTCTAAATTTGAATTTAGAGAATTCAATCTTCTGCTTAAAACCTGCTGTGAAGTTAAAATCCTGTGACTCTTATTTTAGTCTAAGATAGTTACATATTTCACATTTTACTACAGAATAGAAGAAAGACAAAATTAAAACAAAAACAAAAAACAGGGCCTTAAAATTTCACTGATCATTGGTGACAAATGCCCTCATTTAGAAGTATGGAAGCCCCTTGAAATTATTGTCTGGATACCTTTTGGCCAGCTGTCTCCTCGGGCATCTATTTTTAATTCCTTTCACACAGTTAGAATGTTAGATCCAGAAGGGACCTTCAAGGTCATCTGATCCAATCCACTCATTTTACAAAGGAGGATAAAGCCCAGAGAAGGTAAAACTGGTACAGCTGATTTGAAACCAGAGTTTTCAACTCCAGAGTTATTGTTCTTTGTTTACTTATATGTATGGGTGTGTGTGTATGTATAATATACGATACATATTTATGTTCTAATTTGTTTTAAAATTGGAAACATTGCTGCATTGTATGAAGTAAGAAAATGAAAGCTCTCTCTTCTAACACACCCTCCTCTGTCCACCAACACCCATATAACTCTTTGGGAAAAACCAGTATTAACAGTTTGATATAGCTGGGCATGGTGGTTGACACCTGTAATCCCAGAGCTTTGGGAGGCTGAGACAGAGGCTCACTTGCACTCAGGAGTTTGAGACCAGGCCTTTTCTCTAATAAAAACAAAAACAAATTAGCCGGGCATGGTGGTGTGAGCCTGGTGGTCCTAGCTACTTGGGGGAATGAGACAGGAAGATAGCTTGAGCCCAGGAGGTGGAGGCTGCAGTGAGCCGTGATTGTGCCACTGTACTCCAGCCTGGGTGACAGAGTGAGATCCTCAAAAACAAACAAACAAACACCAGCTTGGCATAATCATACACAAATTCTATGTGTGTGACTCTGCATTTGTACACAACTTACGTGTATATATACACACAAAGATTTTTAAAAATAATTTTATGCCACACAAGAACCTAACTAAACCAAAAAATTATTATTATTATTTTTGGAATAAAATGGGAGTTCGGGACAATAAAATACATATTATCTTGAGAAGTGATCATTACATTGGATAAAAATCTATTAAAGAACCAATGAGTACTGTGATGTACTCGTTCCCCTCCAGAACTGAAGGATTTATTTCCCCACCTGTTGGAAGGCTGCTGGTTGACAGGTACAAGCTTGAGAGAGCCGCCTTGCCCAAGGTCAGACCTGGCGGGGGTGGGTAGGCAGCTAGCAGCCACTGAATGTTCGGTCAGTGTGGAAGTATAAAAACCAGACCCTCTCCCTCCCTTACCCCTTGCCACAATGTAAGACAAATGTTGGGGTTTGGATCTCTGTCCCCACCAAATCTCATATCAAATTGTAATCCCCGGCTGGGCACAGTGACTCATGCCTATAATCCAGCACTTTGGGAGGCCAAGGCCAGTGGATCACTGAGGTCAGGAGTTCAAGACCAGCCTGGCCACCATGGTGAAACTCCATTTCTACTAAAAATATGAAAATTAGCCAGGTGTGGTGGTGGGTGCCTGCAATCCCAGCTACTCAGGAGGCTGAGGCAGGAGAATCGCTTGAACTGGGAGGCAGAGGTTGCAGTGAGCCGAGATCACGCCATTGCACTCCAGCCTGGGCAACACAATGAATTCTGTCTCCAAAAAAAAAAAAAAAAAAAAATTGTAATCCCCTATGTTGGAGGTGGGGCCTGGTGGGAGGTGATTGGATCATGGGGGCGGTTTGTCATGGTTTAGCACCATCCTCCTAGTGCTGTCATCAGCGGGAGTGAGTTCTCATGAGATCTGCTTGTTTAAAAGTGTGTGGGACCTCCTGTCTCACTCTTCCTCCTGCTCCTGCCATGTAAGATGCCTCCTCCTGCTTTGCCCTCTGCCACGATGGAAAGCTCCTTGAGGCCGCCCCAGAAGCAGATGCCATTATGTTTCCTGCACAGCCTGCAGAACTGTGAGCCAATTAAACCTCTTTTCTTTATAAATTACCCAGCCTCAGGTGTTTCTTTACAACCAATCTGAAGCATCATGGCAGCTTCAGGAAGTCCTATGGGGTCAGTGGAGACCTCACTGAGACTGCATTCCAGCCCAACTTCTTCCTTTGCCCTGCATCTGACCCTTTTCTCTCCTTTTCCTTTTATTTCCTTCCCTTCCCAGGTGCTGATCCTGAAAGTCCTCTCCAGTCAATGCTCTACATGCTAATCTCCGAATCAGCTTCTCTAAAAATCGAATTGCAAGAGGCATTCAGGCAATTTTTTGCCTCCTAAGACACTTTTCTTCTCCACAGCTGCTAAATTGATCAAGACTCGTAATTTTTCGAAGAAAATTTCTGAAAATCAAGGAATCTAATTAACGCATATTTGAATTCAAGTCACTTTTTCAATGTGTGTAAAACCTTCACAATTCTATGGGAAGACAGAATTCAAAATGAGACCCTGAAGTTTTGGTAGGGGAAGCAGATAAACTGTTATATAAACTGTGGGAGAGCTTCGAGCATTGCAAACAGGTGCTCAGTAAATTACTGTTGAGCTGGATAAAAACTATTTTCTTTCTTTCTTTTTTTAGAGACAGGGTCTCTCTCTCTCTGTCACTCAGGCTGGAGTGCAGTGGTACAATCGTGGCTTACCCCAACCTCCAACTCCTGGGCTCAAGCGATCCTCCTGCCTCAGCCTCCCAAGTAGCTGGGACCATAGGCATGCACCATCACGCCAGGCTAATATTTTATTTTACTTTTTTTTTTTTTTAAATAAAGATGAGGTCGCACTATGTTGCCCAGGCTGGTCTTAAACTCTTGGCCTCAAGCGATCCACCGGCCTCACCCTCCCAAAGTGCTGGGATTACAGACCTGAGCCACTGTGCCTGGCCCCCAAAAGTTTTTCAATAGATTTGCTTGGTGTTCCTGGCTAGATGAAGGCTGAATCTGTCTCTCTCCCTCTTTCTCTGCCTTTCCTTTTGTTTCTCCTGGTCCGTCTATTTTTTTTCTCATTCTCTTTCCTCTTTCCTCATTTCCTTTATCATTTTCCTTTTTCAGTCTCTCTCCATTTTATTTCTCACTATTCCAATCTCTACCTTGGCCCTTCTGTTCCTCTTCTAAAATTGCTCATCAGTAGAAACTGATTTGACTAGAAATAGAAGGTACTGAGCAGGAGGGTTCAGGTTTGATGACGGCTTTGCCAAGGGATGAGCCCATCTATTGAGTTTAGAGGGGCAGAGGGGCAAATCCAGGCTAAGGACACAAAGATGAAGAGGCAGGAAGACAAGAGTCAATGAAACAGGTACCAGGGAGTAGACCTGAACTCTGATTCAATTTCTTTTTTCTTTTTCTTTCTTTCTTTTTTTTTTCTTTTCCTGAGACAGAGTCTCACTCTGTTGCCCAGGCACTGAGTGTAGTGGTGCAATCTTGACTCACTGCAACCTCCACCTCCTGGGTTCAAGTGATTCTTCTGCCTCAGCCTCCCGAGAAGCTGGGACTACAGGGGTGCATCACCATGCCCAGCTAATTTTTATATTTTTTAGTAGAGATGGGGTTTTACCATGTTGGCCAGGCTGGTCTTGAATTCCTGACCTCAGGTGATCCACTCGCCTTGGCCTCCCAAAGTGCTGGGATTACAAGTGTGAGCCACTGTGCCTAGCCCTGACTCCATTTCTTATGCTTCAGGAACCAAACCAGGTTCCTGGAGGTACAGAGAGAAAAGACGGAATCTCAACTCTTCATGCATGGGAGTTGACTGGGAAAGCCAGTAAACAGTGATGAGAGCAAAGAAAAGGAAGCAGGACACGGGGAGGCTTCACAGAGGAAAGGACATTTGAATGGACTCAGATAGGAGGCGAGGGCGAGAGCACATGCAAAGGCATGGAGGTGTGGGAGAGCAGGGTTCACTCGGGGGCCCCGAGCCGGGCCTGGGCATCAGATGTGAGGGAGCAGTGGCAGGGGTGGAGCCGGGAAGTTGGCTGAGGTCAGATCATGAAAGATCCTCAACGCTATGCCTGGGGGTGTTGGAATTTACTCTTGGGAGTGGAGTCTATTATTGGTTTCACATAATAGAATCGGAATCTTAGAAAGATCTCTCTGGGACAAGAATAGAGGATGGAGTGGCAGGGACAGAGCCAGTGAAAGCAGTTAGGGGGTGACTGCAGTGTACTAGACAAAGGGTGCAGACAGTGTCAGCTGAGAATGGAGCTGGAAGTAGATAAGCGGGTGGAGAAGAGAGGCCTGAATGAGAGATTGGGAGGAGGACTCAGAGTACTGGAAAGCAAATTACATATGGAGGCAAGGGAGCGTTGGTAGACACTTCTCTGTGTGCCTCTCACACTCCGAAACATCTTGGCATGCCAAGAATGCAAGGGCCTGAGCATTCGTGGCGAGTGCGGTGGCTCACGCCTGTAATCCCAGCACTTTGGAAGGCTGAGGCGGGTGGATCATGAGGTCAAGAGGTCGAGACCATCCTGGCCAACATCGTGAAACCCTGTCTCCACTAAAAATACAAAAATCAGCTGGGTGTGGTAGTGTGCGCCTGTAGTCCCAGCTACTCAGGAGGCTGAGGCAACAGAATCGCTTGAACCCGGGAGGTGGAGGTTGTAGTGAGCCGAGATCGCACCACTGCACTCCAGTCTGGTGACACAGTGAGACTCTGTTTCAGGAAAAAAAAAAAAAAAAGAATGCAAGGCCCTGAGCATTCGTGACTTGGGCCATTCTTGCAGGTTGTGTCTGCAGTAAGGCAACCTTGAGGGATGAGGTAATGTCTCCCTTTGGGAGCAACAGCAGGCTGACTTACTGCTTACTATGAAAAGAAGTGGATGCCCTGGGCTCACTGTTCCTCAGCTGGGTGCAAACCACTGTTACGTGTATCATTTACCTGGGCCCTATGTGTCACACCTGTGGGACGGGGAGGACCAGCAGAACCCACGCAAACATAACGTTCATGCCACTCGCTGCTTTGTGAGTAAAGTTGTTTTTGACCCAAGAATCTCATCTTTTATTGTGAAACAGCAGAGTCTTCTATTCCATAAGTCACAGGCTAACTTATTAGCTTGTAATCTGGGGGAAAATCAAATCCCAGACTGGACAGGGAGAAGCAGAATTTCTGGCTTGATTGACTTGGTATAAAATAGTGCCTCTCATAGCGGGGAGGAACTGGTGTGTAGGAGCAAGAGGATGAGGTCAGTTTTATATATGGTGATTGTGTTTTCCTGAAAAATAGGTGTGGTCCTTGCATACAGCGATTGGTCACTGGAGCTCACAGACCTGTTGGTAAATTCTGTCCCTAACTGAAGCAGGAATAGAAACCCCTAGAGGCTGGTCAGTCTCACACCCCAGCCGTCCACCGTGATCCTTTAGTGTATTCCGCTAGCACCTTCCCAGAGTGCAGGTGGAAAATAAACGTCTTTGTTGTTGTTGTTCTTATTGTTGTTGTTGTTGAGACAGAGTTTCCTCTTGTTGCCCAAGCGGGAGTGCAATGGTGTGATCTTGGCTCACTGCAACCTCCGCCTCCTGGGTTCAAGCGATTCTCCCGCCTCAGCCTCCCGAGTAGCTGGGATTACAGGTACACACCACCACGCCCAGCTAATTTTTTTTTTTTTGTATTTTTAGTAGAAACGGGGTTTCACCATGTTAACCAGGCTGGTCTCGAACCCCTGACCTCAGATGATCCACCTGCCTTGGCCTCCCAAAGTGCTGGGATTATAAGCATGAGCCACCGCACCCAGCCATGAAAATAAACGTCTTAAGAGAACCTGAGTAATGTGAATAATCAGTTGAAATGTATGCATTTTATGTATCTTATTAAATGTGCAGCATTACCCAGCAACCTCAACTATACCAAGAAAACTGGGTTTGGGGGAATGCCATGGACCACTCTCTCCTTTCTCAGTCCTGGTGGTTCCAGGGGAGAACAAGTGATGGAAGAAAAATGGCGAGTGGGGTGGGAGAGGAAGGTGACAGTGGGGGAAAGAACAAATCCAAGACATTTTTTTCTTGGGCAAGGACTTTGGGTCTATTGCCAGCCTTGCCCATATAGCATGGGTTCAATAAAAGTTTTGGAATATCTTCATTTTGGTTTTTATTCATCCATTACACAATCTTAAATAATCCCTGTTCATATTTTGGTAAGTAAAATTTTAATATCTTTTTTCCTTTCAGTCATGGATTCAATTGTTAAAATAGTTCTGGTCACTTACCCGGTCATTCAATAGCTGATGGTTTAGGGGTGTCCAGGTGCTCATCTTTGTCTGCATTTTGGGACCATCTGTGTTTTTTGGAGGTGCAAATGCCATCATGAAACAACTGGATATCCTTCCATAAGAAAAACAACACCTATCAGAAGAAGTGAATCATATAACCCTCAGAAAACAAAAATTACTAATACCAGCCAGGCACGATGGCTCACGCCTGTAATTCCAGCACTTTGGGAGGCTGAGGTGGGCGGATCACTTGAGGTCAAGGATTCGAGACCAGCCTGGCCAACATGGTGAAACCCTGTCTCTACTAAAAATAAATGTAATAAACAAACAAACAAACAAACAAATAAAAAATAGCCGGGCGTGGTGGTGCATGCCTGTAATCACAGCTACTAGGCAGGAGAGTCACTTGAACTCCAGAGGTGGAGGTTGCAGTGAGCCAAGATGGCACCACTGTACTCCAGCCTGGGCAGCAGAGCGAGACTCCACCTCAAAAAAAACAATACTAATACCATATAATTTTTTAGCATGTTGGCAGAGGGAATGCGGTGGGAAGAGCATTTATTGGGGGCATGTTATATGTCAAGCACTTCATACATCTCCTCAATGGAAGTGCACAATTACCTGGTGAGGTGGTGGGTTTTAACTCATTTTACACACGAGGAAGATTTGGCTTATTGATGTTACCCTGTCCAAGGTCATACAGATAGCAAGTGGTGTAACTGGTAGTCAGACCCAGGTCAGTTTGATGCCACTTTATTTTCACTGGACTCTGGGGGGAAATCCAGAATCACTCCTAGCTAAGGACATACTATATTGGCCAGGAAGAGAAGTATTTTAAATTTAAAATCATCATGCAATATGAAACACTTCATTCTTGTCCCTTGTTATATTAATTCTCCTTCTCCCCTCTTAATTTCCAGATATCCAAGTAACAGGAACTCCTGCCTGACAGCGTATTGAAGAGGTAGCATGGTGGGAGAGACAAAGCCAAGGCTTTGGAAATGAACAGATTTGAGTTTATTGGGGGAAACTTGCTATTTTTAGTTATCCAGTATATGTCTGCCTCCTTTTGATTAAAGCACTTTAATTTTCAGGAGGAATTAATTCTCCCTCATTGTTTAGAGCCTGATGGTTTAATTAATTAAGGTAGCCTGTCCTTCCCCAGCCAAGAGATGGTCATGAGACCAGGCTAGGCCAGTTGGGCTGACAATAGCTTACTCTTAATCTTATTTTATTTTATTAACTGATTGATTTATTTTGAGACAGAGTCTCGCTCTGTCGCCCAGGCTGGAGGGCAGTAGTACGATCTCGGCTCACTGCAAGCTCCGCCTTCCGGGTTCACACCATTCTCCTGCCTCAGCCTCCCGGGTAGCTGGGACTACAGGCGCCCGCCATCACGCCCAGCTAATATTTTTTGTATTTTTAGTAGAGACGGGGTTTCACCGTGTTAGCCAGGATGGTCTCGATCTCCTGACCTCATGATCCACCCCCCCTGGGCCTCCCAAAGTGCTGGGATTACAGGCGTGAGCCACCGCGCCCGGCCAAGATGGAGTCTTGCTCTATCACCCAGGCTCGAGTGCAGTGACACGATCTCGGCTCACCACAACCTCCGCTTCCCAGGTTCAAGCGATCCTCCTGCCTCAGCTCCCCTAGTAGCTGATTGGGAGTAGTTTTGATATATACACTCAGGGTTGCAGGCTTCTGCATTTTCCACTCTGTGATGGTGGGTTTCACAAGGACAGGTAGAAGAGATGGCTAAGGGGACCAGGGCCTGCTCGCCTGATCAATGGGCTCCACAAATGACCCCACAGCAACAGATACTGGATATTTTTTATTTTTTGAGAAGGAGTCTTGCCCTGTTTCCCAGGCTGCCGTACAGTGGTGCAGACATGGCTCACTGCAACCTGCACCTCCCAGGTTCAAGCGCTTCTCCTGGCTTAGCCTCCCGAGTAGCTAGGACTACAGGCACCTGCCACCACGACTGGCTAATTTTTGTATTTTTAGTAGAGATGGGGTTTCACCATGTTGGCTAGGCTGGTCTCGAACTCCTGATCTCAGGTGATCTGCACACCTCAGCCTCCCAAAGTGCTGGGATTACAGGCACAAGCCACTGTGCCCGACCTTTGATAATTTTTTTTTAATCATTATATTTTGGCTAGTATGGGATTTTCCCAAACACTATCTGAGATCTTTGAGGTTCTCATTTGACATGTAATATTCTCTCTCAGGAAGATAAAGCCCACGTTTTAAACCCTCTGGGGTGTCAAGACAATGCCTTCCTTCAGTTGCCTGTTGCCAATATGCCACTGGAATGAGGGGCACTCAGATCAGCACTCAGGTTCTTTTCAGCCTCAACAGCTAACTATCGGACTCACATTTAGGTAAGTTACTAAGCCAAAAGAAATGATTTCATTACAGTAATTTTAACTGGCAGCTAATGATAAAAGTACATGTGAGCAGGCAAGTTATAGATACAGGCCGGCATGGTGCCTCACACCTGTAATAGCAGCACTTTGGGAGGCTGAGGCAGGCGGATCACCTGAAGTCAGGAGTTCGAGGCCAGCCTGACCAACATGGTAAAACTCCATCTCTACTAAAAATACAAAAATTATCTGGGCATGGTGGCCCACCTATAATACCAGCTACTCAGGAGGCTGAGGCAGGAGAATCGCTTAAACCCAGGAGGTGGAGGTTGCAGTGAGCTGAGGTCGCGCCACTGCACTCCAGCCTGGGTGACAGAGTAAGACTCTGTCTCAAAAAAAAAAAAAAAAGTTACAGATACAAAGTGTAGCCACTGAGTCTAGATCTCCCCAGCTAAAAAGTGATATATCTGTTTTTGTTGTTGTTATTTATTTATTTTCTACATTTCTTCTTCTTCTTCTTTTTTTTTTTTGGAAGAGTTTTGTTGTTGTTGCCCAGGCTGGAGTGCAATGGTGCGATCTTGGCTCACTGCAACCTCCGCCTCCTGGGTTCAAGTGATTCTCCTGCTTTAGCCTCCCTAGTAGCTGAGATTACAGGTATGAGCCACCAGGCCCAGCTAATTTTATAGTTTTAGTAGAGACAGGGTTTCACCATGTTGGTCAGGCTGGTCTCAAACTCCTGACCTCAGGTGATCCACCAGCCTAAGCCTCCCAAAGTGCTGGGATTACAGGCGTAAGCCACCGCCGCGCCTGGGCTACATTTCTTCTTTTAAAACTAGTTGTTTTGTTGCCTGTAATCCCAGCACTTGGGAGGCTGAAGCAGAAAGACTGCTTGAGCCCAGGAATCTGAGACCAGACTGGGCAACATCGAGAGACCTTATCTCTACACAAAGTAAAAAAACCAAAAAATTAGCTGGGCTTAGTGGTGCACGCCTGTGGTCCCAGCTACTTGGGGTGGGGGCAGAGGGCTGAGGTGGGAGAATCGTTTGGGCCCAGGAGGTTGAGGCTGCGGTAAGCTGTGATTGCACCACTGTACTCCAGCCTGGGCAACAGAGCAAGACCGTTTTTAAAAAATAATAAAAACATAAAAATTAAATTCGTTGTTCTGAATCCTTTCTTAAGAGCTACATGGCTCTTGAAGAATATGATGAAAGCTATGAATTCTCCCCCTAGAAAAATGCACATACACGCAAAATTTTGCTTACCCCTGCTCTATGCTGAACAACTCTCTCCTTTCCAGTTTGTGTAGGAAACCATGTGACTGATCCTAGGCACATCCTTCTGAATGAGGAGAAGTAGCTTTCCTTGGTAACTCCCCCAAGCGCCTGCACTGGTTGTTTTCTTTTTCCTGGTTCCTCAGAACTACATGTCACTTAGATTAGACTTTCTTTCAACCTGCTTGAAGATGGGTTTTCAGCAGATGGGCCTGGCCCCAGGAAGCAGCCCTCTTGGCCATATAGGCCTGCTGAAGTGTGCCAATGTGGACGTCCTGCCTCGTCTCTTGCTATTATCCTTTTACAGTATTTTCCTCCTTCCTCCATTCCAGAAGACAGGCAGCGTGTATATTTGCATGCACATACATGTTCACAGAACAGACCATTTGCTACTATTAAGAAGACAGATTTTTTTTTTTTTTTTTTTTGAGATGAAGTCTCACTCTTTTGCCCAGGCTGGAGTGCAGTGGCGTGATCTCGGCTTACTGCACCTACGCTTCCCAGGTTCAAGAGATTCTGCTACCTCAGGCTCCCGAGTAGCTGGGATTACAGGCATGCACCACCATGCCTGGGTAATTTTTGTATTTTTAGTAGAGATGCGGTTTTCCCCATGTTGGTCAGGCTTGTCTTGAACTCCTGACCTCAAGTGATCTGCCTACCTTGGCTTCCCAAAGTGCTGGGATTACAGGTGTGAGCTGCTGCGCCCAGCTACAGAGATTTTCATATAACACATACAAAACATAATTGTCCCCACTTAATCAACAAAATAAAGCAAGTTGTCATCCCTCCTTCCACAGATGTCTTGCTGTTGCTTTTTTGTGATCTCCTTCCCTGTAAGGACTACCTTTGAATATTCATCTTTTTTTCTTTTTTTTTTTTTAGAGGTGGAGCAAAATCTTGCTCTGTCGCCCAGGCTGGAGTGCAGTGGCACAAACTCGGCTCACCACAACCTCCGCCTCCCAGGTTCAAGCAATCCTCCTGCCTCAGCCTCCCAAGTAGCTGGGATTATAGGCGCCTGCCACCACACCCAGCTAATTTTTGTATTTTTAGTAGAGATGGGGTTTCACTATGTTGGTCAGGCTGGTCTCAAACTCCTGACCTCGTGATCCACCCACTTCGGCCTCCCAAAGTGCTGGGATTACAGGCATGAGCCACTGCGCCCAGCCAAATATTCATCTTTAATTTTTCTTAGAATTAAAATACAGAAAGAGGGCCTACGACCCTAGTTCTTGACATATGGTTCTAGTCTCATTTTCAATAGCAAGGATGGGTCCCCTGGCCACATACTTCCAATTTGATCTTCTAAGCCTTTTTTTTTTTTTTTTTTTTTTTGACAAGGTCTTGCTCTGTCACTCAGGCTGGAGGGCAGTGGTGTGATCACAGCTCACCATAGCCTCAACCTCCTGGGCTCAAGCAATTCTCCATGTCAGCCTCCCAAGTAGCAGAGAATATAGGTGTGCACCACCACACCTGGCTAATTTTTTTTTTTTTGTATTTTTTGTAGAGATAAGGTCTTGCTTTGTTGCCCAAGCTGGTCTCAAACTTCTGGGCTCAAGCAATCCACCACCTCAGCCTCCCAAAGTGCTGAGATTACAAAGGCGAGCCACTACCTCCTGCCTTAAGCCATTCTTCACACTGTCATCATTATTTAACCACCTTACTAAGTATCTACAAGGCAGGTGTTAGGGGTACAACGATAAGAGTCTGCTTTAATGGAGCTCACAGTCTCCTGTTAGGTATTTTTTAAAAGACCAGTTGATCATGTCACTTTTCAGCTCAAAACCTTCAGAGGTTCACTGACAGCTACAGGATCCAGACTTCCTCGCGTGGAAGTCTAGGTCTGCCATGATTTTACCTCCATCTACTCTTTCAGTCTCACCTGGCCCCACCTTCATGCGCTCTCTGCCCAGACACACTGAACTCATGGCCACTCTGAGAACGTGCCACACAACTCTGATGATTCTTGGCTTATGTGGTTTTCTGATGCTCACTGCTCACCTGAATCATCACAGTAGTATACTCAATATTTGTTAAATCAATAGAAAAAATGACTACAGCAGTGCAAGTGGGGAGCAGTTTAAGGATTAAAACTTGTAGAAATGTTTGGGAGGCTGAGGTGGGTGAATCACCTGAGCTCAGGAGTTCAAGACCAGCCTGGGCAACACAGTGAAACCTCGTCTCTACCAAAAACAAAACAAAAGCAAAAAATTAGCAGAGCGTGGTGGTGTGTGCCTATAGTCCCAGCTACTTGGGAGGCTGAGGTGGGAGGACTGCTTGAGCCTGGGAGGCAGAGGTTGCAGTGAGCCAAGATCATGCCACTGCACTCCAGCCTGGGGGACAGAGTGCGACTCCATCTTGAAAAACAAAAAAACACCAACACCACCACCACCACAATTTGTAGAAATGTTGACCAAGTGTGGTGGCTCACGCCTATAATCCCCGCATTTTGGGAGGCTGAGGCAGGAGGATCTCTTGAGCCCAGGAGTTGAAGCCCAGGAATTCCAGACCAGCCTGGGCAACACAGCAAAACCCTATCTCTACAAAAAAAAAAAAAAAAAAAATTGCCAGGTGTGGGTGTGGCGGTGGGCTCCTATAGTCCCAGCTACTCAGGAGGCTGAGATGGAAGGATTCCTTGAGCCCAGGAGTTCAAGGCTGCAGTGAGCGATGATTGCACCACTGCAGTTCAGCCTGGGCAACACGGCAAGACCCTGTCTCAAAAAACAAAAACCAACAAAAAAAAAAAAACCCTTGTAGAATTGTAGAAATGTAGAGTGAAACTCATAACATGATACTGGGCTCTGGGGTTATATGCAGAGTTTACTGAGCATAATAGGACTGGGTCTCTCTGCTAACAGAATTTACCCATACATTGTAATATCATCAGACAAGGGAATCTCAAATTATTATCAGGAAATTATCAAGAAATAGCGTATGGGTAGATTTCAATACGAATTCATCTTCCGCTTAACTAGTTTTTAAAAAGCAAGAACTATAACACAACGCAAAAAGCTAATGCTTGGTAGGCATATAATTATCTGTGGGTTGTTAATTTCACAAGTATGAATATCTGGCGGTTGCACTGTAGCCCAAATGAGAGGGCACAATGAAATCCCCAAGAGCACTGATAAAGCTCATGGGAGGCCCTGGAGCTTTCCAAAGAGAGAGTCTCCATCTTTTTCATGCACTGCCCACAGCTCTCACCTCTTTTAGCTTGTCTCCCTCTTCAAGCCTCAAGCGCTGACGTTGCCACAGTTTCATTAGGTCAGCTTTTTCTCCGACTCCCTCCAGTCCCTCACCCCTCCCAGCTTCCAGCAGCCCAATCACCGTCTATAAATCCCGTCGCTGGCATCCGGGGTCTCTTAGGCAACAATGTGTGGGCTCCTGATTGGCCGCGAGATCCAGGAGGGCTGGCTACAAAATTGGGCACGGGGATAAAATTAACAAGTGTGGCGGCCAAGAGCGTGGGAGGGACTGCAATGTCTCAATATAACCCTAGAATGAAGACGCGTCGAATCCTGAAACAAGTAGCGTTGAAAACCTTCATTCAAGACGTAGTGTGTCCCAAATCAGCCCTACCTACGGAGCACGCCCAGTCACATTGTCCTGGTCACTCCGGAGCTGCGAAATGCAGGCTCCACTGTGCCAGGTTTTAAGAGTGGCCAACAGGTAAACAGAGGGTTGGAGGAAAAAGAATTCGAGACTGGTTCAATGAAAGAATAGCACCTGCAACAGGAAGTGGAAGGATGGGGCCAGGAGGAATTGCCCAACACAGAGACACACAAATGCTTCAATGCAAATTTCAATTTATTGGATTATAGAATTCAGGCTGACTGACAGATACACCAGGGAACCAGCAGATGGCATGCCCTAATAAGAATAACTAAATTTAGGAACTCTTAGAATCCCGTCCAATTCATTAAATTTATTGAGCGCCTGTCTTGTAATACGAAGCAAAATGAGAATACAAAGATAAAAAAGAAATCTAAAGAGGAAGACTGGAAGGTGCAATATACAAATATTTAATGGAAGGCTCACACGGGTAACAGCTGTTATAGAGTTATGAACAAGTGCTGGAGGATACCAAAAAGTTCAAAATTCCGGAACAGAGGTCCTTTGGTCAATGTAAAGCAGGTCTTATAGGCAGCAGTCAACAACAACAAAAAGCAAAACAACAGCAAAAAGAGACTTTCCTTACTATCTTTTTTTCTCAAAATAAATAAGAATGCACTCCCCTTCCACTTAAATGTACAAACCCTGTGTTTCTGTTGTGTTTTACAGGTTTTATTTTTATTTTTGGGGGGAACGGAGTTTTGCTCTTATTGCCCAGGCTGGAGTGCATTGGTGCGATCTCAGGTTACTGCAACCTCCGCCTCTCGGGTTCAAGCGATTCTCCTGCCTCAGCCTCCTGAGTAGCGGGGATTACAAGCATGCGTCACCATGCCCGGCTAATTTTTTTGTATTTTTAGTAGAGACGGGGTTTCACCATGTTGGCCAGGCTGGTTTCGAACTCCTGACCTCAGGTGATCTGCCCGCCTCGGCATCCTGGAGTGCTGGGATTACAGGCGTGAGCCACCGTGCCCGACCTGTTTTATAGTTTTTAAATAGGCAGCATTTGTATATCTCTAGTTTAAAAAGAAAAAAATGAAGCTCATAGAAGTTGTTGCTTTCCTTGGGTTAAAATGGATCAGTAAGTGGGCAAGCTGAAATTAGAACCTAGGTTGTTTGAATTCCAGCCTAGGGATTTTTTCCACATGACCGGGTTGTACCTAAATGAATAAACAAAGCCTTGGGGGCAGAGGCGGTGAGGGGGTGGCCTGGAGGAGGTACTTAGATGCAATACTAAATTACCATGCATTACCAGTTAGCTTTTATGGTTTCAAAACGGGTTCATCCAGAAAGAGACCAGTTTTAACAATGTTGGGAGTGCTGTGTCTCTCTATGAAGTTCCCGCTCATTAAAGACTTCGTATTGGTGGTTACAACATGGAATGAAAGAGAGATGGGATCACAGAGAGCATCTCCTTTAGCCCTGTTGGATTTGAATATTTTCATCCCTGAAAAGAAGGTCTCTTTCTTCTTGCCTCTCAACCAACATCTTCTGGGCCTCCTCTTGTCCTGCACCTCATCATCAGACTACTGTCCTCCCAAAAGAACCTGAGTCACACCATCCACACTGTCTGTGTTCACAGTGAGCACATAGAGCTCCATGTCTGACACTGCAACATTACTTTTTTTTTTTTTTTAAGAGACAGGGATGGCTTTGTTGCCCAGGCTGCAGTGTAGTGGCTCACTACAGCTTTGAACTCCTGGGCTCAAGCAATCCTCCCAGGCTAATTTTTTAGTTTTTATTTTTGTAGAGACAGGATCTTGCTATGTCCCCCAGACTGGTCTCCAACTCCTGGCTCAAGTGATCCTCTCTCCTCGGCTTTCCAAAATGCTGGGATTACAGGTCTGAACCACCTCACTCAGCCCCAAATATTAATTACTTTTAAGAGGGATATTTCAAACATAAAGAAAGATTTGGACACTTTCATAAGAAACACCCTTGATTCTCCACGAAGATTTTTTTTAAATAGTACATTTGTATGTATTTCACAGATACAGTAGAAGCTTCTTTTGTCTCATTCCCAGGTTTCATCCCCCTCCCTGCCTGCCTAGAGGCAGTCATTGTCACAAAATTGGTGTGCAGCGTTTCTGTCCATTTTCATGCTTTTATTATATGTACGTTTGCCCTCATAAACATTGTATAGTATTGCTAGTCTTTTTTTTCTAAAGAGGCATCATCACTTACATATCTTGTGGTTTGTTTTTTTTTTTTCACTCAATGTTCTTTTTCTGCAATTTAGTCATGCTGATACAGTGGCGATCATTTCTACGTCATTCCCACCTCCCGATGTTGAGCTATTATGATGTGTCTCATTCCTGACAGTCTTTACAGGATGGTGTGTAAATTGAATAAAAATGCACCTCGCAGCACATCTCCAGAGGTTCCCCAGCTACAAGGGATCTGACACACACAGATTTCCCCCACGCTATCTGCCCCCTCACTCACTCTCCACAGAGGCACCGCTGGCTCCAGAGGATACACTGCCCTGCCTAGAATCAACCTAAGAATCAATATTATTTTAAACATTGTTTACTGCACAAGTATTTACTTATTAGAGAAACTGTAACTGTCATTTCAGATCTCATTTATCAGGCCTGTTCACACAGTTCACCTTCTGATGTGAAACTCTAGGTCTAAGTTCAACATTCGTCAACATTTACTTAACACGTATCAAGCGCCTTTCTAAAAAAAATTGTAAAACACACATAACATAAATGCACCACTGTAAACATTTTTAAGTGTACAATTCTAATAGTCCATTCACATCGTTCAATTTCTTTAAGTTCTATGTGCTACCGACAGAACAAAATGATGCCCATGAAATCCAGGTTGACGAGGAACGAAAAAGAAGAGAAAGAAAAGACAGGTTAAACGGTGCAGTGAAAAGAAAGACAGCCCTAGGTTGGGACGAGTCCAGGCCCTGTTGTTAAAACGCTGCATGGCTTTAGGTAAATCATCTAACCTTTGGGGGCGTTCTTTTCCTCGTCTGAAAAATGAGAGGTTCGGTTTAGATTATCTTTAAGAATTCTTTCAGCTCTAAAGCAGCTTATGTAGAAAAGGAGAGGAGAAACATTTCCTAAGGAGCAAAAATTGGGGCGCGCACCAGTAACGACCAGCGCCACCTGTTTCCTAAGGTCTTGGCCAAGAGGCTATGAACTATCCCGGGCGAGTAGCCTATTCTGTCCGCTACGCTGTTTCGCGTGGAGCTCTGCAGCAGGCCAGAGCTCCTGCACCCCATTCCACCCTCAGCATCCGGGGATCTGCCTCTTGAGCACCCCAAATCCCCAGGTCCGGAGGTCGGCACCTCTGGTTCTCAGACCAGGTGTAGGTGGTCCTGCAATCACACCTCCGCGCTGTGTCATCAGGGGACGGAGTGCATTGCGAGGAGGGCCCCGAGTGCATCTCAGATGAGCGCCTCCAGGGCTGGGAACGAGCACGCCGGAGCAAGGGAGCTCCAGGCGTCACTCAGGGCGAGAGGCAGAGAACAACGAGGCGCGCCGGGCCAGGCCCGCAAGCCCAGGATCCGGCAGGGAGCTTTCGGCCGAGCGTACTCAGTGCGCCTGCCCCGTGCGTGCGCGCGCGCTCGTGAGCTCGCTCTCCGGGCCGCGCGCCCCGGTGCTCGCGAAAGCTCGCTGTCGCTGGGAGGCGCGCGCCGGCGTTCCTCGGCCGCTCCGGGTACCTGAGGGACGCGCGGCCGCCCGCGGCAGGCGGTGCAGCCCCCCCACCCCTTGGAGCCAGGCGCCGGGGTCTGAGGTGAGCCCCGCGAAGCGTGTGGGCCCCTGGGCCGGGGCAGCGGGAGAAGGAGCGGCGAGTGTGGAGCCCGAGGAGGCGCCGCGCGGCTGCCTGCTGCTCCGCCTCAGCCCGCGCCGAGGAGCCAGCAGCAGCCCGGCGCCTCCTCCTCAGGGATCGTTCCTCTCGTCGCGGCCACAACAAAAGCCTTGGGCGCCGGACTGTGGCGGGCTGCGGAGCGGGGGCCCGGGCCCGCGGTGGCGGCTGGGGGCCTCGGGGACGCCTAGTTTGAGGCTGGGGGCTGAGGGCTGAGGGCTAAGGGGGGAGCTGCCCCGGGAGACTGTTAACCCTGTCCGCCCTGAGCCCGCGGCTCGGCAACCTGTGCGAGTGTGGACCGCGGTTCGCTCGCCTCTACCCCGGCTCAGACCCTGCGCGGCGGAGAGAGGGGCCCGGCCGGAGCCGGCGGCAGCGCGGGGTGCCGGGGGCCGTAGGCGGAAGACAATGCTCCGGGGGCTCCCGGCCGCCCGAAGCGCGCGCCGCCAGGCTCCCGGCCCCGGCTCGGGTCAGCTTCGGGCCCACCTTTGCCTGCCCACGCCTGAAAGTTTCCCCTCCCGTCCATCAGTTTGCAAAGTCCTTGCTCCCTTCCGCGAGCTTCCCCCGGCTGCCTCCTCCGCGGGCTGTGGGTTTGCCGTGGGGTGGCTGCTGCTGGATCCCCGAGGGTCCGCATCTGAAATGAAGCTGCTGTGAAATAGCCAGCAAGGTGAAGGAGCCTTGTGTCCTTTCAAGACATGTAAACATCTTCCTAGCGGTGTTTTACATCTTAGGAGTCTTGAGTTCGATCCCTCTGTTGTAAGAGAAGCCAAGGGTGCTTTTCTTGGCTTTGTTTTTAAGAACAAAAGCACGTGCCATGAATTGAGGCAGAGGAGTAGATTTCAGATTTAGAGAGACTGGCTCCATGAAGGAGGTCCGGCGGTTTGCCCAGTGTAGAATGACTCTTTGAATTTTGGTTCCCGTCTGGGTTGAGGGAGATGCAGCAGCAGCACAGCAGAGTAGCCGCATCAGTGACTGTTACGGGGAAGTGTTTAGATACAGCCTCATCTTAGAGAAGTAGTTCTGATCGGGAATGCTTATTGATGGGAATTGAGTTACTTTGTAAAGCCAATATGATATGAGCAAGGAAACAAAGACCTGACTACCCCTGGGGATGTTACCTCCTTCCCTCACCCTCCTTTAGTCCTTGGTGGTGTGCTGGTGCCATTCCTGCATTTTAGTCTGGAAAAAGAATAGAAGTCCTTAGTTCTATTATTAAGAAGTGGTTACTCCTGAAGATGATGCTTTCCGTCTTTACTTTTAAACAAATCAATACTATCTTTTTCCTCCAGAAAAAAGGACAAAAACCCACAAAGATAAAAAAAATTCAGAGTCGGAGAGCCTAGGAAAGAGGTGTAAGAGCTTGACTGGGTGGGGCTGGAAGGATAAAAGAGCTGAAGATAAAATATAACTAAGATGCAGCCTTTCTTCTACCATACCCCCCCACCCCATTGTTTGAAACTATTAGGAAAATAAGTAAATTACTGGTAAAGCCTATCATTCTACCCTCTCTTTCCTCCTACCCCTTTTCCCTCATCCACTACTAAAATTCTCTATCTCCATCTCTCCTAAATCGTCCCATTTATAAAAGGAGAAGGACAATGAGCTGTTTCCTCATCCTAGCTGCTCTATGCTTCTGAGCTTTATTTTGTGCTTTGAGCATTTAGGTGGCTATTTCTTGGGAGTTCCGTGATTGAGATATTTGAAGTAGAGAGGGCTAGGGGAATTTAATAGCAAAGTGCACATTCTTTCTTTGTATAGAACAAAGTGAAAGCTTTATCACTGGGGAAGGAGAGAGGAGTTTTTCGCTCACAATAAGTTATCTGTTTCCCAGGAAACAGACTTAAATTTCATGTTAGTTTGATAGTGAAACTCTAAGATTTTATAGTCAAAACTTTTTCTGAGCATGTGAGTTTGTTGATGTTAAGCTGCTGTTGACTTTCTTTTCCTTCAGAGACAGATAGTAGGAAACAATTCTTACCACTTCTTTGAGCGGTTTTGGCCTCAAGTTTTGTTTTTGTTTTTGTTCTTTTTGGTTTTTTTTGTTTTCCTATCCCCAGAACTCTAGAATTATGCATGATTAAAACTGCAGCTGTGCGCAAAAATAAAAAGAATGATTTTAAAAATATGTACTGGATAAATTATTCAGTATAGATTGGAGGAAAATGTGTGGTAGAGTCTCGAGGAAAGACATTAGATTTTCAGTAGTGATATTTCTATAATGTTAGGAACAAATGAAGTGTAACAGCTTCTTACTGGCTAGGAAAGAGTTTTACCTACTATGTCAAAAAATGAGTTTCCTCTTTTTGCTTTCCAATTCGTCATGTTGGGAACTATTGACAGTTTGGTATATTCAAGGAGTGTATTGCACGTGAAGTTTGAGATGAATGTAACTAGGCTATTGGGCCTGAAAACCAAATCCTGGTCCCCAGATTTTATCTCATTAAAATAATTCTGTAGTCAAAGCATGCAAACCTTACAAACTTGTTAAGAGGGGTGGAAAGCAGGGGCTTGGTATTAGAGAATTTTTTTGATAGCAGATTTAAGAGAAGCTGGGCTGAAATTTCAGCCCATTTTAAAGTCCAGAATCTATCTGTCTCTTAACTTTCCAGTTTTATTTTCAGGTTAATTTTTAAAGATCTTCTGTCTTCTTTAGTCTTAGTAATTAATAATTTCTAAATTGAACTGAATTTTGATGCCTACCATTCGTTTAAATTTTGAACCTAGATGGATTTACTTTTCCTCTGTGTGTGTGTTTTAAGCCTTAATCACTTAACACATTGGAAGATTAAGTTATTTGTTGTAATCAGTAGATGATGACAAATGGACTTTAAACATTAGATGAAGCAGGAAAGTTCAGAAAAGAGATACTCTGAGATTAATAGGAATCTAGGTCCTGTGAATTAAATATGAAGCTATATAAACTTTCTTGTAGCAACCAGTAGGCAAAGGGCCAAAGACTATATAGACTTTAAGAGAAGGAAAGTAACATTTGAGCAATGAGTGTACACTGAGTGTATATTTTGTCTAACAAGACAATAATTTCCTTAAGAAGCTCTTATTTAGAGATAGTTATTGCTAATCCTTGCAATGCGTTCTTGAAAACGTGTCTGAAAAAAGACAAAGAATATCCCTCCTGTTCGCTCTGTAGGCACTGTGTAACCAGCATTTACTTTGAAACAACCTTTAGATGATCTTTCTCAATTGGAAATGCAAAATGTTACCTGCATTTATCAGGTGTCAAGAAAATGAAATCTCAACAGAATGATGGAATGGAGCCCTTTCTGTAGAGAAAGTGTGAATTGGAATAGAGTTGCTGAACATAATCTTTTGTTGCAGAACCCCTTTGACAAGCCCTTAGGGCCCTCTTTTCTCATCATCCTTTCTTCTGGGATTCAGCCTGCTTTCCTCTTCACAGTTGCCACCTCCTGCGTTTCCCACCGAGTTCTTTGGGTCTGATTTTGCAGGCAGCCCGGGAAGACAGTCTTCCAAGATTGGAATCCCTTCCCTTTATTGCTGTCTTTCAGGACAAATACTTAGTTGATTTTATTTTAAAGACTTTTACTTTTTGTCATCAAAAGAAACCTGATAAATAATGGTTGGAAATATAAAATTCCTGATGTTATACATTCATAAAAATAGAAATGGGTAAGCTTTAAAGTATCTAGTCCTTTTTGTTTTCTGATGGAATGTTAACCAAGTAACTTAGTCCGAAATCAGCTTTCCAGATATTCTGTATTGCTCTATGGAGAAGTGAATGTGTCTCTTTTCCCATACAAAGGGCGTGAGCAACTGTTGCATAGCATTCACTTTTTGCAGGGCCCTGGCCCCTGAAGCTGCTCACTCCGATTATGTTAATCTAATAGGTCCCCCCCCTTTTTTTTTCCAGTTGATATACTACAGTTTCTTATAATAAAAAAAAAATCAGTAAGAACGCCCCAAATGACTGTTAACTTTTATTTAATGACTTGCTACATTTTGATAGGATCTCTTTGGGTCCAGAATCTTTGCTATGTCCTGCAAGTCTGGAACTTCAACTTACAGCTTTTCCATGGATGACCTTACCTTAGGAAAAATGGCATACTCACATAATTGTGATTAGAAGCAGATAATTCATTATGTTATTGAAGACATATTATTTGGAATGTTTATCAAAAGTTTTTATTTTTTTATTTTATTTAATTTTTTTGAGACAGTCTCACTCTGTCACCCAGGCTGGATGCAGTAGTACAGTCTCCACTCACCGCAACCTCCACCTCTCATGTTGAAGCAATTCTCAAGCCCCTCCTGAATAGCTGGGCCTACAGGCGCATGCCAGCTAATTTTTGTATTTTTAGTAGAGATGGGTTTTTGCCGTGTTGGCCAGGCTGGTCTCAAACTCCTGGCCTCAAATGATCTGCATGCCTTCGTCTCCCAAAATGCTTGGATTACAGGCGTGAGCCACTGTGCCCAGCCAGGAATGTTTATCAAAAGTTTTTAAATTGTGCATACCATTTGATTCAGTTGATTGGTTATCTGATTTTTTTAGTATTGAAAATCAGATTTTGACTCTTACTAAATTGATCATCACTGATTTGCTTTTCTTACTAGGTACAGTAGAGCAGTAGTGTATTCCTTGGCTTGTTGCTTAATTAGTAGTCAATAAACCAGTCATTTCACTAGTATTTTTTCTTGTCAGCCAGTCAGCACATATTTACAGATTTAGCAGAGTTAATTACTTCATACACAAAATAATGTACTATAGGTTCTTTCATAAAATTCCATAAAGCATTTAATATTTTATTTTTAAACAATCGAAATAGTTTTACTGTGTTACATGTACATATATATTTTCTGACAAAATGAGAGATATATACATATACTGTTTTGTAAACTGCCTTTAAATTTTATTTTTTATTTATTGTTACTATCTTACTGTATCCACAAATACAGGTTTATGCTCATCATTTTTAGTAACTATATAATATTCCATCATGTGGTTATACCATAATTTATTTAACCAATTTCTTATTGGTAGACTTTTCAGTTGTTACCAGCTTTTAGGGTTTTTTTTGTTATAAACAGTGTTACACTAATATTTTGGTTGTGCATCATGTGTACTTACGTGTTTACTTAGAATAATAAGATTTGCTGGATGAAATTGTGTACATTTTAAGGGCTTTTGATATAAGTAGCCACTTTTTTTTTTAAGTACCAACTAGTTTACTAATAACATTTGAAAATGTTGAAATATTGAAGGTGTTCTTTACCCTGTACTCCCACCCTATACTGTGTTCTATCATTATTGTTTTTTCCTATCTGGTTGGCAAAAAATCTTATCTCACATTTGCATTTTTTATTATTAGTGAAGTTGAATATCTTTTCATATGTTTCTTGGCTGTTTGTATTTCTTTTGTAAATTTATGTCCTTTGCTTATTTTTCTATTAAAATGTTATCCCCTATCTGCTTTTATTTTTAAAATTCATTTACTGTATATAATTACATAAACAATACCTTTATTCTTTTTAATTATTCTGTTCTAGGATAGCATTTCTCAAGACCTGACTTATGGAGCACTTGTAACCTGAGGTAATCATTAGAATGCATATCATTCTCCAGGATTCAGATTTCCAGGGGAATCCATGAATCTGCTACACTTTACGATTAGAGAACTGCTGTTTTGGGGGAAATGAAAATTCTTTAACACCTATACTTTACCTGTTTTCTTCATGTCTCACTGAATTCCACTGCTGTTTTTTCCCTTCTTTTAATAATCATAAACTGCAGTCTTGCTGTATCAAGATTCTTGTCCTTTCACAGCTTAACAGTAGATTTTACAAAAGCATCTTGGTACATGGTAATTTGAATGTCATAGTACATAAGGAAGCACTTTTATAAGAAGGTAGGATGCTTTACTTGCAAGTAAGGCAAAAGGAATAATCAAAAGGAAACCAGGTAAAATAGATGGAGTAGGCAGAAGTATAGGGGGACATTTCAGCTAGTTTTAAAGGCTCAGTGAGATATTGCTCAGTTTCTTCTTCAGGTTTTATGTGGTAGTCTTCTTTGAACCATTGATTTGAAACCCATACCTGCTTGAAAAATAGATTAGTTTAAATGAAATTTTTGAAATTCTTGTTGTTACTATATGCGTATTCAACAGGGAGTAATGTTCCCTTTAATTTTATTTAGTTGCAAGCAGATGAATATGCTGCATAAGTAATAAACTACAAAGACTGAACTTACATGGATGTTTTAATACTACAATCAAATAAAACTTTCAACAGTTACTTGACATATTTAGTGATATGCATAATTGTTACTGCGCTGCATGGTAATTAAGATAAATATGTTTTTAACTGTGGTTAATACCAGTTTTCTTTTTTTTTTCTGATGGAGTTTCGCTCTTGTTGCCCAGGCCTGGAGTGCAATGGCATGATCTCAGCTGACTGCAACCTCTGCCTCCCAGGTTCAAGCGATTCTTCTGCCTCAGCCTCCCAAGTAGCTGGGACTACAGGCGCCTGCCACCACGCCTGGCTAATTTTTTGTATTTTTAGTAGAGACAGGGTTTCACTATGTTGGCCAGGCTGGTCTTGAACTCCTGACCTCGTGATCCGCCTGCCTCGGCCTCCCAAAGTGCTGGGATTACAAGCGTGAGCCACTGCGCCCTGCCCAGTATCTGTTTTCTATAGGCAGATCTCAACATTTGTGGGGAGAAAAAGAAATATGGCAGGCCAAGAATCTGTTTCAGAAATTTCTGATGTAGAACATGAGGCGCTTTAGGGCTTTTTGAGCAGGGTTTGCTTTTACCTTAGTTTCCTAATTCTAGGGACCATAGACTTTTCTTTTCCCTTCTGTTAGTCAAGACCATCTACTAGAGGGAGAAATTGGGAAGATTCAGTCACTGTTTTACTTTCTCCAAATAGTTATCTGCCTAGTAACTGAAGCTTGGGACATGGAGTTCCCAGTCATTGATAGTTAATGCACAGAGGACAGTTTCTTTCCCCACTTAAGCCAAAGCAGTTCCAGGTCCCACAATCTAAGTTATCATAGGTGCTAGTATTTAAGTTGTCCTATTAGTCTGGGTCTTTGAGAATTTCTGAACCTGAATTTCTCTTTTCCTAACCTAGGCTCTCCACAACAAACATAAGACTATCCAATGCATATGAAACAAATTGAAATAAAAGCAAAGTTAACATCGTTACTAAACCAAATCAAAATGTGATAGCTTAGAATATACTTTTTTCATACCAGACCTGCCTTCCACTCCACCCACACCCTCTCAGCTGAAATTGAGAATCACACATATTTTTGCCCCTGGAAAAGTACATACAAGTCAGAAATTCTAAAGCTCTGTGGAAACAATAACTGGGAATTATTCTTATTTTTCCTGTGACTTTTTAGGGATGATTTCTATTCTCTGTGCAGCATGGCTGTGTGTAATGACCGTTCGTTGATGAAATATTTCTTAGTGCTACATCTGTGTTATTAAATTTTTGTACTGTCTAAAAAATAATATAATATTGTGAAGATTTCCTAATATTTTAGAACCTTCTATATGTCAGTTCAGTATTGGTTGATAGAGGTAGCATTTGTATAAACTAATTCAATGATTAAAATGTCTAACGCTTCATACTGCTTTACCATTTATAAAGTACTTTTGCATACATTATCTTATGATTCACTCATATCATCCCTGTGAGCTAGGTGGTATTGGAATCATTTTCAAGAAGAAAAATTCTAGGTACATAGAAGTTAAGTGGTATGTTTATATTCACACAGCTAGCAAGAGGCTTGAATCTGTATCTTTTGACTTACTTTTCAGACCACTTTCACAGATGCCTTCTGCTACATCAGTTAATACAAAAATATACTATTAAAGATTAAAACACATGCAATTTTAGTTCAATAATTTAGGTTATAAGCGTAATATTTATTATTTAAATAAAATTTAGGACAATAGCATAATAATTTTTCAAAATGAATCAATTATATATTGTGACGGATGAAAAACTGCCATTATACATGAGAAGTTGAACCATGTGTTATATAAGCAACTGAGGGATGAAATTAAATTTGCATTTAAATGCTGTTTAAGGATCATTTTAGTGTAGCTATAGCATAAATGATAAAGTAGAAAAATGATATCTTTATAAAGTACCCACATATTGTTAACTATTAGGTCAGTATAATATCTCTCATCAAAGATTTTTAATGTCAAGTCCATAATACTTTGAGAGGAAATGACTAATTTCTCCCATTTTTTAAAATAATACTTTTCAGATATTTCAGTTGAAGGAAGAAATAGCTCTTCTCCTAAGATGGAATCTGTGGTTTGGGAATGTGGTTGATCAACTTGATATGTTGGCCAAATGTGCCCCATGTAATAAAATGAAAAGAAGAGACAAGATGATGTCATTTTCCCATATTGTGAAACCAAAAACAAACGCCTTTTGTGAGACCAAGCTAACAAACCTCTGACGGTGCGAAGAGTATTTAACTGTTTGAAGAATTTAACAGTAAGATACAGAAGAAGTACCTTCGAGCTGAGACCTGCAGGTGTATAAATATCTAAAATACATATTGAATAGGCCTGATCATCTGAATCTCCTTCAGACCCAGGAAGGATGGCTATGACTTGGATTGTCTTCTCTCTTTGGCCCTTGACTGTGTTCATGGGGCATATAGGTGGGCACAGTTTGTTTTCTTGTGAACCTATTACCTTGAGGATGTGCCAAGATTTGCCTTATAATACTACCTTCATGCCTAATCTTCTGAATCATTATGACCAACAGACAGCAGCTTTGGCAATGGAGGTAAGACTTGATCTATTCTTTGACGTATCTTAGTAAATGACTCTTGTGTTGTCCCATCAGCCAATCTAATGAATGTGTTTGATAAACAACAGGAAAATAATATGCTATTTTAAATTATATCTTATAAATTTAAAAATGTATATGTTTTGCTTCAGACTCTAATAGATTGAAGAATTCACATTTGGTGAATGTTACTCTTATATTTTAGACATTATACTTTTATAAAGAAATTTGAAACATCAGAACATGGGAGATAGCAGCCATTCAGAAGTTTAAAATTTAAGAATAACTCCCAAGCAGTGAAAAAGTTTTTGTCAATGCGAATTATCTGTTCTTGATCTCTCAGAATTTTATGAAAGTTTGCTGCCTTATTTGAATTTTTCAGTGGTAATTCTTCAGACATTTCTTAATTATTTTAGTTTAGAAACTATTTCAAATTTAGAAACTATGGACACATTAATTGATATAGTTAATAATAGGTTTAAATAAGGGTATATCTGTCTATAATGGTTTTAGAATTGAGGACAGGGATATATATACCAGATAAGAACTAGCAGGCAGTAAGCAGTGGTGGTAATGACCATAGGCTTTGAGGTAGACAAACCTGGGTTTGAATTCTACCTCTACCACTTTCTAGCTGTATACTTTGGCCACGTTATATGAACTTTCTCACCATAGTTTCTTTGCTTGTAACTTAGAGACTTCAGTAAGGTACAAAGTGAAAATCCATGTATAGTACTTGGCGCATAGTAAGTACTCTATAAGTGATAGCTTTTACCGTTAATTCATATTCTCATATTAACGTGGTTACATAACATAATTTAGAGGGAATGTTTGATACATTACTCTTCAGCCTATTTCCATAGCGCTTTCAGCAAATGGAAGCCTACATGTTTTGGAATTCTTCATTTTATAATAAAACCGAAAAGTTCATCATTTTAAGGGAGACTAACCTAAGTCTAAGAAAATTTGTAAGATTATTATTCATAGATTTTGAAATAAGGAGGGCATCTTATATATTCCAAATATTTGAAAATGCTGTAGAGGTTGAACAAAACATTTTTTGCTTTTCCTCTGAGTACACGAGGTCTAAGTGGTTGAAGAGAGAGAATTGGTATAGGCTATCAGATTAGGATATATAAAAATGGGTATTGGTTTAATACAGTAAGTTGGTTCCAGGCATGGTAGTCTTTGCTATGTATTAAAGCTATCAATTTCTCACAGAAAATTGAACTAGAAACATTTTTATTTCTGGTATCATTTTAAATCATAACTCCTTTGGGAAGCAAATAGGTTAATAAGAAGCAGGTCATAAAGATGTTTGTCCTGACTTGGGTTCAACTTTTGGCTCTGCCATGTAGTAGGTTTAAGACTTTGGACAGGTTACTTAACACTCCTGATCTTTGTTTTCTTCATTTGTGAAAAGGCAGTATAATGATACACCTTGAAGGGCTGTTAGGATTAAATAAGAGATTTATGAAGTAGCTAGCACAATGCATCATACGCAATAGGTGATTCACAAATATTAATTCTACTCCAAATTCCATTTCTAAATCATCTAAAGGGAAGTACTAGAAACACCATGTATTTGCTCCAGTGAATTTGCATCCCTCATTGTAGGTTCATGGGGCATTCATTCATAGTGATAGCATGATAGGCTCTCTCTGACTTCTCAAATATGCACAAGTAGTCTAGATATTTCAGTGACAATGGGGTTGCCTCTGTTTGAATTTCAGACACTGACATTCTGGGGAGAGCACCTAAGTGAGTAATAGTTTCTAAGAGAAGGCTCTAATGACTTGAAGTAATGTTGGGAATAGTTGCATATTGCATGTTTATCGTATCAGGACAGTGATGCCACTGACAGAAAGAATAATCAAACACAGTTTGAGAGTGTAACGTTTCTTTAATAGCAAATGACGTGGAAACTCAGCAGACAACACTGCCTGCTCAGTGCTGCTGATGACTCTCCACCTCCATCCCTCTACTGATCCAGGAACCAGCTTAGCAGGCACAAGTAATTGGAGCAAACCCAGCACACTCTTGAGTGTTTGCTGTGAGACTGAATGAATTCAAAGACAGTTTCCTAGGTGTAGCATCTTTCAGCAGGCCCCAGGCTTTAAGCCTGCCTAGAGTCCATTCCTTTTTTCTTTTTTTATTTTTTTTTGAGACATGGTCTCACTCTGTGGCCCACACTGGAGTGCTGTTGTGCAATCATGGCTCACCACAGCCTCAACCTCCCAGGCTCAGGTGATCCTCTGCCTCAGCCTCCCAAGTAGCTGGGACTACAGGTGTGTGCCGCCACCCCTGGCTAATTTTTTTGTATTTTTTTAGAGACAAGGTTTTGCCATGTTGCCCAGGCTGATCTCGAACTCCTGGGCTGAAGCGATCCACCCACTTGGGCCTCCCAAAGTGCTGGATTATAGGCATGAGCCACCGCGCCTGGCTGGAGTCCATTCCTTTACTGTTTTGTGAGTTAAAAGGAGTGCCTGGAACACAATGGTATGTGGGCAGTAAGCTAGATTAGCCACAAATAGGAGAAAGAGCAGAATCTGGGTTATTTTAAGTTTTATTCACAATCAACAAGTTGGATCTTCTTACATTGTGTCTACAGGGTACATACTCTGTACTTTTATTGAGATTGGGACATGTTTAAATAGATAAGTGTCAATCCATTAAGTTAGAAAAGAAGGTTCTTGCTAATATGTTTATTTCTTTATCTCTGCCTTCCAAAACGTGCACATCAATATGCAAACACACATGCTACGTTTTTCTAAGTTGTTAACTTGACGTTCTCTTTTCCCCTGTGTATGAGTAGCTTTTGATAGGAAAAAAATGCTCACTTCTGAGCCTTCCAAACCATTTTGAGCTGTCCAAATTGCTAAGTAAATTTTTGGGAACTGTTCAGCATGGAGCAATAATCAACAAATGTCAGTAGCAATCTTTACTGAGCCACCTATTATCAGGTATTTACGACTCTAGTGGTAATAAAAGAGATCTGGGCAGGCTTTTCCTCATACTGAATAATTGAACCAAATTGGCTAGGACGGGAACAGATTAGTGGAAGAAGCACTAGAATAGGGATAGGAGACTTGTATTCTGTCACTAACTAGGTTTGAGACCTCTTTGTGTTGATTTCCAATAGGAAGTAAATTTTTTTCCTGCCATTTTATAGGGTTATTGTTAAGATCAAGTGAGATAAGTGGCATTTATGTTAAAGAATTTTGAAAAGTTAAAGTGCTGTGTGAATACAGAGCATTCTTCTTTGTTGCCTGTCACCCTGTTTTTTCATTTCAGTTAGTGTGTGGAACGAGCAATCTTTAATCTCTTTGGGAGGTTGATTGCTTGCCCCTCCCCACCCCATATATAGAGGAAAGTAGGCCTCTCTATAGGATAATCAGAGGAAAAACTCCTGGAATGGTTTGTGTTTGCCTCCGTTTCCTGTTTTCCTTTGTCATTCTCATTAAAGATTTTTTTATGATTTAAGGTTTTCTTATAATGGGAGCATGGAAAGCTGGCAGTGAAATAATCCTAGTAGGAACACAGAGCCTAAAAGCCTGAACATCCTGTATCTTTTATGGTTCATTAAGAACAGAGTATGTTTCAACCAGTCTCTCAGTTATCCAAACTCAAATTTGAGCTTTTTACTAAAAAACTTTATTATGGAAATTTCCATTATATACAAATAGAATAATATAATGAAGTGCCATGTATCCAGCATCCAGCCTTAAACATTACCAACTCATAGCTAGTCTTGTTTCATTATCACTGCATGCCCTTCTGGGTCACCTTGAAACAAATTTCGTATATCAAAATTTCATCCATAAATATTTTGTTATATACCTCCGAAAAGTAAGGTATCTTTCAAAATATATGAACACAATACCTTTATTCCTTTATCAGTGTCAAGTATCAAATTAATGTTCAAATTACTCTTGCATATTTCACAATTTTTTTTCATACTGGCTTTTTCTAATCAGGGTTCATACATTGCATCCAATTGATATGTCTCTTAAGTCTGTTTTAATTTATAGGTTTTCCTTTCCTGTTCCCCTTTTTTCTTGTGATATATTTATCTTATAGAGTTTCCCATAGTCTTTATTTTGCTGATTGCATCCCTGTGGTGTTGTTTACCGTGTCTCTGTCTCATTTATTTTTGTAAACAGGCACTGTAGAGGCTTGATTAGACACGAGTTTGGTTTTTTATTGTTGTTTTGGAAGGAATACTTCATAGGTAGCTAACATACTCCTGCCAGGAGCACATAATATTAAGTTGTTACTCTTTTTATAAATGTTAGCAGCCATTGATGATTTCCTAGACCAATAGTTTTGTTAGGGGTTTGCAAAATGGTGATACTCTAATTCTGTCACCCTTTCTTCATTTCTTAGCTGGAATATTTGGAAACTTCTCATTGACTATTGGATTACTTTCATATACAGTTTATATAAGAAAGATAGGATAAGTGCTTGCATGTTCCCCCGTTATTAGTTTTTAGAATAATTAGTTGATTCCCAAGCATCCATCAAAGGTGACCAGTGAGGGTTTTTGTTTTTTTTTTGGTTTAAGTTTCATTGTGAACTCAAGGATTTTTTTTTTTTTTAACATATTTGATGTTTTAAATCTATCACAGTGATTATTGAGGCTCAAAATATTCCATCTTTGGTAGTGGGAGCCTCTACATGGTAGCTCCTGAGTGTTTTGTTTTTGACACAAGGTCTTGCTCTGTCACCCAGGCTGGAGTGCAGTGGAGCAATCATAGCTCACTGTAGCCTGAAGCTCCTAAGCTCAAACAATCCCCCTACCTCAGCCTCCAAAGTAGGTTCTACAGGTACATGCCATCATGCCTGGCTAATTTTAAAGAACTTTTTTTTTGTAGAGGCAAGATCTCACTATGTTGCCCAGGCTGGTCTTGAACTCTTGGCCTGAAGCTATCCTCCTGCCTTGGCTTCCCAAAGCACTGGGATTACAGGCATGAGCCACTGCGCCTGGCCCTCTTTAGTGTTTTTGACACCACCCTAGTGGTGTTTAACAGTTTCTTTTCTTTCTGGTGTGATTCAAGCTCGCTTCATAAAATTCCGCGTCAAACTCTGAATCATCAATTTCTTTAGGAAGCTCTGGTTCCTTTTATTTGGAAATGATGCTTAAGAGATCACTATCTGGGTGCTAAGCCTAGTGATACTAAGTCATTTTTAGGCCTTTTCATGAACACAGCTAGGGAATACTTTTTTTTTTTTTTTTTTTTTAAGGGAAAGTCCATCATGAGTTTATACTGATACTTGCGATTCAAGTAATATTGCAGGGTGTTGTTTGTTTTTGAGACAGGGCCTGGCTTTGTCACCCAGGCTGTAGTGTAGTGGCACGATCACAGCTCACTGCAGTCCTAATCTCCCGGGCTCAGTTAATCCTCCTACCTCAGCCTCCTGAGTAGCTGGGACTACAGGTGTATGCCACCATGCCTGGCTAATTTTTGTGTTTTTTGTTTGTTTGTTTGTTTGTTTGTTTGTAGAGACAGGGTTTCACCATGTTGCCAAGTTGAGTCTCAAACTTTTGTTCTCAAGCGATCCACCTGCCTTGGCCTACCAAAGTGCTGGAATTACAGATGTGAACCACCATGCCTGGCCATGGATTTTATTTAGCATCTTTAAATTCATTTTTGTTTCTCTACTCTCTTATCCTCAAATTTATTATACACATACATTGTATAGTTTCAGAATAATATTAGCAATATTTTTACTAACAATGATTACAGCAAGCAGTTTAAGATTTCTTTATACTTCTTTTTGTCCTTTAGGGACAAAGATTTCTTTATACTTCTTTTTGTCCTTTAGGGATGTATATCAGCAAGGATGTACAATCAAATTATTGTGTTTTAAGTCACTGAAATATTTTTTCTTCATGTGGTTAAACACAATACACAGTTAGGTTCATATGTTTTATTTTGATTTTGAGGAATGACTTTAATTTTTTAATTTAAATTTATTTTATAATTATACTTCAAGGTACATTCAGAGAACTCTAGTTTCTATCCCTCTGTCACCTCTATCTTATTTTTTCCTTCCACCTAAAGGCAGTCATTTTTTAAAAGTTTTTATCCTTCCATTTAAAAACCTTAAATATAACACTTATATAAAATATTTATATATCTATATTCTTTCACCTTTTTTGATACAGTTATAACGTTTGTTTTCCCCACACTGGTTTTTTTTTCCACTTAATATATTTCAGATATTTCATAGTAGCATTTATAGATATTCCTCATTTTAAAATTTTTAAAAATTGTGGTAAGATATGCATAATACATTTAAGTAACATAATTACAATTCCATCTCCAGAGTTTTCTCTTCTTCCAGAATTGAAAATCTACACTCATTAAATAACAAATCAGTCCTCATTTTTTCTTCTCCCTAGTCCCTGGCAACTACCGTTTTACTTTCTTTGCCTCTGAAGTTGACCACTCTATGTATTTCGTATAAGAGGAATCACACAGTATTTGCCCTTTTGCGACTGGCTTATTTTATTTAGCATAACGTCCTCAAGGTTCATCAATGTATCATGTGTTGGAATTTTCTTATTTTTTTAAGGCTGAATAGTATTCCATTGTAGGTATATAACACATTTGGCTTATCCATTTATCCATCAGTGGACACTTGGGTTGTTTCTACCATTGGAGTATTATGAATAGTGTTGCTATGAATATAAATGTACAATCTGAGTTCCTGCTTTAAATTATTTGGGGTTTGTAGTCAGAAGTGGAATTGCTGGGTCATATGTTAATTCCATGTTTAATTTTTTGAAGAACTGTCAAAGTGTTTTCCATATGGTGGTACCATTTTACATTTCCACCAGTAATACACAAGATTCCAATTTCTCCACATCTTGGCTAACACTAGGTATTTTCTGTTTTTTTTGTTTTTGTTTTTTTGTTTTTTGTTTTTAATAATAGCTGTCTTCAGGAGTATGATGACATGATCCTTATTTTTTTATAGCTAAATTTTACTCCATTGTATTGGATATACAGTATTATTCAATGTCTGTTGATGGACACAGGAAACAACTGTGTTTCTGGTCTTTTACTGTTACAATGTTGCAAGTGTGTTTTCACATTTTGACTAGTGTATTTTTGGGATAGGTTCCTAGAAGTATAAATGTATGTGTTACTTTCCTTGATATTGCCAGACCTCTCTATAGGGGTTGTACTATTTTGCATTCCCACTAGTAATGTGTGAGAGTATCTGTTTCTTCACAGCTTTACCAAAATAATATGTTGTCATGTTTGTTTGTTTTAAACCAGTATGATAGGTGGGAAATGGTGTCTCAATGATTTTCATCACCTACTTTACAGAGACAGAAACACCTTCATAATTATTGATACATGAGGGTTCTTAATACCAGCAAGAGTATGAAATTCAGAGACAAAGCAGTTCAAGCCCAAGTTTTGCTACTTATCAACTGTGGACAGTAACAATATAATATCCATGTGCCATCATTAGAATAGAATTGGTTATAAGGATCAAACGAGATATGTGAAAATTGTTTTTTAAAATAACAGTGGGCCGGGCACGGTGGCTCAGGCCTATAATCTGAGCACTTTGGGAGGCCGAGGCGGGCGGATCACCAGAGGTCAGGAGTTGGAGACCAGCCTGACCAATATGGTGAAACCTCATCTCTACTAAAAATACAAAAATTAGCCGGGCGTGGTGGTGGGCACATGTAATCCCAGCTACTCGGGAGGCTAAGACAGGAGAATTGCTTGAACCCGGGAGGCAGAGGTTGCAGTGAGCCGAGATCATGCCACTGCACTCCAGCCTGGGCAACGGAGTGAGACTCCGTCTCAAAAATAAATTAATTAAATAAAATAACATTGCCGGCAAGGTGCGGTGGCTCATGCCTGTAATCCCAACACTTTGGGAGTCTGAGGTGGGCGGATCACTTGAGGTCAGGAGTTTGAGACCAGCCTGACCAACATGGGAAAACCCCATCTCTACTAAAAATACAAAAGTTGGCCGGGCACAGTGGGTCTACACCTGTAATCCCAGCACTTTGGGAGGCCGAGGCAGGCGGATCACGAGGTCAAGAGATCAAGACCAGCCTGGCCAACATGGTGAAACCCCGTCTCTACTAAAAATACAAAAATTAGCTGGGCGTGGTGGCGTGTGCCTGTAGTCCCAGCTACTTGGGAGGCTGAGGCAGGATAATAGCTTGAACCGGGAGGCGGAGGTTGCAGTGAGCCGTGATTGCGCCTCTGTACTCCATCCAGTCTGGGTAATGGAGTGAGACTCCATCTCACAAAAATAAAAAATAAAATAACAGTGCCAATCCTTGCCTAGAGGATCAAATCCAAAGCATAATAGACTTTCACAAATTGGCTTCTACTTACTTAGCATTCCTTAAGTCTATCAACTCTGTAAATGCCATCTCTGCCTGGAAGGCTCTTGTAGTATCCCCTTTGGTAATATCTTAATTTTCAAGGCGTGGTGTGGATGTTATTTCCTTAAGAAATCTGGGATGCCTAGAAGTTAGTGACTCTCTTCTCCATACTCACCAGTGTGTTTTATATGTACCTCTATTTTTGTGTGTATATTATTATGTTGGAATTGTTCACGTTTTTATTCCTTCTGCTAGAATTTAACCCCTTCAAAGTAGAGCTTGTCTTTATTCATCTTTGTATGCCCAGTACCCGACACAGAACCTCACACATAGTAACTGCTAAATAAATGTTTGAATTAATTCATGAACTTTATAAACCCTAAATCCCTTAGAGGTGGCAGTAGTAATTGATTTTTGTTTTAGTGCTATACCTAAGCTCTTAATCTCCTAGGGTTATAAATAGTTCTGTGGTTGGTGGGGATGGTGATGGTAATTCCAGTACCAAGGTTACCACATACTTTTGAATACTAGTATTTTACTTTTCTTTTTTTCTTTTTCTATTTTTTGGGTGGTAGGGGACAGAGTGTCAAAGTGACTTGAATTCAACATTATGTGTTTGTACTTATAAGTGGTGTAATTAAGCAAAGAAAGCAACACAGCTTTCTCATTTCTAGGCCTTTCATGTTTCTTCTGCATGCATATTCTCCATCTTTGCTTATCAAAATTCTGTTGTACTTGATCCATTGTTAGGTTGAAAAAATAAAGTAAGGTAGATAGCAAAACATTAGTATGGTATCATCCTGGTTTGGTTGAAAAACATATATGCATGTTCATTCAGAGTGAGTGATCGGGTGGAATTTTCACCAGGACCAACATTGGTTGTTCCTGAATTAGTAGTTTGTGTTTTCTGTTCTTCATTTTTTTTTTTAATTATACTTTAAGTTCTAGGGTACATGTGCATTTTCTGTTTTTTCTGTAAGGAACACATTATGCTTTTAAAATAGTAAAACTAGTAAAGAAATTTTATTTTTAAAAAATTTCAACTGTCCTTTTTTGCTCAGCTCCTGGTGCAGGGTCTAAGATTTAGTATTTATTAAATATATTTTGATTGGATAAGTACAATATAGGGAAGAACTTGGTAAATACCGCAAAAAAGCAAAGTGCTAAGGTGATTCAAAGAGAGAATATGTTGAAGGAGTCATGGAAGGCTTCAAATTGCAGATGGTATTTAAATGAACTTTGAAAGACAAATTTTTTTACTGTGGTTTTTATTTTAAGAGAATAGTATAATGTACACCCATATAACAATAATTATTAACATTTTATGGATAGGCTTTTTAGAAAATGAAACTTCTTTTACTACATTTATAGAATTCATGGTGTTAATCTTTAGAATACATGCATTATCAAACATTTACTTTATTATTTTTTGTTGAGATTAATATTAATAAGGTGGTTTTCCCTAAACAAACATCTAGCAAAGTGGCCTAAGAAGCCTGGTGTGAGGAGAAACCAGCCAGGAATTAAACGTCTAAATACAAGTAGTAGATAATTGCATTTAGTCATTTCAGACTTTAGGACAAAAAAATAGCAGCTTCTGAAATTTTTAATTTATTTTCTTGTGTGACAGATCACTATAAAGTGATTTACTTGTCTTAAATTATTAAATACATTGGAATTTGGTTTGTAAAGCTTTATCTTTTGAGACTTAATTCAGAACTGTCCATGATATTGGAAATATTAAAAGTTTACTTCCTATAGGAAAGTCAGATTTATGGACCTCTCTGGGAACTCTGCTTTGACTTGTGAAAACACATATTCTTCCGTGATAATGAGAAATTTCTGTAAAAAACTCACTGAAAAAGTATTGGAAGGTATTTAATATGCTATCACAGAACATTTTTAAAAATTAAGGTTTGAACAGGAAAATAAACCTATGGGATTAAAGGCGTTTTTACAAACCTAAAGTTTTTTGTTTTTTTATTTAATACAAAATAATTCTTAAAGTTTGGACCTTTTCTCATTAGGCATTTTATTGTTACAGAAAGGGGATTTTTAAAAGGTGTCATTTTTAGTCACAGTTATTCTGAAAAGTTGTTTTTGAATAATTTCTCATTCTAAGGGATCTGAAATAGCCATTTTTAAATTTTCAAGACCATTCCACATTTGGTTTTATGTTTAATGAATTTAGTCATAATACTCCCAAACCCCATAGGGTACAGTTTCTATGGTTACCAGACCCTTTGTAGAGTGACAAAGGTTGGAATTCTGATTCTCGTGAGTCAAATTTTGGCCTTTGACTGGGTCCCCTCTGCACATCCTTGCTAAGCTTGGGCTGTTGCTATGCTTGAAGGCTTGTCAGCTAGCAGGTTCCTATGGTAACAGGAATGGAAATTTGAAAGAAGAAAGAGAATGGTAGCACAAAGGCTTGGTTGATTTGAATTTGAACAAAGAATGGAAGGTTCCCTGTAGTGCACCTTTGTTGTAGAAACCAGAAATTTAATTTTAGAAAGTTACTTTCCAGTTGTAAACTTCCTATACCCTGGTCTTGATTTAGTGAACAAAAGTATTATGGTTTAGGGAAGTACTCAATAAGAATCTTTATAATTCAGTTAGCTAAAGTTCCTTTTCTAGACTTCATAGAGCTTTCATAGTATTTCTTATGTTATACATTTGTTCTCAGATTTTTAGTGTTCAGGCTACCTCATTTAATTTTGATTTTGCTGAGGTCAAAAATTGTTAAGGATAAAAAAAAAATCAGGGCAATTTGCTTATTTGAAAAATATTAATATTTGTATTTGTTTTTATGTAACAGCTTTATTGAGATATAATGTGAGTACAGTAAACTGCCCTCATATAAAGCATTCAGTTTGATGAGTTTTGACAGATCCTGTGAAACCATCACCACAGTCAAGATACAGAGCATTTCCATCACCTGAAAAGCTTTCTTGTGCTGCTTTGTAGTCACCCCGCTCTCTACTGCCTGCTCCAAGCAACACTGATCTGCTTTCTTTCATTATGGATTAGTTTCCATTTTCTAGAGTTTTGTATAAATAGAATCATGCCGTATCTACTTCTTTAGGTCTGGTTTCTTTCACTCAGTATAATGATTTTGAGATTCATCTGTGTTTTGTTTTGCTTTTTAAAAACTTCATTCCTGTTTTAAAAACTGTCTCACTTGGCAGTTGAGAACAGAGAATTTAGCAGGGTTCCTCCTTATGCCCACCAAGTAGGCCTGCTACAGCTCTATTAACTTGCACCTATTCCCCAATCCCTTTCAAGCTATCATTTATTAATTGTGTTCTGTATGCTAACTTTATCTTTTTACTTATGGGTTATTAAGACCATTTTACAGAAGAGGAAACTGAAGCGTAGAGAGATTTAAGTACAACAAATTTGTTAAATGCAAGGGCTCTGGATAAGAATGCCAAGATTTGCCTTAATCTTGGGTCTATCTTTGTAGTTGTGTGATGTTGGATAAGTTACTTCGTTTTCTGTATCTCGTTTTCTTCACATGTATTGTAAAATGAGTTCATAATAATGGTACTTACCTTATAGGATTGTTGTGAAGGTTAAATGAGATAATATGTGTAAGGCATTTTGAACAGTGCTTGTGTTAGCATTGGAATGTATCCAAGTCACACAGCACCAAAGTATGTTACCAGTGGCAGTGAATCCATACGGGTCTGCAGCAACCTCAGTTCTTGTCTCCTCAGAAGAATTCAACTGAGGGACGTAAGGCAGAGTCTCGGGAGACTGAGACAAGTTTTAGAGCAGGAGTGAAAGTTCAGTAAAAAGCTTTAGGGCAGGAACGAAAGGAAGTAAAGTACACTTGGAAGAAGGCCAAGCGGGTGACTTGAGAGATCAAGTGCACGGTTTGATTTGACTTATGGTTTTATATGTTGGCATACTTCTGTGTCTTCTCTCCTGAGTCTTCCCCTGGGGTGGGCTGTCCGCATGCGCAGTAGCCTGCTAGCACTTGGGAAGGGGCTGCATGTACAGTGTGTTTACTGGAGTTGTATGCATGCTCACTTGACGCATTCCTTCCTTACCAGTCTAGCCTTCCTAGAGGAAGGTCATACACCAGTAAAACGCTGCTGTTTTGCCTCTTAGCATGTTTGAGCCCACTCCCTCAGCTCCTGAGATCTTATCAGGAAGCTGCTGATCACCAATTTCAGGTTTTTCTTATCTGTTGGGAGACTGCCTTTCCCTGGCATCAGCTGAAACCAATTATTATTTTAGAGAGGCTTGAACATCAAAGATTTTCTTCCGTTCTGTTGGTTGTCCGTTCACTGTCCTGATAGTGTCCTTCCATATACAAAAGCTTTTATTTTTGTTGAAGTCCAGGTTGCCAATTTTTTTCTTTTCAACTTGTGCTTTTGGTTTCATATCTAAGAAACCACTGCTAAATCCAAGGTCATGGAGATTTGCCCCTGTGTTTTCTTCTATGAGTTTCATAGATTATGCTTTTATACTTAGGCCTTTGATAAATTTTGAGTTGATTTTTGTATATAAGGTAAGGTAAGAGTCTAACGTTATGCTTTTGCATATGGATTTTCTCTTGTTCAGTATCTTTTGTTGAAGATACTTTTTTCCCATTGAACAGTCTTGGCATCTTTGTTGAAAATGAATTGGCCATACATGTGATGGTTTAATTCTGGACTCGTAATTCTATCCCATTAAGCTACATGTCTGTCCTTATCTAGTACACACTTTTGATTCCTATAATAGCTTTGTGATAAGTTTTGAAATTGGAAAATATGCGTACTCCAATTGGTTCTTTTTCAAGATTGTTTTGGCTATTCAGAGTCTCTTGTAATTCCATATGAATTTTAGGACCAGCTTTTCCATTTCTGCAACAACAGAAGGCCGTTGGGATTTTTGAAGGGATTACACCGAATCTGTAGGTCTCTTTTGGGAGTATTGCCATCTGAACAACATTATCTTCCAAACCATGAACACAGGATGTCTTTCTGTTTATTTAGGTCTTCAGTTTCCATCAACAATATTTTATAGTTTTCTGACTTACATGACATTGGATAAATTTATTCCTATTTATTATTTTTGATGCTCTTATAAATGGAATAATTTTTTATAATTTTCTGTTGGTGGTTTTTAAAATTTTCATTGATCTACTTGGGTTTATATCTACAGTCTTACTATTTGATTTTAATTTGTTCAAACTATTTTGCATTCTTTTTTTTCTCTCTTATCTTGCCTTCTTTTTATTGTTTGTTTTCCTCTCTGTTACTTTGTTAGTTGTGCATTCTTTTATTGTTTACCCTAAAAATTATGATGTGTACTTTTGACTTATAATATTCTAATAGAAATAATTACTTCAACCATTCCCCCATTAGTGTTCTTCTGACGCTCCACCTTTTCCACTTTACTATAATGCATGTTAATTTTACATGTATTTTAAGATGATATTATTTTTGTTGGCACAGAGTATTCATTTATATTTTCCCACAGTCATCCCTTTTGTTGCTCTTAATTCATTTTTAATTTTCATCTTAGATCATTTCCCTTCTGTCTAAAGAACTTTCAAGCATTTCTTTTAGTGCAGTTTGTTGATGGCTAATTTTTCTTTTTTTGTCTATCTAAAAGTATATTTGCCTTCATTTGTAAATAATATTTTTACTGGCTAGAGATTATAGTTTGCAGTTATTTTCACTCAGCTTTTTTAAATAAGCCATTCCATTGTTATGTGGTTTTCTGAAGTCAGCTCTGAAAGTTACTGTCGCCTCCTTGAAGGTAATATGTCTTTTTTCCACTGACTGCCCTTAACATATTTTTCTTTGGTTTTCAACCGTTTAAATAAGATACGCCTAGCTGAGGTTTTCTTGTATTTATCCTTCTTGCGGTTTGCACAACTTCTCAAATCTGTAAGTGGTTATCTTTAATCAGTTTTGGAAAATCCTTAGCCATCATCTTTGTGTATATTGCCTCTGCCCCGTTCTTACTGATCTGTCCTTTTGAGATTGCATTTACATGTGTTAGATCTTTTTTGTGTGTTTTACATGTTTCTTACCCTTTTTTCTGTATTTTTTGGTCTGTGACCTTCTTTCTGTTTGAATATTTTCTATTGCCTTGTTTTCTGTTTTGCCAGTCCTATCTTCTGATAGCTCTAATAAGTTCTTAATTTCAGTAATTATATATTTCAATTATAGAATTTTAATTTGATGCTTAAATTCTAATTTTCTGATGAATTTTTAATCTTTTATTGAAGATATTAGTCATTGTTATATACAGTCTTGTCTGTTAACTCTAATAGCTGGATCACCACATTTTTTTATTTTTTATTTTTTGGTTTTCAGTTATATCACCCTGTCTCTTGGGATGCCCAGTAATTTTTTACTAAGTGCTAGACGTTATAAAATATTAGTGAGATCCCAGATATGTTATGTTGCTATAGAAAAGATTAATCCTCTTTTCTGCTTAGCACATAAATGCAATTAGCACTTTATTTTTATTTATTTATTTCAGAGACAGGGTCTCACTCTGTCTCCCAGGCTGAATGTAGTGATGTGATCATAGCTCACTGCAGCTTTGATCATAGCTTACTGCAGCCTCGAACTCCTGGGCTCAAGTGATCCTCCTGCCTCTGCCTCCCAAGTAGCTGGGACTACAGGCATATGCCACCATGCCTGGCTTTTTTTTTTTTTTTTAAGTAGAGATAGTCTTGCTGTTTTGCCCAGGCTGGTCTCAAATTCCTGAGCTCAGGTGATCCTCCTGCCTCGGCCTCTCAGAGTGCTGAGATTACAGCCGTGAGCCATTGCGTCCAGCCAGCAGATCACTTTAATTCAGTCAGTAACTGAGCTGAGTAGAGGCTGCGTTGCAATGTTGGTAGGTCTCTGCCTCTGATTTGTCTCTGCTACTAGGGTGTAGTCATTCAGGACTTCTCAGCAGAAAGTCTGGTATGTTGAGATGCTGTGCAGAGGTTGAACAGTAATTCATGTCTCTTTAGACTGATAAGACTGCCAAAATCTCTACTCTGTTCTCTTTCTGCTTAGCTTCTTAGCTTCCTTCCCTGTGTAGCTTTAGAATTTTGAGATACACATAGGGAAAACTGGCTTTGTGTTAGACTCAGTCCTTCCCACTTCTTCTCATTTAGATCTTGTTTCTTTCATTTCCCATTTTGTCTCTATAGCCTCACAAGACCACCTACAGCTCTGCTGGTTTCTCAGGTTCTCCAGCACAGCCTAGGCAAAGCTTGATTCCTAGCCTCTTGTCTTACGCCCAGTTCAACAAATACCACCTTTAAAAAGTGGCTGTACGTATCAGGCTACCTGTTTGTGCTTTCCTTCTCTTTGAATTCTTATTCCCTCTAAAGTTCTTTAGCAGTTCTCCAGTGGTTTTAAATAGATAACTTAAAATTTTTTCTGTTTTTAAGTTGTTCTTGATGGAAACATTGGTCTAATACAGAGTACTCTTTCTTAGAAGTGAAAGTCATAGATAGTTTATTGTTATATATCAGTTATTATATTCATTTTATAGTTCTTTGACATCAGTTTCTATAAGTGACTCTTGATTTTCTAATTGTATTATGTATAGGAGGCTCTGGAAAATAATATACATCAGTGCAGAAACAAATTGATTCATCCACATTTGAAAGGCCTGGTGGTAAGAATATCTCTAACCACTTCAAAATCAGCAATGACTCAAACTATTATATAAATAAATGCAAAAAATATTCCATAGTCAAAAGCCCAGATGCACATCCTTGGGATATTTTATCTATTCCTGTGGTTGAAATGATTATTTTATTGTGGTTTTATGTTTGGGGTTACTATTTTTTTTCCCTTAATATTAGCTTACAGCATTAGTTTGTTTACATCATGTGATTTCACAGTATAAAGAACTCTGTTTAAAATTTGAAAAAGGCATGGTGGCTCATGCCTGTAATCCCAGCACTTTGGAAGGCTGAGATGGACAGATCGCTTGAGCCCAAGAGTTTGAGACCAGCCTAGGCAACATGGCGAGACCCTGTCTTTACAAAAAATACAAAAATTAACCCTGTGTGGTGGTGCGTGCCTGTAGTCCCAGCTACTCAGGAGGCTGAGGTGGGAGGATTGTTTGAGCCTAGGAGGCAGAGGTGGTGGTGAGCCGAGATCCTGTCACTGCACTCTGGCCTGGGTGACAGAGCGAGACCCTGTCTTTAAAAAAAAAAAAAAAAAACCAAGAAAATTTCAGCCCAAAGTGAGAGACCTTTCCCCGCCCTCAATGCCTAAATTACTACTATATTACTACTTACCTTCCTCTCCTTCTCCCAGTTTTTCTCCCATTACTGGTTGTCCTCTCTCTCCTGTTGACAATTGTTAATTGAAGAAGATTTAGAAATTGAAATACTTAAAGGAGGCCAGGTGTGGTGGCTCACACCTGTAATCCCGGCACTTTGGGAGTCTGAGGCAGACGGATCACTTGAGGTCGGGAGTTTGAGAGCAGCCTGGCCAACATGGGGAAACCCCATCTCTACTGAAAATACAAATATTATCTGGGCATGGTGGTGCATGCCTATAATCGCAGCTACTCAGGAGGCTGAGGCAGGAGAATTGCTTGAACTTGGGAGGCAGAGGTTGCAGTGAGCTGAGATCATGCCACTGCACTCCAGCCTGGGCGACAGAGTGAGACTCCATCTCAAAAAAAACAACAAAAAAAAAAAAAAGGAAGAAAGAAAGAAATACTTAAAGGAAGAAAACGAAAATTTCTTGTAATCCCATCACCAATCTAGTCACACTTTTGAACATTTGGTGCATGTCTTTTGTGGATTTATTCTTTGTAAAATGGATATTGTCAGTGGTTCTCAGCCCTGCTTCTTCATCAATATCACCTGTAATACCTAAACTATACATATAGATTCTGGGATACACCTCACATTTAACTAAATTAGAATCTTCAAGGGTAGGGCTAGGACAGTTTTGTTTAAAAAAACAAAAACTCCCCTTCAGAAAATTTTAATAACCCTCAGAATTTTCTTGTAATGAGAAAGAGAATGTTGCAGTATTATAGAAAGCTTTAACTTGTATACAGCTCTTTAACTAATTATTCAATTTTAACTTTTCCCTAGCCATTCCACCCTATGGTGAATCTGGATTGTTCTCGGGATTTCCGGCCTTTTCTTTGTGCACTCTACGCTCCTATTTGTATGGAATATGGACGTGTCACACTTCCCTGTCGTAGGCTGTGTCAGCGGGCTTACAGTGAGTGTTCGAAGCTCATGGAGATGTTTGGTGTTCCTTGGCCTGAAGATATGGAATGCAGTAGGTGCGAAAATCATAGATTTTCATGGATCATTTCTTATGTTGCAATATGTTTAAAAGTACTTGTCTTCTTTTCCATCTGTTTTAAAAAACTTTTTTTGAAGTGTACATATTAGTCATTAATTTTGAACAGTTTTATGGCCTCACAATTGTTTATTTGCTTAGAAATTTGGAAGCACTAAATGAAAAAGAAAACATTTCTGTGAAGAAGTTTTTAAAAGACTTAAGAATTACATAATCAAGACAGTTGATTTTTCCCCCTTTAAAACATTTTTTTCTGATTATGAAAATAGTGCTATTTGTGAAAAATTATACGGAGAAGAAAACCATTTATTACCTCATCATTGCGGGGGCTTAAATACCTTTATGATTTAAATATAGATTTATAGGATAGTTCTGTCATTTCTTTTTTTCTGTCAAGTATTAACATACCAAATCCAGAAAATGTCAAATACTTTTCAAATTACATGCAGTATATCGACTATAAGCATGTCTTAAAGTTTTGAGGATTTATTAGACATTCTTAAAGTTTCATTTAAGTGAGCATTATTATTAATAATATACTATATTTATTATGTGATAATGTTTTACCTATTTGTATTCTGAAATATTTCAAGGATAAAGAATAAGGTGAATACTTATGTATCTATTATTATCTAGCTTTGCCCAATCTTAACAGTTTGTAATATTGGCTTCAGATTTTTTTTAAGAAATGAAACAATACAGGTAGAATTGAAGGTTTTCCCTTGTTATCCCTCTTGAGCTTATTATCTTCTTTCCCCCCAAGGAGTGAGATAATCTTTATGTTGAATTTGTTTTAAAATCATTCCCATGTTTGCTTATATACTCTTACTACATGTATGCATATCCATAAACAATACAGCTTTTTTGTATGTATCTATCTATGTTTGTACCTGTAACCTGTAGGTCTAGTACATTCCTTTTAATTGCCGTGTAGTGGTCAATTGTGTTAATATCCTACAGTTATTTAGCCTTCTACTGATGGTCATTTAGGTTGTTTCCAGATTTTTGTTATTATAAGTAACATTCTTTTCTCCTTCATATTTAAAAATAATTTTGTTTGTTATCTGGTAATAGCTCTTGGAGGCGAGTAAAGCAGATGTTGTTACTCTTACTTGACAGATGGAGAAACTTAAGAAATAATAAATCCTGTACAGTAAGTCCTCACTTAACGTTGTTGATAGGTTCTCAGAATATGTGACTTTAAGCACAGTGACATTTAATGAAACCAATTTGTTTTCTTTTCTCTTCTCTTTTTTTTTTTTTTTTTTGAGATGGAATCTCACTGTGTCCCCTAGGGTGGAGTGCAGTGGCATGATCTTGGCTCACTGCAACCTTCACCTCCCGGGTTCAAGCGATTCTCCTGCCTTAGCCTCATGGATACCAATTTGTTTTCTTACAAACATTATAACAAAATGACATTGAAAAAAAAAACAGTGTTATTTAAGGACCTGCTGTATGGTTTCTTGCTTGAAGTCACAGTTTACAAGAACCTATCTACGATTTTAAATGAGGACTACTGTATTTGCTTCTTGTAGTCAATTTATTGATGTTCTACTTTCTCATATTTGTCTGTTTCGCACCTATTTTACCTTCCCTTTTGTTTAGCCCCATCTAACCATTCATGTCTTCTGTCTCCAGACACCTGGAAGTGTTTCCAGTCTCTCTTTTAGAAGTCTGTAAATTGGTATAAAACAATTATAAATTGCCTGGGCAGGAACTCTGTTTTATGCTTCTTGTATTTAACGCCTATTGTTTAGGTGTCTTTTTATTTTAATAGCTTATATATAAGCATAGAAATCTCATAATCTTTATTTTTTTAATTTGTTTTGATAGGATTAAACCTATTTTATGTCCTCATTATACCCTAGGATTGCCTAAATTTGAAATCTTAAATTCTGAAAAAGGGAACTTTCTTTTTTTTTTTTTTTTTTTTTGAGATGGAGTCTCGCTCTGTCACCCAGGCTGGAGTGCAGTGGCGTGACTTGGCTCACTGCAACCTCCACCTCCTGAGTTCAAGCAATTCTCCTACCTCAGTCTCCCAAGTAGCTGGGCTTACAGGTGCCCACCACCACATCCAGCTAATTTTTGCATTTTTGGTAGAGACGGGGTTTCACCACGTTGGCCAGGCTGGTCTCGAACTCCTGACTTTAAGTGGTCCGCCCGCCTCAGCCTCCCAAAGTGCTGGGATTACAGGCGTGAGCCACCGTGCCCAGCCTCAAAGGGAACTTTCATAGCAACCTTTTTATTCTTTCATAGCTCTCATACTTTTGTGCCTACTATACTGGTTGCCTTGGTTCATTTGTGCTGCTATAACAAAATACCACAGACTGGGTAAATTATAAATAATAGAAATTTATTTGTTATGGTTTGGGCGCTGGAGAGTCTAAGATCAAGGCACAGGCAGGTTGTGTTTCTAGTGAGGGCTGCTTTCTGCTTCCAACATGGCACCTTGTTGCTGCATCCTCCACTGGGTAGGAACACAGTTTCCCCATGTGGCAGGATAGCAAGAGGGGCAAGCTCACTCTGCAGCCTCTTTTATAGGGACATTAATCCTTTAATTGTCCCAAAGACCTCACTTCATTTTTCCTTTTTGGAGATAGGATCTCGCTGTGTTGCCCAGGCTGGAGTGCAGGGGCACAGTCACAGCTCACTATAGCCTCAAACTCCTGGGCTCAGTCAGTCCTTCTGCCTCAGCCTCCCAAGTAGCTGGGATTACATGGGCGTACCACCATGTCCAGCTAATTAAAAAAAAAAAAAAAATTTGTAGAGATGGGGTCTTGCTTTGTTGCCCAGGGAGGTCACAAACTCCTGGCCTTAAGCAGGCCTCCTAAAGTGCTGGGATTACAAGCTAAGCCACTGCGCTTGGCCAGGCTCTGCCTCTGAATACCACTGCAGTGGGGATTGTTTCATGAATATTCAGGTCCCCCAAAGTTCATGTATTGGAAACTTAATTCTCAGTGCAGCAGTGTTGAGAGGTGAGACCTTTAAGAGATCGTGAGGACTCTGCCCTCATGAATAGATTAATGCCATTATCTCAGGGAGGCATTAGTTATTGCGGGATTGGGTTCCTGATAAAAGGATGAGTTTGGCCCCTTTTCCTCCCTGGCCCCACATCCTCTCTCTCCCTTTTGCCATGGGTTGATGCACCAAGGAGGCGCCTCCTTCCCAGATGCAGGCCCTCTTGACTTGGACTTCCCAGCCTCTAGAGCTGTAAGAAATAAATCCCTGGTTTTTATAAATTACCTAGTCTCAAGTATTCTGTCATAGCAGCACAAAATGGACTAAGACAGCACCTATTCTAAAAATTCATGGACACCCCCAGAATTTTTATCTTTTTATCCTAAATAGACCCTTCCTGATCTCATTTGTTTCTTTATTTAGCTTAAATGTTGTGGTCTATCACTTGAAATAACATCATCTGATAGCAGTTTCATCTCATCCCTCTTACTGTACTTATTTAGACCTCCAAATAGACTGATTAATTTCTTATAAATTGATTATGCTATGTATTTAATGATTCTGAAATTACAGCAGTTGTATTTTCTATTTGTAACCACTTGTCTTGGTCAGAAAAATTTCTGTTCATTTTCCTCAGCACTTGTGCCAAATCTGTATCACTTAACTTTAAACTTGTATCTCACCTTTATTTCCTTCAACCTCAGCCTGTCCTTTCCTGAAAATGATTCAGTCCATCATGTAAGAGAACTATTGTGATCTGTTATTTCTCAGACTGTTCCTTCTCAATTTCCTTCTCGGATCCTCCTCTTTTTTCTGCCCCTTGAATAATGGTGCTTCCCAGAGTTCGGTTCCTGTTCTCCACAGCCCTCCCTGGATAATCTCATCTCACCTATTTTAACTCTTATTTATATACCGATGACTCCTAAACCTAAGTCTGTAGCCTCTCTCTGCAAAGCTCAAAACCTGCATATATCCAGCAGCTGTTGAAAATCCTAACCTATATCCAGTAGCCATTGGAAATCTGGCCTCGGTTTGTCTCCACGACCTCAATTTTGGCATATGTAAAATTGATTTTACTTCTTGGCTCACTGTTTTATTCCCTGGAAGTATCTTCTGTTCCTACTTCATTGATCTTAACTCCCACATTCAAGTTAGGCATTCTGTTGCCTTCAGCTAACTAATTTCATATCTGTCTCATTCTCACTGCCTTATTTGACTTTAATTTTGGCACATCTGGTATCCCTGCCCCCATTTTTGCCCCGCTCAAGTCTGTCTTTTACACTGCTCCTGGTTACCTTTCTGATTACTTGGGTTAGGGTTATATGAATATATTCACTCAACATTCATTAGTTCAACACATGTCAATTGAATGTCTTTGGTGTGCTAGGCACTATTCTAGATGTCGAAGATGAGCAGTGAGCAAAACAGAGATCCTGTTCTTATGGAGTGAAAATTCTAATGGTGGTGGTAAATAAATAGACAATGTCAGATGAAAATGAATGCTAATAAGAACAAATATGGTAGGTGATAGGGATACAATATAGGAGAGCAGAGGGATTCTATTTTCTATAGAGTCTTTGGAGAAGGCCTTATTGATAAGGAGGCTTTGGACCAGGGACTTGAATGAAGTGAGAAAACAAATGATGATATCTGGGGGCAGAGCGGGCCAGGCAAAGGAAACAGAGCAGCAAGTACAGAGACTCTGAAGTGGAACCACGCTTCCTAAAGTCACAGAACAACAGGAGACCAAAGTGGTTGGAGCCAAGTGAGTGAGGGAGAATGGAAGGAAATAAGATCAGAAAAGTACTGGGGCTGAGGGTCTGAGTAGCTCTGGTAAGGAATTTGGATTTGACTCTGAGATGAGAAGCCATTAGAGGGTTTTAAGCAGAAGAGGCATGATCGTGAACACAGGAGCAGCATATCTTTAAAGGATTACCTTGGCTGCTGTGTGGAAATGGAGATCAATTGGAGGCCCCTCTAGAAGTCCAGGGAAGAAATATTTATGGCTCAGACTGGGCACCAGCAGGGGAGGAAATGAGAAGAGTTCGGTTTCTTGATATATTACAAAGTAGAATCACAGGAAATGCTGGTAGATTTCATAGGTATATGAAAGATAAGGGACATCAAGGATAACCCCAAGGTTTTTGGCCTGAGCAGCTAGAAGTATAGAATAACCATTTATGGAGATGGAGAAACCTGAGGAGTGGAAGTCAAGAATTTGCTTTCAGAAGGGTTGAAGATTGAGGTGCCTATTAGATACCTAAGTGTATATGTTGAGTTGGCAGTTAGATATACAAATATATCCATAGATATATTAGTATTGGGTAACATGGGAAAATTGTAGTGTTTGCATGGTTTTAAATTTTATGTTAATGTTTATACACACACACACACTCACACACACATTTCTGCAACGTGCTTACCTCTCCAGTCTCATCTCCTGCCACAAGTCATGCATACTTTATATTCCAGCAATAACACACCCTGTTCAAACATCTATGCCTATGCTTATATTTGCTTACTAGAATGCTGATTGGCTTACTGCTAATACTGATTTAAAATCCTGTATTGGGGGACTGTGAAGTCTTTCATAGTTCCTTCCCCTTATGTAACTAATCTCTGTCTTTATCATTATCATTTTTGTACCTTATATAGATTTTAATTGCTAGCAGAGTGTCACACTGCTATATTTTGTGTATGTTGTGTTTATAAGTATGTGTCTCCTTCTGGATTCAAGGATAGAGATCTGTATTTTTATCTTTTTAACTCCTGGCATATTCAGGGTTCCAGTAAATACTTGATTGCAATACATTCTGTCATTTGGCTTTATAATTCTCTGTGAAGAAAATGGTTTGTATTAGAAAATTTGAAAGATTTGAAGATACAAATCAGCTACAGCATAAAGTTATGTATGTGTTTGGCAAACTTAATGATAGTTTCTTAGAAACTATTTGATGCATATAAAACAGTAAACAGCTAGTTACTGGGAGTCTGAAGTCTTAGAAACAGATATTGGCAAAAAAATTAAAGATGAAGGGAATTCATGACAACGGTCTCCTTAGTTGCATAAATGTCTGCAACACAACCTTGTTTTCTTTGTCTCGAGGCTATCATACTTTTTCAAGACATACAACTAGTATTTTTTGCTCAACTGTCGAAAATCTAGTTGTATGGACCACAAACAAGATATCACCATTTACTTTATTTCTACATATTACATTTGCTCTCCAGGAATAAATAAGGTTGTGAGTGCCAGATTTGGAAATCCAAACTGTTAGATCGTGATAGATTTCCCCATAAGTAAAAATAGTTCTCATCTTGTTTTGTTTTTTAGGTTCCCAGATTGTGATGAGCCATATCCTCGACTTGTGGATCTGAATTTAGCTGGAGAACCAACTGAAGGAGCCCCAGTGGCAGTGCAGAGAGACTATGGTTTTTGGTGTCCCCGAGAGTTAAAAATTGATCCTGATCTGGGTTATTCTTTTCTGCATGTGCGTGATTGTTCACCTCCTTGTCCAAATATGTACTTCAGAAGAGAAGAACTGTCATTTGCTCGCTATTTCATAGGATTGATTTCAATCATTTGCCTCTCGGCCACATTGTTTACTTTTTTAACTTTTTTGATTGATGTCACAAGATTCCGTTATCCTGAAAGGCCTATTATATTTTATGCAGTCTGCTACATGATGGTATCCTTAATTTTCTTCATTGGATTTTTGCTTGAAGATCGAGTAGCCTGCAATGCATCCATCCCTGCACAATATAAGGCTTCCACAGTGACACAAGGATCTCATAATAAAGCCTGTACCATGCTTTTTATGATACTCTATTTTTTTACTATGGCTGGCAGTGTATGGTGGGTAATTCTTACCATCACATGGTTTTTAGCAGCTGTGCCAAAGTGGGGTAGTGAAGCTATTGAGAAGAAAGCATTGCTGTTTCACGCCAGTGCATGGGGCATCCCCGGAACTCTAACCATCATCCTTTTAGCGATGAATAAAATTGAAGGTGACAATATTAGTGGCGTGTGTTTTGTTGGCCTCTACGATGTTGATGCATTGAGATATTTTGTTCTTGCTCCCCTCTGCCTGTATGTGGTAGTTGGGGTTTCTCTCCTCTTAGCTGGCATTATATCCCTAAACAGAGTTCGAATTGAGATTCCATTAGAAAAGGAGAACCAAGATAAATTAGTGAAGTTTATGATCCGGATCGGTGTTTTCAGCATTCTTTATCTCGTACCACTCTTGGTTGTAATTGGATGCTACTTTTATGAGCAAGCTTACCGGGGCATCTGGGAAACAACGTGGATACAAGAACGCTGCAGAGAATATCACATTCCATGTCCATATCAGGTAAGGGAAACCTTGTTACAAATTTCAGAATATATGATAATGAAACAAAAGCATATTACTATAATGAGTTAATATCAGCTGTTTTTTGAAATGTCATGAACCTTCAACTTGTACATTAACATTTTAAGGATGAGATGACAAATATGTTGTAGTAAATATGTAATACACATATTTGATAGACATCTTCATTTTAAAAGATGACTTAACAAGTCTACACTATGGGCTTTTAAGCAGTGTACGTCTGTTGGTGATTTTTTTTTTTTCCAGAAGTGTGCAGTTTCGTGGGGGAGAAGCACTTTACCAACGTTTATAAAAATTTGCTTTTTATGGGAATTTTACTGATGCTCAGGTTAGAAATTGTTTTATTAATAACAGTTTTGCAAAAGTAACAAGATGCAAGTATAAAAACTCAATGATCTTGATTTTTCTTCTTTGCATACTGAATATTTTGTGATTTCTTTTTCAGTTTAAAGAGTTCAGAGCCTCTGGTAGTCTTAGAATTATGGAATTTTAAATCTAGAAAGAACTTTAGAGATCATTTATTCAGATTCCCTCTGTAATTTAGAGTTCTTAAACATCTAGTACCTTATTTGAAGCTTTGAAATGTTAAGTGACTTGTTCTTGAGTAGTAAATGAACAGCTGGGATTTAGTCTTAGATAAATGTAGTCAAGGAAAATAGATCAGAGGAGTTAATGCTAAGTATTTCTTATCTTTAGTACTTCTAGAATCTGTGTTCCTACTATTACCCTACCTTCTTTTATGTATTTATGATTATTATTTAGAAACAGAGTCTTACTAGAATGCAGTGGCATGATCATAGCTCACTGCAGCTTCAAACTCCAAGAGCTCAAGCAATCCTCCTGCCTCAGCCTCCCAATTAGCTAGGACTACAGGTGTACACCACCATGCCCAGCTAATTTTTTATTTCATTTTTTTAAGAGATGGGGTTTCACTTGTTGCCCAGGCTAGTCTCGAACTCCTGCCCTCAAGTGATCTTCCCTCCTGGACCTCCCCAGATGCTGGTATTAACAGGCGTTAGTCACCATGCCAGCCTCTCTTCTTTCTTTTAAAACAAGTTTTCTTAAAAGAGTACTCTAATGTGGTGTCTCCTGTTCATCATTTTCCAGATTTCCTCTTATAAAAGTGCACCAGCCACCTTTCCATCTCCTCCAACCTTTGTTACTCTAATACTTTTAAATACCTTTATTGACGTACTTAAGGATTACAGATAACTTTTGTTTACTAGTCTGTTTCCCCTATTACTATACTCTGAACTCTTCGCAAGAAGAACTTTTTTGTTTTTTAAAGACATTCTGTAGATGATAGTAATGATATTGTGGGTATATTGCTTGAGAAGAGGGGACATTTTTAAGACATGGTAACAGAAATGTACATTTAAGAAATGGTTACTGCTACAGAGAGTATGGGGTTAGCACATAATAAATGCTGATACATTTTTGATCACTGAGAATGCCAATTTCCCTTTTATTTTGGTATAAATAGTCCTATACAAATGATATTTTATCATTATATTAGCTACTGACTTTTTAAAAAATAAACCAACTCATAACTTAGAGACTAGGAAAAAATGAATAATTGAAATTCCATTCAATTTCTTGCCAGAACTGCTTACTAAAAACTCTTATTATGAGTTTTCAGACCTAAAGGTAAATAATCCAGTTTTCCCTCTGAGAGAGAGATGTTGAGTTATATTTTATGCTTCCCCATGTCAGTTTCTAGGATTCTAAATTATTATTTTAGGGCTATTGAAGAAATAATGTTTGACCATGAAATAATGGTCTTAAAAAATACCAGACCTCAAACATGTAAATCAGTAGAGTAGTTGAGATGCTGCTTTTTTCATGACATACCTAGAATTCTTTTAGCATCTTTAGAACCAGTTTGAGCTACACTGAAATATATCTGTGTGTGTGTGTGTGTGTGTGTGTGTGTGTGTGTGTGTGTGTGTGTGTGTGTTGGGGGGGATTAATAGTGTTTTCTGAGAAATATTTTCAACATACGGAAATGAATAACAAATGATGGTAATAACATAGGTATTAAACTGTAAGCTGGAGTAGGAGTCCTAGCTTCTTTTCTTACTTTCATTAATTACTTAACTTTGTAACCTTGGATGAACTTCACCTCCCTCTGCTTCAGTTCCTCATAGTATGAGGATAGTAATGAATCTACCTCCTAGGGTTGTTTTTAGGATTATGCATGTAAATACTTAGAAGTGTGGCTGCTAGTCTATGGTCACACCACCCTGAATGCTCCCGATGTCTTCTGATCTCGGAAGCTAAGCAGGGTCGGGCCTGGTTAGTACTTGGATGGGAGCAGTGTGGCTACTACATAATAAGTGCTCAAAATGTTGGCTCTGTATTGTCTATTATTGTTGTTGCTACCATTATTTACATATAGATACGTTTTTTAAAAGCCCCTAGTACTAAGCTTTAGCAAATGCAATATTTGCTTCAGACTTTTTAAAGAAGTCATAGATTTAGCTGAAACTTCCTGTGTACCCTTCCCTAATCCTGTTCCTCTTATTCACTCCCCAGAGACAACCATCATCGTGAATTTGGACTTGTTCATTCCCATAAAAGCCTGTACAATTACCAATACATACGTAGTTATAAAAAAATGTTTGTTTTACCCAGTACATAAACTATATCACACATACATGTATTTCTTTGACTAAATTCTTTAACTCAACATTTTGTTTTTGAGTTGCATTTATTTTAATACTGCAACTCTATTTTTTAAAATGTTTCCTTTTACTAATATAAAGGAAATGTATAACATATTTCAAATATATAGAGATATAGAAAATAAATATCCATGTACTCACAACCCAACTACCTTGAAATCTTGAAATTATGGCATATGTATCTGTATCTGTTTGTGTACCTATGTATCTAATATTAAAGATACAGTTGATACCTCCTCTGTTCCTTTCCATATTTCCATTCCTCTTCTTCCTCCCTCCCTAGAGAAACCCTTCTCATAAATACGGTATTTTTCATTCTCCTGAATATTTTTATACTGTCGCTGAGTGTTTATCCATAAAATTTGCTGTTATGCAAGTTTTAAAAATGTATATATGTGAGATCATTCTGTAGCTCATTTTTTAACTCAGTTTTATGTTTTTGAGAATATATATGTTGATATGTGTACTGATAATTTGTTTTAACTGCAGTGGAGTATGCTATTGTATAACTATACTGCAATTTATTCACTCATTTATTGATGAATTATATAGTTGTTTCTAATTTTTTGTTGTAAGCCATTTTTCAGTGAATATTCTTGTAACACTTTCATTTCTTAAATATGAACAAGAGTTTCTATTGGAATTTTTGCATTGTAGGCTATAAGCATGTTCAACTTAAGTCGTTATTTTAATTTATACGCACACCAGAATATGAGTTTCCCCTTTGTCCCCATTTTGGCACTCTCAGGCTTCTAAATTTTTGCCAGACTTTGAAATAATATCTCAATTCTGTAGTAATTTACCTTTTCCTTATTATACGTAAGGTTGAATGTGTTTTCGTATGTTTATTGGCCATTTGGGGTTTCTCTGTGATTTACCTATTTGTTATCTTTGTCCATTGCTCTGTTAGGTTATTTGCTTTTTACTGTTTAAATATTATTGGTTTTCTTTGTCAGTCATTTGCGTTACAGATATTTTCTGCTTTGTGGCTTGTCTTTTCACTTTATTTGTGCTTTCTTAGTCTTTTGTGTTTTAAGGTAATCCTTCCCTGCCATTAAAGTCATTAAAATGGCCTGCTGTATTTTTTCTAGCAGTTTCTACAATTTGCTTTTTTGATTCATATCTCTAATCCCATAAAATTTATTTTTGTGAATGTTGTAAGGAACACAATTTTATTTTTCCATATGGATAAGACATGTGCTTTCTGCATCATTTATCAAATAGTTCATCTATTTCAATTGTAATGCAACCTCTGTCATGCACAAGTTTCATTTTTAGGCTCTCTCATTTGTATAACCATGTGTCAACTCCACATCTTCTTTACCTTGTTCTTCTTCTTCAAAACTATTTTAGCTATTCTTGGTACTTTGCTCTTCTGTATGAATTTTAAAATCAATTTTCCATGAAAAACACTGTCAGGATTTTCATTGAAATTGTTTTTGATTTGTAAATGAATCTGGGGAACATTGCCATTTTTGCAATACTGAGTTTTAATAGCTTATTTACATTTTTATTCATTAAATTGGTTATTGATGGTGTACAGGCATGCCATTTAAAAAATTTTTAATTTATTTATTGTGACAAAGTCTCGCTCTGTTGCCTAGGTTGGAATGCAGTGGCAGTCATAGTTCTCTGTAACCATGAACTCCCAGGCTCGAGTGATCCTCCTGCCTCATCCCCCCAAGTAGGTGGGGCTTACAGGCATGTGCTACCATGCTTGGCTAACTTTTTTTTTTTTTGTAGAGATGGGGTCTCCCTGTGTTGCCCAGCCTGGTCTTAAGTGATCCTTCCACCTTGGCTTTCTAAAGACTGGGATTATAGGTGTGAGCTACTGTGCCTGGCCTGATTTATTTTGTGTATTGGTTTTATATCAAACATCCTTGTTGAACTCCTATTAGTTCTGATTGTGTATGGATTCTCTTAGATATTCTTTCTAGAAATCATGTTGTTTGCAAATAGGGACAAATTTGTCTCACTTGCTTTCCAATTTCTATATTTCATGTAAGAGCTGCCTACTCTTGGAAAGGATTTGCACATCCTCCTGTAAAACTCTGTCCTCATATCTTTGAAGTAAAAGGAAAGAAGTTGGTTAAGAAAGTAGATTTTTGTAAGTTACCATTTAATCTCTTCAATACTAATGGTTTTATTCAGGTCTTTTATTTCTTCTTGAGGCATTTTTTGTCATTTATATTTTTCTGGAACATTTCATCTAACTTTTTAAATACATTAGCATAAATTTGTTCATTTTTAAAATGTTTTTACCATTTGAGTTTTTGCTCCTAATAAATATGTTCTTTTTTTCCCCCCATGATCAATCTTGTTAAAGGATTTTTCTTTTTTTTTTCTTTTAGTAGAGATGGGGTCTTGTTAGCTGTCCAGGCAGGTCTCAAACTCCTGGCCTCAGGGATCCTCCCTCTTCAGCCTCCCAAAGCACTGGGATAACAGGCCTGAGCCACTGCTCCCACCAAAGATTATCTTTTTAATTCAATTATTTCTTGTCTTATTTCATCCCTACTGCTTTCTTTAGAATTACTTTGTTTTTCTAGATTCTTGAATTGAAAGCTTAACTCATTTATTGTCAATGTTTTAAAATGTATCTTAAAAATACATTTAATAGTTACTTTAAATTTAACCAAAAGACCATTATTAACCAGGTTGGTCATTCACACTCATTCTGTCTTCTGAACTTAACTTTAAGTAACTTTATGTTTGTTTTGTTTTGTTTTGTTTTGTTTTGTTTTGTTTTGTTTGAGAACCTTTATTTATTGAAGTTTGGGTATCCCTGGGTTTTTGTTCTTCACAGAAAGGTCCCCTCACAAAGCTGATGGAAAGGGATGTTTTTTACCCTAACATCTCATGGGTTAGTAACACTTGGATACGTTTTAAAAATTCCCTCCAACGTGTATTTTTTTTTCTAGGATTTCCTTTCTCTTTAGCATAATAATTCAGAGACTGTTCTGGAAGATAGTGCTGGTGTGGCTAAAGTTTTATTCTATATGTGAGTCCCATGAATTCCTTTGTGATTCTTGTGCTTTCCAATCTTGCTTCCATAAATAGATGTTGAGTTAAACCTGGCCTGTTCAAAAAAGATAAAGTACTATAAACATGAACTCTTATTTGTATAGACTTCATTGTGGGTAAAATCTGTGATTGCTGATATCCACAACAACCTTTTCAAATAGATAGTATGGCTTCATTCCTGCCATTCAAAAGCATTTAAAGCAGAAAGAAGTAATGTGTCTTACATAGTTACATTAGCTTAAGGATCAGCAAACTATAGCCCATCTGAACTGTAGCCTACAGATAAACTAGAAGACCAGCGACCTGTTTTTTTAATTGTAGTTTTATAGACGCACACACACATTATGTATACGTTCTCATTTTAACCATTTTTAAGTGTACAGTTCTGTGACATTAAGTAAATTCACATTGTGCAACCATCACCTCCATCCATTTCCAGTAACTTTTTCATCTTTTCAAACTGAGATGACTTAGCAATATGGTAAGACCCCATTTCTACAAAAAATGTAAAAATTAGCCAGGCATGTTGGCATGTGCCTGTAGTCCTAGCTACTCGGGAGGCTGAGGCAGGAGAATGGTTTGAGCCCAAGAGGTCAAGGCTTCAGAGAGCTGTGATTGCACCACTGCACTCCAGCCTAGGTGACAGAGCGAGACCCTATCTCAATAAAAATCAATCAATCAATCAATCAGTGAGACTCTGTACCCATTAAACAATAACTCCCCATTCTTCTTCCCCACATCCCCTGTCAACTACCATTCTACTTTGTCTCTATTAATTTAATTCTAGATATCTCATATAAATGGAATTATACAATAATTTGCCCTACTTTGATTTTAATATTCAGATATTAGGATATTAATATTTGTTTTTGTTCAGAATTTATTTTTAGAGGAATCTTATACAGACTTCTGAATTAAGCACCAGTGATGTGAAATTTTTATATTGAAGTAATAACCACACATACTTGAATAAAGATCTGCTGTTATTGAGTGTGCCTTATAGAACACTTAGTAGGCGCTGATGATAATTCCTAATAAGAAGTTTTTTAAATGTTTTAAGCAATGATGGAGCAGTCTCCTCAGGTGACTTAGAGAAAATATTTGAATATATTTGCTTAAAAACCAATAAGGTTGCTTAACAGTTATCTCTCACATTACAGAAACTTTCAAATATCTGAAAAAATTAGTTCCTGAATTTTTTATCATGTTTTTTCAAAATACCAATTGGGTTTAGTGCAAATTGCATGAATGTAAATTCATAATTTGAAGAAAAATTGGCTGGGTGTAAAGTATTTTAAAATGAGTGTTCTCGCTGAAAACAGTTTCACTGGCTTTTTTTTTCTGTTTTCTAAATAAAATTGTAGGTTTTAGCACAGTTTTAGATTGACAGAAAAATTGTGATGATAACACAGTGAGTTCCCATATGCCTTGTACCAGTTTTCCCTGTTATTAATATCTTATATCACTATGGTACATCTGTTATAATTGGCTAACCAATAGTGATACATTATTATTAACTAAAGTTCATACTTTATTCAGATTTCCTTAGTTTTTATCTAATGTCCTATTTCTGTTCTAAGATCCCATCCAGGAGATGACATGTAGTAGTCATGTCTCCTTGGCCTCCTCTTGGCTATGACAGTCTTTCAGCCTCTCTTTGTTTTTGATGTCACTACCTAGATTTTAAAATACTATACCAACCATTTTTAGCAAGAACACTCATTTTTAATGTTTATTAAATAATACTTGAAAAGTAGTATTGAATGCCTAAATTCTGAATTAATTATGAAATATAGTCTGAGTAGTCAGAGTAATATTTCACAATTTAAAAACTGGTTTATTTCTAGAATACTTTTTTATATTGTGTATTTTAAAATAACAGATCAGTAATTTTACAGATATTTGGGTTTTTTTGGTCTAATAATAATTTCCTCTATTTTTAGTGCCTTCTAAGAGTTTCAGAGTATCCTGTGAAAGTTACAGTTTTCAAAGATTCTTGATATTTCTAGAAAAGATTTTGAATTTAGCATAATATTCGTTAAAAATGTGGGCTTTAAAATCAGACAGGCTGGGTTTATGACTTGTTGCTACCATTCCTTCATGTAAAATGCAGAAAATAATATGTTAAATACAGTAATATCTACCTCATGGGTGGCAATGAAGATTAAATGAGAAATATAAACCTCTTACCGGAGTGCTTTGCACAAAGTAAAATTTCGATATTAACTCCTGTTATTACAAGTACATAATTCTTGAGGCTTTACAAAGGATTATCCTATACTCTGTACTAGAGTCATTTTTTTCTTTTAAACATCGATTTTGAAAAGCACATGTTTCCTTCCTTTCCTAAAATGCCCCTTCATTTTTTTCATCTCTTTCATCCATCTAATTTAATGCAGTATGTCCCAAGGAATTTTGACAATAGAACATTTATTTCGGTAACAGAAATGTGTTACCATAGTACAGGCAGCTTAGCCAAGACTGTCAAATTCACATTACAGCCATTTGTAGAATTCTTTAAAAATTATTTTTATAGTCCGGGCGCAGTGGCTCATGCCTGTAATCCCAGCACTTTGGGAGGCCAAGGAGGGTGGATCACCTGAGGTTGGGAGTTCCAGACCAGCCTGACCAATGTGGTGAAAGCCTATCTGTACTAAAAATACAAAAATTAGCCGGGCTGTGGTGGCACACGCCTATAATCCCAGCTACTCAGGAGGCTGAGGCAGGAGAATTGCTTGAACCCAAGAGGTGGAGGTTGCAGTGAGCCAAGTTTGTATCACTGCATTCCAGCCTGGGCGACAGGGAGACCCTGTCTCAAAAAAAAATTATTTTTATAGAAAACAAACAAAAAATATTATTTCTGTTCTTCTGAGCACACAAGGCATCCCATCTGTTGTTTTATCTAGTCTTGATTCAGAAAAATACAAAAATAGCAGAATAACATTAAATCTAATTTGTTATGATTTTAGCTTCATTTTCTGATGAGTCTTTCCCTTTACCAGGCAGTTCCAAAAGGAATCAGAATTGTTTATGAAAGGACCATGAGGGAAATGGGTATGTTTTACGCTGCCAACATTAGACAATGAGTAATTCTTTTGTATAAATATGTAGTACTACTAACCTTTTTTTTGTTTTTCTACTAATCTTTAAATTGGTAAATATCCTGCCTACCTATGACTTCCTAGGGCCAAACCTCAAAATTATTTAGTTTCTGTAATAGAGGAAAAGAATGAGAATTCCCTGAAAAAATATTCTATATCTCTTGTTTTGCCAGAAAATATTACAGAATACGACATGAAGGAAACATAGACTATTATAGAAATTTATAGAAACTGTAATACTGTTATGTCCTGGTTGTAAAATACTGTCAAATGACACTTTTGGATAAATATGATAAAATATACAAGTTATTATTCTGGCCTCTGTTAAACAGAATAACCTAAGTTGTGTGTTCAGTTTAAGTCTCCACTGCAGAAATACCTGATATGCAAATAGTTTATACATTTTTAGGAGAAAATTCAATGTACTTGCCATTATCTACAGTAGGGCATGGCAAACTGTAAAAGATCAGATAATAAATATTTTAGACATTGCTGGCCATTAGTTTTTGCTGCAGCTACTCAGCTTTGCTGCTATGGTACAACTACTCAGCTTTGCTGCTATGGTACAAAAGCAGCCATAGACAGTAAGTCAGCAAATGGAAGGAAGTATTCCAATAAAGCTTTATTTGTAGAAACAGGCATTGCGACAGATTTGGCCTTCAGGCTGTAGTTTGTTGACAAGTATTATTCTATGTCATCTTTGATCATTCTTTTATAACAGTGGTTGGTGACCTATGACATTTTTCTGTCCCATATAAATTGTCACTGTTGCATTCTCATTTCTACTTTTGAGGATTCAGCCTTTTACTCTACTGCATAATAGTATTAAACATATTTAATATAGGCCAGGCGTGGTGGCTCACGCCTGCGATCCCAGCACTTTGGGAGGCCGAGGTCGGCAGATCACCTGAGGTCAGGAGTTCAAGACTAGCCTGACCAATATGGTGAAACCCCGACTCTACTAAAAATACAAAAATTAGCTGGGCGTGGTGGCGGGCGCCTGTAATCCCAGCTACCTAGGAGGCTGAGGCAGGAGAATCACTTGAACCCGGGAGGCAGAGGTTTCAGTGAGCCAAGATTGCGCCACTGCACTCCAGCCTGGGCGACAAGAGTGAAACTCTTGTCTCCAAAATAATAATAATAATAATAATAATAATTCAATATAATCTAGTACTGTTATCACTATAATAAATAAATAAAAATGAATTCTAACCTATCACTATAATAAACACATGTAAATAAGACGTATTTCCAGTAATCTTTGAAGGCATTACCATACCAATTTAAGGAAATAATTTTAGTATTTTATGAGAATAGTAGAGTAGAAGCAACATAGTTTAATAATCATAGTTGCTTCTAGTTTTTTAAGTTATATGCTGTGTGTCATGTCCTATGCTCAACAATTTACACACATCATCTCATTTAATCCTCACATTAGCCCAGTAAGTTATATTGTACTCAGTTTTACAAATGAGAAAACTTGAGTCTCATATATTTATACAGTTTATCCCAAGTCATACAGTAAGTTACAGAGCTGGGATGTGAACTGATTCCAAAGCCTACAGACTTAACATCATTTTACACCTCTTCATATGCAAAAAACACAGGTCTGAGTATTTGGAGAGACATCATATAGTTCTGGCTATATCTCTAACTAGTTTTGTGTCTTTAGGCTAGTCACTAAGTTTATACTTTCTTCATCTCTAAAATTTTAGGGGATTGGATTGAATAATCTGTAGGGGTTTTTTCTCAGGTCTAATATTAAATGAATCTAGAAACTATTCTCCCATAAACCACAACTTGTTTTTCCCCTTTTATAAAATTCATTCATTAATGCAAAACCATTTGTTATATATGTTATATATTTTATATATATATAATATATTTTGGCATATTGATAGTTGCTGGAGAAGCAACTGTGAATAAAATACAGCCTCTGCCCTACAGTTCATAGCCTAGTAAGAGAAAATAAACATGGAAATCAGATGGTTCTGTGACTAAAGAACAGTTTTTAGTTCTTACTCTCTCGTCTCTTAAAAAAATACGGAGAAACCTAGTAAAAATAAAGATACCTTCAGGAATATGATAGTTATACCCTATATCAGGGATCCCCTACCCCCGAGCGATGGACCAGTATAGGTCCACACAGCAGGAAGTGAGTGGTGGGTGAGCCAGCAAAGCTTCATCTGTATTTACTTCCCATCGCTTGCATTACTGCCTGAGCCTCCTGACAGGTAAGCAGCAGCATTAGATTCTCATAGGAGCGCGAACCCTGTTGTGAGCTGTGCATGTGAGGAATCTAGGTTGCATGCACCATTTATTGACTAGTTCATCTTTTCTCCACTGATCTATAATACTGCCTTAGTCATATATCAAGTTCCCATATGTGAAATTTGTTTTGCTGTCCTAGTTGAGGGTCTATTTTTCTGTCCCAGTGCTACATTGTCTTAATTACTATAACATAATAAGCCGTTATATTTGATAGGACAAGTGGGTGACTTTTCAAAGCATAATAACAGTAAAGGTTGCTAAGCAGTGTAGTGTAGTTAAAAAGTACGCAAAAGTGGGAATCAGAAGACCTCCATTCAGGAACTGTTGTCACTTACCAGTTGTATGACAGACTCTGTATGAACCTGATGAATAGTTCATTTTTATGTGGGCTTTAGGTGACCATAGGCTTGATATAAGTCAATATTTTGCAATGAATTTATTTAAAAAAATAAAAGCAAACCCAATGCAATATGTACTTCTATTAGTAAAGTATAGATTCCTCTTGATAGGGAAAGAAGCCAAGGACTCTGCCAACCTGATTCAAAGCTAAGGTCTCAAAAACAAGTATTGAATTTAGGCCATCACAATAATTAAAAAAAAATACCTCAAGTGTTCTTTTTTTGCAGGGTATTTCACCCTTAGCATGAGTAGTTTTTTTTCTATTTAATTAAAAATAATTTAAGCCCTGGGGTCTTTGGTGGATTGTGTATCTAAATAGAAAAATCAAAACGCAGGTAAATGGTTTTTATATGGTGGTTGAAAGGAGTTATTGCAACTCTGTAGATTAAATCCAAGCAGTGTTAGTGGAGATCAGTGATTCAGAAGATAGTGAATGTAGGCTATTTATAGCTAGCCAGGCTGTTGTAGAACAGGGACAGTCCTCAAGACCCAGGGCTTACAGCAAGTAGATGCTGATGTCTCCCTTTTTTGCCAGGTATTCTCCAGGTAGATCAAAGAAATACATCAGGTAAGTTTTGTTTTTTCTGAGACAGAGTCTCGCTCTGTTACCCAGGCTGGAGTGCAATGGCACGATCTCGGCTCACTGCAACCTCCGCCTCCTGGGTTCAAGCTATTCTCATGTCTCAGCCTTCCGAGTAGCTGGGATTACAGGCGCCCACCACCACACCAGGCTAATTTTTGTATTTTTAGAGACAGGGTTTCACCATATTGGTCAGGTTGGCCTTGAACTCCTGACCTCAGGTGATCCACTGGCCTCGGCCTCCCAAAGTGCTGGGATACATCAGGTAAGTTTTTTCCAATTGCAAATGTGATATAACATCAATAGGAATATAACGTTTTCAGGAACACTTAAAAAGAATACTTGACAGTTTTCTTATTTGTCCATTTTAATTATGCAAGGAACTGAAATATTTTGTGAGTTTTTTCTTTAAAAATTCTATAGCCAAGTGTGGTGGCTTACACCTGTAATCCTAGCACTTTGGGAGGCCAAGACAGGTTGATTACTTGAGGTCAGGAGTTTGAGACCAGTCTGGCCAACATGGTGAAACCTTGTGTCTACTAAAAATACAAAAATTAGCTGGGCGTGGTGGCGGGTGCCTGTAATCCCAGATACTCAGGAGGCTGAGGCAGGAGAATCCTTTGAACCTGGGAGGTGGAGGTTGCAGTGAGCCGAGAATTGCACCACTGCACTCCAGCCTGGGCGACAGAGTGAGCCCCTTTCAATAAATAAATAAAATTCAGTTTATTATAGGGCTTTTTAAAAATAAAAACTAAACACTGTATCCCATTTCCTTTATTCAAATATTTTTCTTTAGTAGGCTTTGCCTTTCTAGCTAGTATATGGCCTGTTTTACGTACTAACTACCTCACTATTTTTGTGTCTCTGTGTGATTTATAAGTAGATAATAATGTATTCTCCTTCTTCTTTGTTCTTCATTTATAAGGGGACACTCCTTCTTTATAGCAGTAGCTTGGCTCTTCTTCCTCAGTGTCTTGGCCCTCTGGCTCCAACACTCTGCCTGTGGCATCTTCAAAAAACAGGTGTTATTTGAGTTGCTTTCACACTGTATCCCTGCCATGGGCAGTGCTGACTTGTCTTTTCTGGAATTTTGGCTTTAACCAGAACCCTGTAATGCAAAATGTTCTGTGTTACATCCCTGCTGTCTTCCAAATCTTCTTGCCTAATTGGAGGTTTTGATTGTTGCTATTCCTGATTTTGTTTTTAGCGCTCCTTCCCTCTTATTCAAGCATTTATGTTACGTGAACAATATTTCTAATTTACACAGACAATGCAGTTTAAGGTGCTAAAGAATCGAAGTTGGAAGATAGGGTTTCTCTCCTAGGCTCTCTGTTTTCTTTCCTTTCTCCCTTTTTTCTGTATAATCTTATCCAGTCCCATGTTTCAGACTATACAGCCCAACCTTGTTTCTGTGCTCCAAAATATCTATTTACATGACACTTTCTTTTGAAAGTCTACAAAGCATTTCAAACTTAGTATGTCTAAAACACAGCTCTGAATTTTTCTCAAATCTGCTTCCTGCATCGCGTTCCCAGTTCTGCTCCATTCAGTAAATGGCATCATTATCCGCTAGTTGTTCAGATCCAGATTTGGAGCTATCTTTGGACCCTCTCTTTCTCACATATCTCAGATCCAATCCTTCAGCTTCTCAGTACCTCCACCTCTACCTTAGTCCAAGCCATTCAGTAATTCACAATGGCCTTCCTATTCAACTTCATGCTTCTACTTTTGTTTCTTTAGTTTATTTTCAACACAGTAGCCAGAGCAAGTTTTAAAAACATAAGCGAGATCATGTTGCTGGTTTGTACAAAACCCTCCAGTGGCTTCCTGTTACTCTTAGAATGAAATCCTTTTTTTTTTTTTTTTTTTAACTACTCCCTGCAGTGCCATATATGACTGGACCCCTACCTCCTTCTTTGACTTCGTCTCCTACCATTTCTCTTCCATCCATGCTCACTTTTAGCCTTGCTGGCCTCTTTGTTATTGTTCTTCAGAGACAGCAAACTTGTTCTGTCAGGATTATTGTTATTGCTGTTTCTTCTGCCTAAATCCCTACTTAAATGTCATGTCCTTGAAGAAGCCTTTACTGACCACTTTGATCTAAAATTGCTTGCTGGCCGGCCGCTGCGGCTCACTCCTTAATCCTAGCACTTTGGGAGGCTGAGGTGGGTGGATCACCTGAGGTAGGGAGTTCGAGACCAGCCTGACCAAAATGGTGAAACCCCATCTCTACTAAAAATACAAAAATTAGCTGGGCCTAGTGGCGCATGCCTGTAATCCCAGCTACTCGGGAGGCTGATGTAGGAGAATCGCTTGAACCCAGGAGGCAGAGGTTGCAGTGAGCCAAGATCCTGCCACTGCACTCCAGCCTGGGCACAACAGAGTGAGACTTGGTCTCAAAAAATGAAATAAATAAAATAAAATAGCTTGCCCATCCACTACCACACCACACCCACACACGCTATCCCCTACCTTGTGTTTTAGTTCTTATTGCTACCTGAAATTGTAAGATTTCTTTAGTTCCTATACATTGATAGCACTGCACCCTTACCCTGCTCTACAGTGTAAGTTCAACAAGGGCAGAGAATTTTCTGACTATTTGCTGTTATGTCTTTTGTACAAGGTCATGGTAGCACTCAGTATTTAAGTGACTGAGTTAATTAGCTGTGTGACCTTGCAGATCAGTTCACTTCCCTAGAGTTTGATTGCATCTGTAAACAAAGGGATGAGTAGGATAGGATGTATCTCTAAGGATAGGATTTAGACTCTAGATGATCAGTCATCTAGAATTGAAGACAACCTTGAAGTCATGAAGTTCAAGCCTCTTATTTTATAAAAAGTGATTTGACTTATGTCACGTTGCTCAGGCCAGTGGTCTTCACATCACACAATTGTTCTAATTCTGCAATCAACTCTGATTAGCTCTCTTTATCTTTTTTCATTACAATTCTTAGTTTTAATTTTTATGTTCTTTGCCTTCATCCTCTTCATCGTATTACTTACGTAAGTCACCTCTTTACAAATAATTATTTTTCTTCAGTTAGTCCTTGTTTTCTCACCATTTATTGAGTATAAGCCAGTGTGATTTGAAGTCTGCTTCCCAGCTCTCATTCTTTGCCTTGCCACACTCCACTGTTTTTGTTTTTGTTTTTTTTTTGAGATGGAGTGTCACTCTGTCACCCATGCTGGAGTGCAGTGGCGCAGTCTCGGCTCACTGCACCCTCTGCCTCCCAGGTTCAAACAGTTCTCTTGCCTCAGCTTCCCGAGCAGCTGGGATTGCAGGCACCTGCCACCACGCCTGGCTAATTATTGTATTTTTGGTAGAGACGGTGTTTCGCCATGTTGGCCAGGCTGATCTCGAACTCCTGACCTCAAGTGATGTGCTCGCCTTGGCCTCCCAAAGTGCTGGGATTACAGGCATGAGTCACCGTGCCTGGCCCACACTCTACTTTTATGAGATTTTCTCTTTTTGTAAGCCAAAAAAAAAAAAATGTATACAGTCATGGTTAACATGTATATTTTAACTAATATAATAGATTTTTTAATCATGGAAAAGGAAAATAACTTTTGTAGCAAAACTAGTCTCTAATTCCCCAGTAAAGTTTTTCCAGCTTAATAGGCTCATAGGCTATTAGAATAAACCTTAGAATTTACCTATTCCAACTCCTTAATTTTCAGTGGGGGAGATGTATCTATCAGCTTAGAAAACACTGAGGTAAACAAAAATAAACAGTTCTTCAGGACTTCTCAGAACCTTGAATATATTAATGTATAATCCCTCCGGGTGGGGAGGAGGCTCATAATACCCAAATTTTATTTTACCGCAGAGTATGATACTCTGCGGTAAAATAAAATCGGATAAAATATGGATTACCTGTTAATATCTTCTGGGATAGTAGTGCTCCTAAAACACATTTTTGAATATTTATTAGGTGTCAAACACAGTTCTAAGTACTTTAAGCTTCTCAACCTGTTTTATCTGCTACATTCATGTGTTCCTCCTTAATATGATATGAATATCTGCCTTTAAGAAGTAGTAGTATGCCATATCGGAGAATACATATTGGAAAATGTAAGAAAGGATGTGTTTGTGTATGCAGAATATAAGTCCTAGGTATTGATTCATTTAGAAATTTATTGTGTTTTCTATCTAGTTGATCATTGATTTATTTATATAGCTTACTTTACATATTTATGATATTCACTATATACTGTAGATATTAAATATCAGTATAATTTTTGATAATTTCTTAGAGCAATTCATTTGTAGAACATTTGTTGATATCTATCATAATATAAATTTACATTGTATCTCATGAACTTTTGGCATTCCATTAATACAGTAAAAGTTTTCCTGGTTAAATGTTTTGTCAATTTTGATTATGCACGTATAGTCTTTTCCACTTTTTAAAAAGTCCAAAATATGTGGGAAGAAAATGATAAAACATACTCAGAGTAAAAGCCCCCTTACCCCTGCAAATCAATATAACCACAATTTACATTTTTCCATACTTTTTGATCCCTATGTGTCTAGTCTGTTTTCTGTTGAGTGAAACAGAATACCTGAAACTGGGTAATTTTTAAAGAAAAGGAATTTATTTCTTACAGTTATGGAGGCTAAGAAGTCCAAGGTTGAAGGGGCCGCATCTGGTGAGGGTCTTCTTCCTGATGGGAACTGCAGAGTCCTGAGTTGATGCAGGGCGTTACGTAGCGAGAGGGCTCAGTGTACTAGTTCAGTCCCTCTTCCTCCTTTTATAATGCCACCAGTCCTCTTCCTGTGATAACCCGTTAATCAGTTTATGAGGCAGAGCCCTCATGACCCAACACCTCTTAAAGGCCCCACCTCTCAATATTCCCCCACTGAGGTTTAAGTTTCATTGTGAGTTATGGAGGGGACAAACATTCCAACCATATGTAGCAACCACTATGGTAGCTACTCTTCAGAGAGATGCAGCCCCCTGCCTCCAACCAGGGAGCCACATCTCTTGCTCTTGAGTAGTCCCTTTCCTCAAATTGTGCTGGCACTGTGACTTGCCTTTGATTAGTAGAATGCAACAAAAGTGATTCTGTATGACCCCAAGACTTTGCTAAGATCTCTTGGAATGCTTGCTTTGGGAGAGGTCAGCCTCTAGTAAGAAGTCAGACTATCTTGAGACCACAAGATGTGTGGAAGCCCAGGCTGGCCCTAAGCTGTATAGAAAGGTTTCATGAAGGGAGGGAAACAGAAAGAGAGAAAGGTGATTGAGAAGACCAATCACAGAGAGAGGGAGAGATCTTCTCAGTCAGCTCCCGTCTTTTCCAGCCATCCTAGCTGATATTTGAGTGAAGAAGCCATCCTGTATGTATGTCCAGCTCAGACTAACATCCAGATGATTCCAGCCCCAGCCATCATCTGACTGCAGCTACATGTGAGAACCCAAGTGGGAATCACCCAGCTGAGCCCAGTCAATTCACAGAACTGTGAGAGATAATAAATTCTTGCTTTAAGCCGTTAAGTTTTGGTGTAGCTTTTTACACAGTCATAGATGGCCAGAACAGTGCATATTGGTATATTAAAAAACATACCAAAAGTCATATTTAATATATGTATAAATAATATTATAGATATTACAGCCATGCACCACATAACAATGTTTCAGTCAACCGTAGACCGCATATGCGACTATGGTGGTCCCATAGGATTATAATGCTGTATTTTTATTTTACCCTTTCTATGTTTAAATAGATACCCAAATATTTAATATTGTAATACAATTGTTTGCATTATTCAGTACAGTAACCTGCTGTACAAGTTTGTAGCCTAGGAGCAATAGGCTATACCATAAAGCCTAGGTGTGTAGTGGGCTATACCATCTAGGTTTAGTCTAAGTACACTCTGATATTCGCGCAATGACAAAACTGCCTAACAACACATCACTCAGAACATATCCCTGTTGTCAAGTGACACATGACTGTATAATTTTGAAACATAAATGGTGATCATATTTGGCACATCAGTCTACACCTAGTTGTGTGCTGTAGCTGGCTCTCGGGCCCATAAGATGCAGTTCCACCTTCAGTGATATCACACTGGTTGCTTGAAAATGACCATCGAAATAGGCAGATGCTGCAAATCAGGGCTTCCCTTGACCCAGAGAGCCAGTTGTTAAAACATTTACCAGCACACCACTGTCTGTATTTTCCTTTTTTCATTTACATTATTATTGTTTGAATGACTGTATATTTGGTAATTTGGATGTACCATAATTTATTTAAACAATCCCCTATTGTTGACCTGTTATTTCTTTAGAATGTTATTTCTCGAAATAGAATTGCTAGGTTATACCAATTTACCAACAGTGAGGGTGTTTCCCAATGCCCCACCCAGCACTTATTTTTATATTTAGAATCTTCATACGTATATTTTTTTAAATTCTGGGATTTTTTATTCTTAGAAGTTTTTAATGGTTCGAGGCTGGGCGCAGTGGCTCACGCCTGTAATCCCAGCACTTTGGGAGGCTGAGGCAGGCGGATAACAAGGTCAGGAGATCGAGACCATCCTGGCTAACACAGTGAAACCCCGTCTCTACTAAAAATACAAAAAATTAGCTGGGCATGGTGGCAGGCACCTGTAGTCCCAGCTACTCTGGGAAGCAGGAGAACGGCATGAACCTGGGAGGCGGAGCTTGCAGTGAGCCGAGATCGTGCCACTGCACTCCAGCCTGGGCGACAGAGCGAGACTCCGTCTCAAAAAAAAAAAAAAAAGTTTTTAATGGTTCGAAACCCAAAAGCTACGAAAGTATATGGGAAAAGTCTCCCTTCTATCACTGCCTGTGTTTCCCAGCTTCCCAGTGCCCCTCTCAAGGGTAACTTGGAATTTTATAAGGAATTCATATATCCTCTTTCAGTTATGTTCACGCGTGTACAAACAAGTATATTCCTTTGCTCCCTCTTTTTTTACTCACTTGGTAGCTCCCATACACACTTCCCTACCTTGCTCTTGTCATTTAATGATATATTTTGGAGATCAATACCAAAAGAGAAAAGTCTTCCTCAGTATCTTTTCATGCCCTCATGGTATTCCATTGAGTGGATAAATCATATTGCTTCTAATATTTTACAATTGGTATATGATATGTGTACAATACTTGAACATACATCATTTCACATATAAATATATCTGTAGCATACATTTTTAAAATAGTTGCTTAATCAAAGGGTATAACTTTGATAGACATAGCCAAATTGTCTTTTATAGAGGTTTATGAATTTACCTCTCCATCACCAATATATGAGAGTATTCGTCCACACATTTGCTAATGCAATATACTGTCAGACTTTTGGATCTTACCTATTTGATAGGTTAAAAAATAGTACCAGCATATAATTTAACTATGAGTCTGAGCTCTAGGTGTGTCTTTTGTTTTCTGTAAATTGTTGATATATTTCGCCTATTTTTCTTCGGGTCATGGGCTTTTTTAGTTGTAGGAGTTTATTATTCATTAACGAAATTAGCCCTTTTATCTGCCATATAATTTGCAACAATTTTATATCAGCTTTTTTATTGTCTTTTGGCTGTTGTTATGAAAGTTATGGCCATGCAGAAATGTGGGATTTTATGTAGCACAGTTGTCTCTTTTTTTTTTTTTTGAGACGGAGCCTAGCTCTGTCACCCAGGCTGGAGTGCAGTGGCATGATCTCAGCTCACTGCAACCTGTGCCTCCCAGGTTCAAGCAATTCTTCAGTCTCAGCCTCCCAAGTAGCTGGGACTACAGGCGCCCACCATCACACCTGGCTAATTTTTGTATTTTTAGTAGAGACGGGGTTTCACCATATTGGTCAGGCTGGTCTCGAACTCCTGACATCAGGTGATCTGCCTGCCTCAGCCTCCGAAAGCGCTGGGATTACAGGTGTGAGCCACCGTGCCCAGCTCACTTGTCTCTTTTTGATGGCTTCTAAGTTTTATGTCATGGTTAGAAAGTCACTCTCCATCTCTCTCCTTGAAATAAAGCTTTCATCTACAACTTTATGGTTTCTTTTTTGTTGTTAATTTTTTTCTTACATTTGAATTTTTGTTTTTTTGTTTTTATTTAATTATTTATTTACTTTGAGATGAGGTCTTGCTGTGTTGCTCAGGCTGGAGTGCAGTGGCGCGATGCAGCCTCTGCCTCCTGGGCTCAAGCGAACCACCTGCCTCAGCCTCCCTAAGTGCTGGGACTACAGGCCTGAGCCACTGCGCCTGGCCTGAATTTTTGATCTTTTAGAAATTCATCTAGGTATGAAATACGGTATGGCTTCAGCTCTATTTTTTTCTAGAAGCCTGTCCAGAATCCATTTATTGAATAAACGTATTTTTTCTGAATGATTTGAAATGTTACTTACTTAAATACTGCTTATATTAAACACTGTGTTCTATAATTACACAGTTTTAATTATTATAGCTTAATGATGTATTTCTCTTCTCTTTCAGGACTTTCCTGTTTGTTCTTGATTGTTTTTCCATGTAAACTTTAAAATCAACTTGTCTAATTCTCATATAACTCTTGGTATTTTTTTTGGAATTTGGGGATTGTGTCAAATTTAATAACTAAATCAAGGAGAATCTGCATTCTTATGATAAATTATTTCTAACTAAGAACATGTTTGAAGTGGGGTGTGTTTTAAAACATCTTCAAACAGATCATTTCTCTTATTAAATTTATTCTTAGGTGTTTTGTCTCTTTTGTTATAGTTTGTATTAGTATGCTAGGGCTACCATAATGAGAGACCACAGACTGGGTAGCTTAAACAACAGAAACTAATTTTCTCACAGCTCTAGAAGCTGGAAGTCCAGGATGAAGGTGCTGGCAGGTTTGGTTTCCTCTCAAGTCTCTCTCCTTGGCTTGTAGATGGAAGCCTGCTTGCTGTGTTCTCACATGGCCTTTCTGTGTGTGTACACATGCCTGGTGTCTTTATGTCCAAATTTCCTCCTCTTATAAGGATACCAGCCAGATTGGGTTGGGATCTACCCACATAACCTTAATTACCTCTTTGAAGGCCCCACCTCCAAATACAGTCACATTCTGAGGTACTGGGAGTTAGGGCTTCAACATATGAATTTGGATAGAGGAGACAGTTTAGCCCATAACAATGGTAAATGAAGAATTTTCTTTCTTATATCTACTAATTGATATTTATATACATGAAAGTTATTTGTGTATTTAATTTCATACCTAGCCACCCAGCTTATAATTTATAATAGTTTTTACTTTATTCTCTTAGTTTTTCCAGGTATAAAATTATATTATTTATAAATAATGATCACATTGCCTCCTCCTTTCTAGTTTTTATAAGCTTTATTTCTTTTATCTAATTGCAGTCTAGAGCTGTTGAAATGGTTAAACTAAGAGTGGTGGCAGTAGATACTTTTCTTGTATTCCATATTTTAATGAAAATATTTCTAGTGGCTTTTGGTGTTTCCATTAAGCATGATGTTTGCTTTTGGATTGAGATATAGATACATAGTGTCTTTAAGTACTTCATCATCTATCTGTATTTTATTACAGCTTTTAAAAATCAAGAATGAATACTTCTATCAAATGCCTTTGTGGCATTTATGAAGATGATCATATGTTTTCCCTTTGATCTAATAATATGTTGAATTTATAAATAAATTTACTAATATTGAACCATCTTTGCATTCCCCTGTTTGGTCCTGGCCTATTCTTTTAATTTGCTGTTGAATTCTGTTTGCATACAGATTCCTAAATGAGACATAAATAAATAAGTTTCTTTATGGAGGCTTTGTTAAGTACAATTTTATGCTTGCTTTATATAAATAATTTTAATCGTTTTCTTTGTCTGTGTTTTCAGACAATTTGAAATTATGTGTTCTTTAATGGTTTATTAGAATTTTCCTATGAAACTTTTGGGTCTAGTGCTTTCTGAGGAGGTGGCTGTTTGACAACTTTATTTCTTCTATAATATATCTGTTTAAATTTTTTTATTTCCTCTGGAGTCAATTATGTTAAATTACATTTTCCTATCATTTGTTTCCATTGGTTTTCAAGTCTATTTGCATGGAATTGAGTAAAGTAATCTTTTTAAGATTCTTTAATTTTTCTCTATTTGCATTCTGTGTCTGTGTGTTTGCTGTTTTCTTCCCTTTGTTGTTTTGATTAGACTGGAGTCTGGCCTATCCTTTTTCAATAACCAACTTTGGGTTATTAGTTCTGCTGTTTTTTTTTTTTTGTCTTACAAATACTTTATTTCTTCTTTTATCTTTTTTTTTTTTTTTTTTTTTTTTTGGAGACATTGAGTCTCATTCTGTTGCCCAAGCTGGAGTGCAGTAGCACAATCTTGACTCACTACAACCTCCACCTCCCTGGTTCAAGCGATTCTCCTATCTCAGCCTCCTGAGTACCTGGGACTACAGGTGCCTGCCACCATGCCCAGCTAATTTTTGTATTTTTGGTAGAGATGGGGTTTTGCCATCTTGGCCAGGCTGGTCTTGAACCCCTGACCTCAGATGATCTGCCTGCCTCGGCTTCCCAAAGTGCTGGGATTACATGCATGAACCACCACGCCTGGCCTATTCTTCATTTTCTTTTCCTTAGGTTTGCTTTATTGATTGATAATACAGTTGATATTTCTAATTAGTCATTATTCTATTAATTTGATTTAAGGCTTTTTGTTCTATAGAAGTTTTAAATTTTTAGTAATCAAAACTATCACTGTTTTCCTTCTATGGCATCTTATTTTCACATTACTCTTTTAAGAAGTTCATCTACATCACCACTGCCTCTCTCCCGCCATTGTACAAATGCTGTCCATTCTTCCCTATTTTAGAAGATGACTAATGTCAGCCAAATATCTATCATCTATCTAGATAGATAGATAGATAGATATGGCTCAATGTATAGAGTATAAATTTATTGCCAAATTTTCAGGAGTATATTTTTTCCACATAAGAAAATTACTTATAAAACCTTATAAATGAAAACATCAAATTTGTAGAATTATTTTACTCTATTTTATTTAAAAGATTTTGGGCCAGGCGCAGTGGCTCACGCCTGTAATCCCAGCACTTTGGGAGGCTGAGGCAGGTGGATCACCTGCAGCCTGGCCAACATGGTGAAACCCCGTCTCTACTAAAAATACAAAAATTACCTGGGCATATTGGCATATACCTGTAATCCTAGCTACTTGGGAGGCTGTGAGGCAGGAGAATTGCTTGAACCTGGGAGGCAGAGGTTGCAGTGAGCCAAGATCACACCATTGCACTCCAGCCTGGGTGACAAGAACAAAACTCTGTCTCAAAAGAAAAAGAAAAAGATTTCATAATGGCCTTTAATAGAAAGTTATTTTTATATATTTAAGATGCTTTTCTTTCTGTTCTTCCAGGTTACTCAAATGAGTCGTCCAGACTTGATTCTCTTTCTGATGAAATACCTGATGGCTCTCATAGTTGGCATTCCCTCTGTATTTTGGGTTGGAAGCAAAAAGACATGCTTTGAATGGGCCAGTTTTTTTCATGGTCGTAGGAAAAAAGAGTAAGTTGAAATAAATGATCACAGTGTTCACAAACCTCACATTTACGTAAATTTTTTTGTGTTGCTTATGTTAAAATGACTTGGATTTGGAGAATTATTCAAACAAGACTAACATTTTCAGCAGTATCCAGTTATGATTGGCACAGTAGCATGTCTTAATTTAAAACTAAAAACTTATTTTGAGAAGATGGCCAAGTAGTCCAGAAGATGACCAGGCCTCCTGTACTAATTCAGAATACTTGAAGGAAGTCCAATCTTTGTGAAAAAAATTCAAATTGTAATTTTCTTAAAAGCAAATTAATGCTTTTCTCTACATTCTTATCTGATCTTCCTGATATTCCTTTGAAGGTTGACATATATTCTCATCTCTCTTTTACAAATGAGAAAACCAAGATAGAGGTTAAGTGCTTGGCCAAAGTCACACAGGTATTTACTGATAAGAGCTAGATAAACTTCTGTCTCCAGTTGTCCATTGTTCTTCCAAGTGTACCAAAAGTGATATAAAGAAATACTCTTATTCCATTCTAATATAGTACGTTAAAGCCAAATAGAAAAATGATATTAGTAGATTAATTGAAATGTGTTAGAGGTTATTGTAATTCATAGTTGGCCATACTGCATATTACAGTGTGATATAAGGGCATATTTAAGGAATCTTTAAATTTTTGTACCTTAGTTTGTAAAACAAAAACAAAACAAGACCCTTCAGTTTTCACAGTGGAACAAATGATTTCAAACTCTACTCAGTTTTAAGTCTCATAGGTATCTCTGTCTGAATTATCACAAACTCTAAGTTAGTGGATTCTATATTTCTTATGATTTTACTTAATCTAGGATCCATGGAAGAATGATTTTTTTGTGGGTAGTCTGTAAATATTTTAAAATTATATGTAGAATGCGCCTTGTATTGGTTAATGTCATTTTCTTATACAATTTGAAGTTACTTTAGTTTCAGCCTCACTAATAAAGTTTATATTTACTAAAATACCAGTAATTAACAATTTCTGTTATACAAATTATATTAACATCACAGTTTAATATACAGTCAGCCTTTTGTATCTGGCGGTTCCATATCAGTGGATTCAGCCAACAATGGATCAAAAATATTTGGGAAAAAAAAAATTTAAGAAAATTCCAAAAAGCAAAACTTGAATTTGCTGCATGCTGAGCACTACACTGAATCTATGCAAATAAAGTGATGTATTAGGTACTGTAAGTAACCTAGAGATGATTTAAAGTATACAAGAGGTTGTATGCAAATACTACACCATTTTATATAAGGGACTTGAGCATCCTCGAATTTTGGCACCCACAGGGGGTCCTGAAACCACTCTCCTGAGGAAATTGAGGGATGATTGTATACATTTCTTATTGTGATATCTGAGACTGCTACTAGTGATATCAGATAATGCATTTCTCCTTTAAATATAATTTTGTAGAGCAGAGAAGGAAAGAAGGGGATGAGTTCACTCAATAGCAACCAAAAAAAATTCGTCTTCTAGGCATTTATTCATTCTTTGAAAGACTTGTTGAATGCTTACTATGTGCCACCAACTACTTTTGGATACCAATGATTTGATAGCAAACAGAACAGGCCAAGACCCTGCTTTCTTAGAGTGTCCTCCCTTATGGGATTTACTGTGATTTATTTGTGTATTCTTTGGAAAACTGTATTGTAATCACAGTAAAACACAATGCTGAGGAAAGGACTTGAATTAAACATTCCTGGATACCTCTGGGCCATATATAAATAATTCTGTGATAGAGTGGCATTAGAAATTCCAGATAGAGCTAAAACTGAAGTTTTCCTTATAGAGATTTATCCTAGTTAGTTTGCGGGGATACTGGTTGGGCCGAAATCCTTTTGAAACTGGTTAAAACTCTCAGGGGCCCTTCCATTTGGTTTTCTGCAGCTGTGGATTCCCAACCAACAGTCATTGTGATCTTCCAAGCCAGAATGTGCTCTGGGCTGGAGTGGCAGCCCCTTATTCTGGCATTCAAGAGCGTGGGCACCCTTTGGCTATTTCTAGCATTTGTCTGGTTAGCCTTTGGGAAACGACTATAAGATAATAATAATGGGTACTAATTTATTGGGCACATTTAATACTCAAAGCACTGTTCTAAGCACTTTACACATTAAATCATTTAACGCTGTAAACAGCCATGTGATGGAGGACATCATTTTACAGATAAGGAAACTGAGGCATAGAACCAAGATTTCATAACAAGTGATTGCTAACATATAGATGCAAGCCCAGTCTGACTCCAGAGCTTTGCTCTTAACTACTTTGTTACACTGTGCTGTAGACTGGTTTCTAACATTGTGCTAATCAAATTAATGTTCTCCCCTTAAGTGAAGCCAGATTTAAGACCATACTTATGCTAATAATTCTGACATAGATTTAAATATTTTTAGAAATCCTCTTTTGGATTACCTGGGTCATTTCACTTAATTTCTCTGGACATTATCTGTAAAATGAGGGGACAAACCTTCACCATTTGGAGGTGAGTTAAATTTTTGTAACAACTAGAAGTCAGTTTTAACCAAGTTTAGAAAATAAAGTCAACAACCAAGAATGACTTGGTGGGATGTACATATATATGAATAAGGCCGTTGATTACAGAGGAACGAATCCAGATTTTTATTTTTTTTACTATTTTTGGCTTGTTCTTTTTTCTGTCATGTTTTTGGCACTTTGTTTTCCAGATATATGTAAACACTGTTTTATCATTACCTTGTGATTAGCCTCTAAGACTTTAAATTTAAGTTTGATCCTTGACTGTTGGTTTCGTTGTGTGATTTTTTGAAAGTTCTTTAATTTCTTAAAACTTTAGTTTCTTTGTCTATGAAATGGGGATTACAATATCTATTATTAATAGATATCCAATATTCCCTTAGAAATACACTCTTAGGACATGAATCTCTGTAATGATGACATTATTAAGAGGATTCAAAGGAGAATATATATAAAGTACTCAATAAATACTAGACTTCCTTCAGCCCATCTACCCCAACAAGAAAAACAACAGCAATAATGACAATCCTTTTGTAATATGAGAATTTATAATATATGTAATTTCTCAATATATGATCCAATCTTAACATGCTGGAGTTTTATTTTTGAAATGAAATTGATTATCTAATTTTAACTTTATGAGTTTTCATAGTAAGTCCTTTATTTACATAATCCAAGACACTAACCTTTACAACTGTTTAATTAGCTCTTGTATTAATTTAATTACTGCCTTGTTCATCATCGTAAACCATCTGTCTACTTAGTCCTTTGATAGCAGTTAAAATTTTTTGTTCTTAACCATAATTTTTCCCCTAAATGTTTCCCTTTAAGCTTCTAATATGTCTGAGACTTAATTGTAACTTTAATTTTTCATTTTGTTTTGTTCTAATTATGACTGCTCATGTTTATTCCAGCACTAGACAACTGCTTCTGCATAAAATTAACTCGTAGACTAAAACAACTGCTCTTACAACTTAAAAAAATATTGTATCCATGCTACAGTGAAGCCTCTACTAGTTTTATAAACCATGCAAGAAAACAATTTTTCTATTTTAGTTATATCTTCATAATATTTCAGTGTCTTGAGAATGATAGATTTCTTTGGCTGAAAGGGACCTTTTAGAAATGATGAAATTGTATACTTTCATTTTACAGATGAAGAAATGAAGGAAAGAAAGAGGAGATAATGACATGCTTAAGATCACATTTTTATTGATAAAGTTGGAACTAAAATCCTGATTTCCTTATTCTAACACAGGCCTTTTTCCATCATACCACCTTAGGGGACAGATTGACATAGATTGTTGTTCTATTCTTTCCTCTGTCAACAATGTTTCTTCATGTCAGTCCTATAGATCTAATTTGGCAAGCAATTAATTTCAAGAATAATATCAGTGTTTCAGAGAAGTATTGCTTATTGGTCTGAAGGAAGATTGGTATGTATCTTAAACTTACTATTTTGTTGTCTAGGATAGTGAATGAGAGCCGACAGGTACTCCAGGAACCTGATTTTGCTCAGTCTCTCCTGAGGGATCCAAATACTCCTATCATAAGAAAGTCAAGGGGAACTTCCACTCAAGGAACATCCACCCATGCTTCTTCAACTCAGCTGGCTATGGTGGATGATCAAAGAAGCAAAGCAGGAAGCATCCACAGCAAAGTGAGCAGCTACCACGGCAGCCTCCACAGATCACGTGATGGCAGGTGAGTTTTGTTAGTAGTGTAGTTTATTTCATAAGCTGAATTATGACCATACAGCTTAAGAAAGAGGAGCAGCCAATTCTGAAATAGAAGTCGAACATAATTAAGCCTTTGAACTTTGCTAGATAGAGTTGTCCCAGACTATGGTCAGACTTAAAGTCAGTCAGAATTGTTTAGATTTGATGGAGTAAGCAATATGGGAGTTATTGCAGGGGATTGAGCAGGGAAAAGACAGGGTAAAAGTGGTTATTTTAGTAAGATTAATTTAGTAAACAATTATGGAACACCTACTACATCTAGCACTCTTGCTAGGCCCTGAGAATACAAAGATGACTTAGGCATGATCTTTGCTCTTGGTAAGCTCACAGTCTATTTAGAAAGATAGTGTAGTCAGTTTGTGGTTTAGAACATGGATCTAGAATGATAAACCTCAGCTTCCTCATTTATAAAATGAAAATAGTATTAATATCTGCCTCTTTAATAATCTTGTACAAATTAAATGAGATAGCATACCTAATTCCTTGGAACAGTGCCTATCTCAGTGAGTACCTCATATCAGCTTCTGTTATTATTGTAATTGACAATTGAACTAACACATAAGTATGACAGTATAGTTCAGGAATTAGCAAACGTTTTCCGTGAAGAGCCAGATAGTAAATATTTTAGGCCTTATGAGCCATATGGTCTTCACTGCAACTATTTGAGTCTGCTGTTGTAGCATGAAAGCAGTCATAGACAATATGTAGTCAAATAGAAATAACTGCATTCCCATAAAACTTTATTTGCAAAAATAGGATTTGGCCAGCAGGCCTTAGTTTGCCAACCCCTGTTTACTAGGTACAGTAGTAGCACAGAGGAGGGAGTGATTAATTCTGGTGGCTAGGGAGGGGGTTGGTTTCACAGAGAAAATGTTTGAGAGAAGCCTGGCTGTGGGTTTCTTGTTAAATTTGAGAAATGAGACACTAGAATTAGAAACTGCCTTTGAGCTTTTCAGTAATTCTTTTGAGAGATGATAAAGGCTTCTAGGAGAATGGTGGCAGTGGGAAGAGAGGAAGAGCTGACCTGAAAGATATTTAGAAAGAAGAAATTATATAGCCGGGTGTTGTGGCAGGCACCTGTAATCCCAGCTACTCAGGAGGCTGAGGCAGGAGAATCACTTGAAGCCAGGAGGTGGAGGTTGGAGTGAGCTGACATCGTGCCACTGCACTCCAGCCTGGGCAACAAGAGCAAAACTCTGTCTCAAAAAAAAAAAAAAAAAGAAGAAGAAATGATAGAGATTGGTAAGAAATTAATATTAGCAGCTGGAGAAAAGGAATGTGCTAAATATTTTTTGGGGTGTTTTTTTTTAAGATTTCTTTTGGGAAACTGAAAGAATGAAAATTATAATACCTGAAACTGACAGGATTCTGTGTTCACTTGAAAACATCTGTTTCCACAGCTGTTTCTATCCTGTCAGTCTCAGTCTTCTCCCTGTCCTCCTAGTGTAGAATCCGATTCTCTGTACTTTTCTTTTTTAATCTTCTGTCTGTTTCCTCTCAACTTGTTTTCTTTTACCTTCTGTTGTTCAGCTACCCTGTGTTTAAAAGAGCAGCAGTCTTTCTTTGTGCTGATTTATCCTTTATCCATTTCCTTTTTCTTTCCTGGCTAGATTTTTGAAATGACTATTTTGAATATTTTTCTTCTCCCTAATCCATCCTTTATGCCTTGAAAGTGTAGTCTTTTTCTCCTCTCTACCTGCCTGAACTGTACCCTCTAACATCACCAGTGACTTCATTTTAACCACAAGGATCTTTCTCCTTCCTTCCTTCTTTTGTTCCACTTAGCACTCCTATATGAGAAGCATTCTTCTAAGTGCTAGGGATGCAGAGATGGAAGACAGAAGAGTAAACAATCAATTACAATACACTTCAATAGGTATAGTAAAAATATGTACAGGGTGCATTGGGATCTCAGAGAAGAAAACCATTTAATAAATCATAGAAAGTGAAAGCTTCGCAAAAGAGATGGCACTTCTACATTGAATAGGATTCAGAGGAGGCAGTTGGGAGTTAAGGTAACAGCACATGCAGAGGCAAGGAAGACAGGCAAGCAGTTAGGTACGTGGGTATGGCTAGAGCATAGACTGCATGTTTTGGCAACTGAAGGAGAGGAATTCATACTGAGGAGTTTGCATTTTTCCTGGGCAGCAGTGAGAAACTATCATAGGACTTCAGGCATTGGGGTGAGAAAATCAGATTTGTATTTTAGAAAAATCACTTGGCAATAGCATCGGAATGAAGGAGATTATGAGTAAGACTAGTTAGGAAGTTTCTACAGTAATTTAGGGGTCCCAGCTGAAAATACTGATAAGGAGGGAGGGAATCAGAGTTCTTTTAGAATATATTTATCAGTCATCACCCTCCATGAACCCAGCTTTATTTGACGTTATTGGCCTTATCCTTTCTTTATTTCTTTCTTTTATTTATTTATTTTTTTTTTTTGAGGCAGAGACTCACTTTGTTGCCCAGGCTGGAGTGCAGTGGTACTATCTCAGCTCACTGCAACCTCCGCCTCCCAGGTTCCAGCGATTCTCATGCCTCAGCCCCCTGAGTAGCTAGGATTACAGGCATGTGCCACCACGCTCAGCTAATTTTTTGTATTTTTATTAGAGACAGGGTTTTGACATGTTGGCCAAGCTGGTCTCGAACTCCTGGCGTCAAGTGATCTGCCCATCTCAGCCTCCCAAAGAGCTGGGACTGCGGGCATGAGCCACTGTGCCCGGCCTGGCCTTATCCTTTCAATGATGAATGAATAATTATTTATAGTATAATACCTATGCACGTGGCATACTGTGTATAAAGATGTATATGGAAGAAAAGTAAGATGTAATTTATGCATTCTAGGAGCATATAACCTTATAGGAAAGATAAGATGTATATGGAAGTAAGATGTAATTTATGCATTCTAGGAGCATATAACCTTATAGGAAAGATAAGACATACACATATGAACCAGTTAATAGCACAAGCCAGGAATATAATTAAGACAGTGAGTGTTAAAGATAACAGATGTAGAACTGCAGGAAAGAGAAAGGTCAGATTGGTTCGTGAAAGTATCTTAAAGGAGATACGTAGGGTGAATGAACAGTAAAAGATGAGTTTATATTAAGTAGAGGATTTCTGAGGGCAGTTAAAAATAGACTTCAGCCACTCTCATCTGAATAGAGCTGTAGCTTAGATAAGAAAGTTTACAATCATCAATATAAGGTAGTTGGCAATTAAAATTGTGAGCTAGAATCCCTTGAGTCACTATTAAGAAAAGAACAACAGGCCAAAAACAAGACCTTGGGAAATATTCACAGTAATAATAATACAGGAAGAAGAACAGTGGGCATATGAGTCAGAGAAATTGCTTATCATTCTTTTTGTTACTATCTATTTTCCACATAATTGTCTTTCCTCAGCTAAGTTTGCAGCTTCTAGAGAATAAGAACTAGGTGACACCGTATTCCTCCACAGTATCTAGCACAGTACTAGGCATATATATATATAGTAGGGGATTAACAAATCTATCAAATAAATAATGACTTTAGAAATAATGTGGATGTTTCCCAGAAATGCAAGAGCCAGAATGACAGTGGCACCCTACTGAAGGTGTTCTGTAATGTGGCACATGAATACTAATACTGTAGGACTCTTGGCTGTACCCAGAACTTTAGGGCAGATTTGAGAGATTCCAAGACTGTGGTGAACCAGAAGTCTGAACAAGGATTTTCATAATTTGAAAAGCCATCTCATGGAGATTTCCTTCTGCTTCAGTCAGTTTTTAACTTTGTGTGTCAACACTATGTTGTGGTCATTTTCTAATCATCTCATGGTATCTTGGCTGTGGGATCACACACATACCCACTTCCCAATACTCACTCTGGCCCAGATTCTTTGCTGGATAATTATTGATCTCTGTGCTATATAAAACAAAATAGGCTGAGGTGAATACACCTACACATATATGTCAGCTTCAAAGAATAAGTAATTGGTGGTTAGATGAGAGGGTGAGTGAAAAAGGAAGTGGATAAGTAGGTAGGTGGAGGTTTGGGAATGAATGATTAGGTTGGTAAGTGGGTGCCATGACAAGAAAAAGCTAGGGAGTAAATAAGGAGGTATTAGTAAAACTACAGTTAATTCAGTTATTTAGATTAGTGATAGCAAATAGTATGGACACTCAAAAAGAGTAAATCATCTTCAAGGTTTTTTTATGTTGACTTTGGAAGGCACTGTAGTATTTTTTGACAACGGCAGCAAATTAACCATCCTAATTGTTTTGCCTAAGCTTATATTAAAATTAATTTACATTTTCACACTGTGTATTACAGTCAGTGGTCACAGTGGTTTAAATGACTGTCAGAAAATAAACTTGGTAATTCCTACATATACAGTTGAGATTAAACAGTATATTTAAATTTATTTTTCTATGTAGTTGACTCTTAATTATCCATGGGCAGGTTGTTCATATTCTAAAATGTTTTGTGGATGGCCATATGTGTCACTTAAGGAATTTAGATTAAATTATTCAATATAGTAAATTTTTCTATGAAAAATATATTATTTGAGTTTTTGTAACTCAAAGCTTTATATTTCATTTTAGAAAATACTCAGCTTATATTTTTATATAGTGATTTTTAAAAGATAACTTTATATCATTACTAGAAAACCGCATCATATTTTGCTCTTTTCATTTGCCATATTTATTTGAGACAGATACTTGGGAAGCCATTGAGAGGTGAAAGATCTCCAAATCAGCAGCCAAGTCATATTTGGAAACTTGGAATAATCTTCTACTCAGTTTTAAGGCAATAATCATTATGCAAAATAATAATTATTAGTCTAGAATAACAAGCCCATTCTGAAATGTTTTCATCTGCAAACATTGTCATTATTTACCAAAACATGCAGAACAAATTTAAAACTGTTTAAGGTCCTAAATATGAAGTATCTTTTAATAAATAAGAATTAAATAACTTTTTACCCATTAACATGAGAAATGTTTAAAATATTTAAATATTTATCTTTTCACATTTAACTTTTCTTTTTTGCTTTCCTGAAACAAAATACATGTTTTTGTTTTTTGAGACAGAGTTTCGCTCTTGTCACCCAGGCTGGAGTGCAATGGCACGATCTCGGCTCACTGCAACCTCCGCCTCCGACATTCAAGCAATTCTCCTGCCTTAGCCTCCCGAGTAGCTGGGATTACAGGTGCCCGCAACCATGCCCAGCTAATTTTTGTATTTTTAGTAGAGACAGGGTTTTACCACATTCGCCAGGCTGGTCTTGAACTCCTGACCTCAAGTGATCTGCCCATCTCAGCCTCCCAAAGTGCTGGGATTACAGGCATGAGCCACTGCGCCCGGCCAAAAGACGTGTTTAAAAAAAAATTTTTTTCAAAGGACTTCTCAAGTTTTAAACTCTGATCTAATGAAAATGTGACTAGAAGATCACCTCTGTGGTGTATGAATCTATCTTTAAATTTTATAAATAATTCACACTGAGTCATGAAATTTGTTACAATTATTTTTGTGAAGGAATGGTGGATTAACGCTTTCTGACAGCCAACAGATCTGCAGCTGCTTATGATTAGTTTTTTTGATGACTGTTTAAAAAAAAAAAACCTAGCCTGCTATATTTTATTTTTAGAAACATTACTTAAAACTTAATTAAAGTTATAAATTATACTAAGTTTTCTTTGAGGTTTATTATCCTAAATCAAATACTTTTACAGAATGGCATATATATAGGTGTTAAGTATAAACAAAAAGTATTTTAGAGAAATACTTCTTGAGGCACTAGGGATTAAAAGATAAAATATGGTCCTTACCTTGAAAGAGCACGCTATAAAGCCAGAATCGTTGATAAGTAGCATGCTAGCTCCATAAGCAAAGGCCTAATATAAAAGTCATAATTGATTTTCCTGACCTTGACTGGCCTAGAGCTAATCTCATTCCTCATGGCAAAGCTCAGTGAGTCAGGACTGCAACAAAAGAAAATTTAACAGCCCCACTGCTGCTTTTCAAGATAAGTGCAGAGGAGATAGCCTGCAGTTAGCAGAGGAGCCCAGCTCACATACTCCAAGCTGGGTCTAGAGCTGAAGGTACAAAGAATTTGCTTTAGCCAGAATATAGGTTACAGAGTGTTAGGATGTAACTTCCAAGCAGATGTAGCTTCCATGAAGGAGCATCTTCACAGCCTCAAGCCCTGATGAGAAGTAATTAAGATAATTTACAGGTAGTTAATTCAGTTGTTAACTGGGCTATCTGGAAAGCAGCTTTCGGCACATACTGTCATCATTGCTTGCCAGTTTATTCATTTTTTTTTTTAGGTTACTCCAATTTCTCCTCTGATTTCATATTCTCCCTCTTCCAGTCAGAGTCTTAATAAAATTTGAATGTACCCCTCTACTGATTATAACCACTCTTCTTGGCTGCCAGGGGCAATGCCACATTTCTTCTATTTGTTGTTACCCCTCTCCCTGAACCCACCCATTCAAAACTCCTTTGAATGAGAAAGGTATCCATATCGAGTGCAGCTTCAAATCGGTCAGCCTTATTTAATCTTAGCTTCTGTCCTTTTGCAGAGAATGGAACCTTAATTCTGATTGGATTATCTCTTCTCTTTTGTTGGCCATGTCAATAATTCTACAGTGTTAACGAAGTTAAGCAATCAAAAGTTGGTTATTACTTTCTCATGGTTGGTTTCCTAATAATTTCCCTTACTGAGGCATTTTTATGAAAATTATTAGTGTTATTATATTTTCTAGTGTGTTCTGTTACCCACTTCAAAATAAACTCTCATGACAGGTACACGCCCTGCAGTTACAGAGGAATGGAGGAGAGACTACCTCATGGCAGCATGTCACGACTAACAGATCACTCCAGGCATAGTAGTTCTCATCGGCTCAATGAACAGTCACGACATAGCAGCATCAGAGATCTCAGTAATAATCCCATGACTCATATCACACATGGCACCAGCATGAATCGGGTTATTGAAGAAGATGGAACCAGTGCTTAATTTGTCTTGTCTAAGGTGGAAATCTTGTGCTGTTTAAAAAGCAGATTTTATTCTTTGCCTTTTGCATGACTGATAGCTGTAACTCACAGTTAACATGCTTTCAGTCAAGTACAGATTGTGTCCACTGGAAAGGTAAATGATTGCTTTTTTATATTGCATCAAACTTGGAACATCAAGGCATCCAAAACACTAAGAATTCTATCATCACAAAAATAATTCGTCTTTCTAGGTTATGAAGAGATAATTATTTGTCTGGTAAGCATTTTTATAAACCCACTCATTTTATATTTAGAAAAATCCTAAATGTGTGGTGACTGCTTTGTAGTGAACTTTCATATACTATAAACTAGTTGTGAGATAACATTCTGGTAGCTCAGTTAATAAAACAATTTCAGAATTAAAGAAATTTTCTATGCAAGGTTTACTTCTCAGATGAACAGTAGGACTTTGTAGTTTTATTTCCACTAAGTGAAAAAAGAACTGTGTTTTTAAACTGTAGGAGAATTTAATAAATCAGCAAGGGTATTTTAGCTAATAGAATAAAAGTGCAACAGAAGAATTTGATTAGTCTATGAAAGGTTCTCTTAAAATTCTATCGAAATAATCTTCATGCAGAGATATTCAGGGTTTGGATTAGCAGTGGAATAAAGAGATGGGCATTGTTTCCCCTATAATTGTGCTGTTTTTATAACTTTTGTAAATATTACTTTTTCTGGCTGTGTTTTTATAACTTATCCATATGCATGATGGAAAAATTTTAATTTGTAGCCATCTTTTCCCATGTAATAGTATTGATTCATAGAGAACTTAATGTTCAAAATTTGCTTTGTGGAGGCATGTAATAAGATAAACATCATACATTATAAGGTAACCACAATTACAAAATGGCAAAACATTTTCTCTGTATTCATTGTTGTATTTTTCTACAGTGAGATGTGATCTTGCCAAAGCCACCAGACCTTGGCTTCCAGGCCCTCCTGTAGTGAGTTGATTGTCTGCACTTGCCTTGCCCAATAGCCAGTAGGCTACAGCTTTTGCCCCACACCCTTATTTTCAGATTCTGGATCATTCTTGTTTACAACTGAAATATATATAACCTCAGTCCAAAGTGGTGATTGATTTGAGTATTTGAAAATTGTTGTAGCTAAATGAAGCATGATTAGTCTTAGTATGAATATCATTTAATCTTTAAAAAATCAAGTAAAAATGTTTATCTGATAATGTTTAAATAATTTACAATATAAACTGTAAAACTTATTAGGCATGAAATCAATCAGAAGAGAAAGAAAAATGCTGGAACATGCTTGATGTATTATGTAAAAAGCATATTTAAACAAGGGTCCTCAACCCTGACTGCAGATAAGAATCACTTGGGTTACTTCAGATGCCTAACACCTTCCTCTCATACAAATAAGAATTGGTAGCTTTCTTAAAAAAAAAAAAAAAAAAAAAAAGCGCTCCAGGTGATTCTAATCTGCAGCCTGGCTTGAAACTCACTACTTTAACTTGCCCCTGATGATCTGTCGGCATCATATATCACATGAACATCCACATGGATTCTGTCTTTCGCTTTTATATCATTATCTAATATTCAGTTGTTCTGCACCTGATGCCAAATTCTGGGCTGTACTCCTAGAGAGACTTACTCAGTAAGGCCAAAGTGATAGGACTTTAAAATCTGTAGTTATAAAAATACCGCAGGTGATTCTTACGGAGGTAATCCAAGAATCATACTTTGAAGAATTATTCTAGACTCTGAAGAGGCCTGGCTCTGCCTTATGCTATTATAGTTTATGACCTTTAACAATTTAACTCTCCGAGCCTCAGTTCCCTTGTTTGTAAATGAAGATAGAAGATAAATACGTACTCTACCTACCTCACAAAGCTGTCAGATTAAGATCAAGTGAAAAAAATTATGTGAAAGCTCTTTGAAAACTGTAAAGCATTATGAATGATAAGGGATTAGGTTATTGTGGATTTAAGAGGTGTGAGGACTGCTATAGTACATTCCTTGACGTGTGTTGAATTCATGTATACTTTCTTTCTTACCCTTTAAAACAAACTGCCAAGAAATTAGGTGTTGAAAAAGAATATTCTCATCAGGCAGCAAAGTCAGTTTTCTGATAGTAATAATTTGTCTATTATGTTATATATTTCAAAGTACATGTATGATAATATGACTTATTCTTCATGAGAGATATTTGAATATTTGGCCCAAAATGTTTTTCATTTTTCTCTGTGTTCATTGCCTTTCTCCTTGGAGCTGGAGTTAATGCTCAAAGCAGGCAGGTCTGAATTCCCTCATAACCGACAATTAGTAAACATTTTCTCTGAAAGCCAAACATATAACAACTTATTTATCAATAATTCATGAAGCTTTTGTCTGAGAATCTCTCCTGCAAACAGCATGAGAGAACTAAAACAAACATTCACAAACAAAAATAAGTTAAAATAGAAGGTACCAGTTTGGGCTCGAAGATGTTGTCATCCATTGCCATCTGCATTATATTATCAACTGCCAAAATGTTAATTGGTTTTCTTTTACAAGTGGGCCAAGTATAGACAGTTAAGTGAACATCACTATGAAAATCTTAACTTTGTGCTTCTAGATTTTTAGATAATCATTTGTATTTTCTCTATTAAATTGTGGGTATGTATGGGAATACTATATTGACTTTTCAGTTACTTTCAGTAAGTATCTTAATTTTGTCCCACAAAATTTATGTAATATTAATCCATGGTTTTAAACAACAGTATTCAGTTTGGGCAGCAGTTTTAAGTCTAACTAGCTTAAACCAATCTGAATAAGTCTGGACAGTTTTCCTACCATATGTTTAACTTTGATTGGCATATGATAATGTTTAGTGTTTTCTTTTTTCAGTTGACAACTGAGAAAATAATAGTTCTCTCTAACATGTTAATATATTATCAAAAGGTTTTCAAAAAGTACTTTGATTTCAGCAACTTTTTTTATTCAATAACTAGACAAAAGATCTAAGATAATATTAAACTCAAAACAGTTTGTTTCAAAGAACAATTGGTTAATAACTCAGCTGGCACAGGGATTCATACACAGTTTTTCAATAAATATTTAAATGAACAATTCATGTCACACAACTTGCTTTTACCCTAGTACTGAGTCTCACATCAAAGAAATTTGAAAGATCTATAACCTATGTGAAATGAAGTCTCTGCTTTACCAGAATAATATGTGGCAGGTAATAAATATGTAAAGTACACCAAATGAAACATATTTTGCATAGATAACAGTCCATATCACTATTATAATTAAAGAAATATATGTACAGACATGTACCAATCCTTTTAATTAATTTTAGAAGATGAACAGTGATTCTTAGAAGTGAGTAATTAGACTCCTTTTAGTCTTATGCTGTTAGATCTTTGTGGACCAGCTGAGTAAATGAATCTTCAAATCAACCTTTCTTTTTCTGCTGCTCTTAGAGCAGATTTATAAAAATCCTAAGAATGTCTTCAAATTAGAAAAATTTACTACATTTTAACCTACCTCATCAGTTTCTTTGTGATAATAGCTGAAAATAACTCAAACTGTACCCATCTTAGTTAGGCTATATCTCTGTGAAATGAAAGGAACCACTTAATTTTTTTTATATAAATTAGTGAATCATTTGCTGGAGCTTAGAAAATATTAACATACCAAAATTTCATTATGATGATATTTATATTGCTTTTTGACATGCCAAAGGTACATTTACATATTACCATATTTGGATGACTTACATAGTCTGGTGTAATGAAAATTCCCCTGGGATTGGAATTTTAAGACTCATGATGTCAACTGGGCTGGTCATTTTATTTCTCTGAGTCTTTGTTTCTTCAATGTAAAATGTGGATAAGGTAATTTTTGGTTTTAGCCTCCCTCACTGGATATTGTAAGGATCAAATGAAATAGTATTTATTATAATGCTCTGTAACCCATAAATTATTCTACTTAAAAAAATTTTTTATAGAGACAGGGTCTTGCTCTGTCACACAGGCTGGAGAGCAGTGGCATAATCATAGTTCATTATAACCTTGAACTCCTAGGCTCAAGCAGTCCTCCAGCTTCAGCCTCCCAAGTAGCTAAGACTGTAGGCATGCACCACTACACCTGGCTAATTTTAATTTTTTTTTCTTTTTTTGAGACGGAGTCTGGCTTTGTTGCCCAGGCTGGAGTGCAGTGGCACAATCTCAGCTCACTGCAACCTCCACCTCCCAGGTTCAAGTGATTCTTCTGTCTCAGCCTCCCGAGTAACTGGGACTACAGGTGCGTGCCACCACATCCAGCTAGTTTTTGTATTTTTAGTGGAGATGGAGTTTTGCCATGTTGGTCTCAAACTCCTGACCTCAAGTGATCTGCCCACCTCAGCCTCCCAAAGTGCTAGGATTACAGGCATGAGTCACTGCACCTGGCTTAATTTTAATTTTTTTAATTTTTTGTAGAGATGAGTCTCACTATGTTGACCAGGCTGGTCTTGAACTCCTGGCCTCCTAAAGCACTGGGATTACAAGCATGAGCCACCATGCCTGATCCATAAATTGTTCTACTGATACCATTTGGTTTTGTTAGAATTTGGGGGGGCTATAGAAAACAAGGTTACAGTCTTCATTAGTATTTCTTTTTAGCAATAACAACAAAATAGGCAATTAGACCAGTGTTCATTTGGTACAGTCTTTAAATCGGTCATCCAATTAACCTTTAAAAAGTAGGTTATGCTCTTAAATTGTATTGGTTCTTTAATATGTGTTATACCAGAGTATGCCTCAAATTTTATGTAGTTGAATTTGTAGAACAAATTTGGGGATATTCATTTTATTTTTCCTTTTATATGAAATTGTATAAGTACATTAGCTTGACTTAAATTATAAAAAAAAATATATATGAAGAAGAATGTAGACCCTATAATGTTTTTTGTCTTTGACTTTTTGGCTTTTATGTACCTCATTTTTTCTGATTGAGAAAAAGTTTTGAAAAAGTGATTCACTTGTTGGTTTTCATTGTGGCAAAACTTTAAATTTTAAGTCATCACACTATGAGAATTGTTTGTACACATTTATAATTTTTTTAAAGTATGTAAAGTAAGGATTTTTTCTCCATTCTTCACTCACAAAGGATAGCATTTTTATGGAACCTAGATTTACAAAGGAACTTGTGATTCTTTTCAATGCTTTTGTGTCGTTTTACAGCTGATTAAGAAAAAATGTTTACATTTAATTCAGCTGTATTTCCTAGTAGCTGTATAATCTTACACATTATTCTTATATAATTTTGACCTATTTTATATGAAAATAATTGTATTGGCATCTCTTCATAATTTAATTCTCTTCTCTCCTTCTTTTGTTCCGATTAGATGAATTTGGGAAAGGAGTAGGAAGACTAGGTATCGCATGCCTTCCGTCTGATTGTAATCAGTCTCCTGGGTTTTTTACTAATTTAATCTTAATCCTGTGCTTCTTTAGTCATCAAATTGATATAGGATTACAATTTTCTCTCAGGATCCAAGTCTTCTAAGAATGAAAATGTTGAAGTCTACCCAGAACCAGCCATCCTTGTAGACATTTCTATTTGGTTGATTTATAAAGATTTAATATATAAAGATTTAATATGAGTTAAACATGTTTCTTATTCTGTGATCTCTAATTAGAAAGTAAAATTCTGTTGCCATAAATATAAAAGAAAGTTTTCACTTATATTTTAGTCAAACACCAAACCACTGCATTACTTACTTCCTATAAGACACAGTAGTTCAATCTGTTGAAAGGCATTGAAGGATAATTTCCTTCAGATTACTTTTTAAATCATCATCTGCCTCAGGAAATTCTTTCTTGAATTTTTTTGTTGGTGTGAAAGCGTTGCTTATACTTTATGCTCATTTTATTGGTCACTGTCACCAGTTTTTCCCGATAAAGATTAAAAATGTTTTTTACCTTGAAATAATTCAGATTTTGAAGATTCACTGTTTCATTATTTTGCTAATTACCATTAACTAGTAAAGTTAGTTTTTAAAGTTTTTTTAAGGTTGATATTTTATCATATTCCTGGAGTAGGATGGATTACTTTATTATTATTGTAGCTTTAAGGTTTTTTGTTGTATAAGTCAGCTTGTTTGTATATGCTAAATTGCAGATATTTCTTTGTGTTGTGCTTATTGGTTTTTTTTTTTAACTTAGAGCTTAATAATTTCTATTTTCTATCCTGGAGTCTAAAATTAAACAAAAAAATCTATTTTCTAAATTGGCAGGATTTTTTTAATGATTAGTAAAACTGTATTATTTTATTTTTAAAAATACAATAGGATTTTGAGTCAGGAAACTTGACTTCTACTCTTGCCTCTCTTTTGCAGTTAGCTGTGTAACTTTGGATAAGGCATTTTATCTCGTGGTGCCTCCATTTTTCTCATTCTCTAGGGAACAAGAGAATTAGTTTAGGTAGCGTCTAAAATTCCGCCCAGCTCTCATTTGGTTCTCATTTGACCATTTTATAATCATTATTTTGGTCTCATTTTTATTCTTCTTATTCATCCCATGAACTAGATCAACTTGTATTATTTTACTAGATCAACCTGTATTATTAACGTCATTTACATGTAAATTGATGGGATTCAGATATTTTATCAACTGTTTTTCCATTAGTGATTTTAAGTAATTTTAAAGAAGGAAAATTATATTACAGATAATAAAAATGAAAGAAAGTTATAAATATTGGACATGGCTTTTTTAAATGGGAAAGTCTTCTTAAGCACCAATATAAGCACCTTAAATTGATACATAGAAAAGAATGACATAACGTTTTGTGGTCTTTGTTCTCTTAAATATGAATATAGCTAGTTAGCCTAAAATTTACACAAAATGTATTCAAGATCAAATTAGTGAACAAAGCAATGGTTCGTATGGCTAATTTAAAAGCAATTCAATTTACCAATATTAAAATAATTATAAAATGTAAAAGAAATTTCAGAGGAGTTGATTGAAAATTTTTTGTTCAGTAATTATTCTTAAACTGCATTCTTAGGTTTATTACATAAATATAGTTGCCAGATTGCCATGGGCAAGTGAATGTCTTCATTTGAAATATTATTAGAGATCAATGTGGCTTGTTATTTTTAATTTTTTTCTGGCTATACAGAAAATGTTTCTGGAAAAATTCCTTAATTGTCATCTGATATAATGTAGAGATTGAGGCCAGACGCAGTGGCTCACGCCTGTAATCCCAGCACTTTGGGAGGCCAAGGTGGGCAGATCACCTGAGGTCAGGAGTTCGAGACCAGCCTGATGAACATGGCAAATCCCCTTCTGTACTAAAAATACAAAAATTAGCCAGGCGCAGTGGCTCACGCCTGTAATCCCAACACTTTGGGAGGCCGAGGCGGGCGGATCACGAGGTCAGGAGATCAAGACCGTCCTGGCTAACATGGTGAGACCCTGTCTCTACTAAAAACAAAAAAATTAGTTGGGCATGGTGGCGGGCACCTGTAGTCCCAGCCACTCGGGAGGCTGAGGCAGGAGAATGGCGTGAACCCGGGAGGCGGAGCTTGCAGTGAGCTGAGATCGCACCGCTGCACTCCAGCCTGGGCAACGGAGCGAGACTCTATCTCAAAAAAAAAAAAAGAAAAAAAAAAAAGTAGAGATTGCATTAGTTCCATATCTCCGCAGAGTTCTCTGGTAGATTAAATGTTCTCTGTGCACTAGGCCAAGGAAGTTCCTGTTACCTTTGAAAATCATTGTGTTTGCTCTGATTGTCTACATTAGCTCATATCAGTCTTTTGAACACTGGTTCAAATCTGGGTGTTGGGTTAGGATCTGATGAGTAGAGAATAGTGGAAAGTTGATATAGGAAGGTATACTGGTTTCTGGTGTGATTCTTTAGCTACATTTATTCCTTGTCTTATGTCATTTCACTGGATCATGTAACTGTCCTGGCTTTCAGAAATTATATTAGATGCCCAGCCTTTCTCATTCAGAGATGCCTGTATTATTATGTTATTTCGATTGCCTACCAAAAAAAAAAAAAAAAGAAAAGGTTTGTTTTTAGTTCTCTGCCTCTGCAAGTCTTTGTGATCACATTTGTTAAATTGAATCTGAGATTCAAATATTTCATTTAATATTTTCTGGGTTTTGATAATGGGATATTCTGTAAGATAAAGCAAGTAATCCTAGAGTGATTTACTTTATGTTTAGCCATCCACCATTTTCCTATTTCTCTACTCCTCCCATTCTCCATTTTTAAAAGGAAATTAACAAATGTCTTCCTTTATCCCTGCCTCAGATAATTTTTCCCTGAACTCATCTTGTCAGCAGAAACATTTAATGTGAAATAATTCTGTATTTCTGAGACAAGATCAACACAGTAGTTCTTTACATTGAGCTGAGGTGAATGTATACTTAAAAATACTCTATTTTCTTTTTATATGAACTTAAAATTTTTAAAATCATATATGGGACTCCCCAATGTGAAAATATTAGTCTGGACATTCTCTTGCCATCAGGTGCTATTTCTACCTTAGCTGTGAGTTAGACTAAATCCAAATTTCGTATCATTCATCTTTTTATAATATTTAACTTCCCTAGAATCACCCCATTTCATGTCTTTAACCCCAACTTCCAACAACTTTTCTGCTTTTATTTTCAAATGTCAAATTGTATTTTTGTGTTTTATTTTCTCATTGAAGTGTAAAAGTATCACATATATGAAGGAATGGCTGGTTTAGACATTTACTTTGGCATAGTAAAGATTGATATTGATACCACCCACCATCCTTTCCTCTAGCCCCAGAAAGAAAAGTTTGACAACTCAAAAACGATTAAATTATCTTATCTTGTTATTTAATAGAACAATGGAAGCTGTTTCGTCAAAATTAAAATACTTTACCAAAAAAATACTTTTTTGTATTTTAATCTGATAGTGAATTTGGGGATTATTTATGTAAATGTATCATAATTAATAGTAATTATGAGTTATTTCACTCTCTGTAATTTGTGATACCCAAGATTCATATTTATTTAATGTGAGGTGTTTTTTGAGGCTTTTTTGTTTTATCTTGTTTTCTTAACTTTTTACAGTGTTGTTAGATTATCGCGGTCATCTCGGCATGTGGATCGCTCCTCCTGTAGATCAGCTGTTCTCTCTTAGAGTCAGGACAAGGAGGTTTTTGCTACATGGTCGTAGTTGGATAATACAGCATTATTCTGAACTATCTGAAATTGCTGGTTTTATTGGTCAAAAATGATCAGATGCTAGCAATTTCATAATAGATATATTCAAGAAGGAACCAAACTTTAAAAGATCTTTTAGAATAGGTATGTTAACTTCTCATCCTAACCCTATCAATATATCAGAGGCTTTATGAAGGAGACTCTACAGATAACCACAAATCTTATCAAGAAAATTCTCCTTAAAAAAAGTTATCCTTTATTTTGTTGTTAAATTTCCCAGTTTTTAAAAGTGTTTTATCAAAATGACTTCATAATTGAAGCAAATACCTTTTGGAAGTATATATGTTACATAAGACTTTCACTAAATCTGTGCGTAAAGCTTTTATAATCTGAGATATTGTTATGTATTAGGTTTGTGCAAACCTAATATAAAAGGGTTCATCTGTAAGTATCATTTAGAGGCAAAATAATTTCCCCCTCACATCTAATGTGGACTCAAATTTTGGCAACTGGAATGTTATCCTCTTGGTAGGCATTCTAAATTAATGAATACTGCTATGTGGTGTAGTAAACAAATTTGCCATAAAATGCCATTTAAGGATTTTCTTTTTACCTTTATTTCATTATAAAAGTATATGAGTTGAAGATCATATAAAAAATATGAAACTCCTACACAGGAAATCCCCAATTTTGTGATTTAATAGGTTGTAAAAAGAGTTGTTCCAAATTCAGACTACATCTCATCATATAAATAATATTATGAATAATAAGGGTAAAAGATTAGCCAACAAAAGCTAATCTAGTACACCCCATAGAGGTACTCCAGGTGTCTTGGTTTTGGATAAATTTTTATAGTGGAGAAAGGTTACTTTGATCTCTCAATAATTGCTTGGTACACTTCTTCCTAGGCAATATGCTCATGATACCCTCTTCATGTGACCTATTCCTCAAATGCTGCATTCTCCAAAACTTCCTTACCTGCCTTCTATCCCCTAGTCATTCTTATCAATACTTCCAAAATATAACCTATCTCAAGTGTTAGAAATTTGCTTTAACTAATTTATATTAAAGTGTTAGTGACTATAGCCCTTTTATCTCTCTTAAAGAGAAATCTGCATTAAAAGCAAACACATTGCTGTTAGCTCAAATTAATGTCAGTGAGTAGAATCTTAAGCTTTAAAACAAAAGTGGAAATAATTTAAATTAGTGTTGATGGGACTATTTTGAGGCAAGAGATACCATTAAGTGACCTAGCTTGGAAATCTGCCCCCTTTGCCCAAACCCATGTGATGTCTGAAACTACTGTATATTTTCAATGACCTTGAGAAAGGGAGCTAGTCATTTGTATTTATGGGCCTTATGAAGTCAGGGCCTGCTGATCCTGTTTTTTAAGTTCAAGCGCAATGCCTGAAGCATCCTAGATCTCCTTCACCCTCATTCTACCTGACAGACAGCTAGGTCTGTCTTCCAGCTCTTTCTCATTGATACTACCTTTACATATGAATACTATCCATGCTTGTTAAAAAAAAAAAAAGTCTTTCCCCATTTTACTGTTACAATTTTTCAAGAGCTATAAAGGTAGAAAAAGTATTCCTTTTCATTATTCTAAAAAATATGTCATTTTTAAATAGCTGGCACTTAGCAGTTTAGTTTTCCAAACTTTATTCTGAATCAAATTGCTGAGGTGATTCTAAATGTCTAATGTTGATTTATCATATAAACATCTAATTAGAAAGTGTTTATGCTAAAGACTTGTATTTTGTGGCATTAGTTCTTCATGTTTCTTTTTTATATGTTTATTAAAATTGTTCACTTCCAAATGAGTGGAAAAGTTGCTGTTGTTGGGATGTACAGGGCAAGTGCACTTGGTTAGAGCATGAACTGGGAATTTCACATTCTCTGATGTGCTTTGCACTCTGCTCTTGTAGATTTATTTTGTTTACAGTAGACTGATGTCAGTTTTTGTAAATGTTTTTTCTTAGCACTTTAACTGTGAGTGTACAAACTGATTTTAAATGTAGTGGTTGTATATTTTGGTTATAAATTGGAGATTTTTAATAAAATTAAATAATTCTCTTTTCTGTCATTAGTACCTGATTAATTATAATTTTCTTTGTCATCTTCCAGACCCTTTAAACAGTCTATTTAACACTACTGCACTGCATTTTTAAATGTTTTCATATTGTAAGTTTTTCATATAATAATGTAGGAATCATAGGAGTCTGCCACATAGAAATAAACACACACCATCCTATATTATATCCCTTTTTTCTCATACTTGTTTTGTCAATGCAGATAAAACCCATCTCTGTTCATTGTTATATCTTCAGCACATTACGCTATTAGACACATATTAGAGGCTCAATAAATATCTGTTAAATACATTAAAGTATTGTATTTATATCAATTTCCCAATAAGAAATCCTACCCATATAAGCAAATAAACTATCAGGTGATTTATTTTCATGCACAGGAAGGCAGAAGAGGATTTAAACTATTAGTAGTATATATTAGCATATGTCTTGCCTGGATCACACAGTCTTTTGTTGGGAGACCTTAGAAATCCTAAGTCCAGCTTAACCTGGTGCAGACCTTCTTCAAAACACCATCCTTTATAACCCTCTGCTTGAATGATTTCAGTAGCAGGAAGCTCACTATGTAAAGCCTTCCATTTCATTTTTATTTTATATTTTTGTTTTTTTTTTGTTTGGCCTTCCATTTCATTTTGAGACAACTCTAATTGTTATAAAAGACTTTCTATTTATTGAGTGGAAATTGTACCTTCACTCATTGATGCTATTCTACAGATATACAATAATTCTATCACAGAAGTAGACATTTGAAAAAAAGGCATCCTGTTTCCTCCAAATCTCTGCAGGCAAAATATGTCCTATTCTGCAATTCCTATTCTTCAGTTCTCCTATGGCATCCTGTCAGACCCTAGTTCTCCGAAATACTCCAGTTGTGAATATTCCTCTTAAAGTCTTCCAGACAACTGAACACTCATCTCCAGATGCTGTAAAATCAGTGAAGATTGCATTGTACATTATATTCTGTACACTACTGTTAATTCTAAGTTTATGCAGAAAAACAGGAGCCCTTTTTTACAATCATCTCCCTCTAACCATTGAAGGGTCTAGCCATTTATGTGATGAAGATATGTATATATACATATTTATTAATTGTCCAAACTGTAATATTTGTCAACTAAAGTCAAATATTTCCCTGAGGCACTGATTATCTACTATGTGCCAGGCAGTGAACAAAATAAAGTCCCTAATCTCCTGACAATTTAAGATATACCAAAGACTTAATTAAGATGGAAAAATATCCTAAATGATTGTTGCTAAATTTAAGGTTCGCCTCTGAGGGAAGGGAGGAGGGTATTTTTGAGTGTTTTATGTTGATTATTGGCTAACTTGGTGGGCAAATGCCGGTCATTCGCCAGTTGAGGATTAATCAATGTGTGTGCCAGAGCACAGAGGTACATATATGCACAGTTTCTTCATCTGCAAAATGGAAGTATTGGGCTAAGCCAATGGTTTTTAGCTATGGGATCTTTCATCAAATAAAATAGTATATGTAGTCTCAGTACATAAAATAGATAAAAGCACCCTTTTGTTTAAAAGGAATGTAAGGTCCCTGAATTCCACTTACTTGGCCCAGCCCTTCTTAGCCCCCCTCCATTACAGCATCCCTTGAAGCACCTAGACAGAACTCTTTGAGCTCAAAGAGCCCACTTTTAAAATTACTAAACTGTTCTGTATCTTGACTGGTGGCGGTCACACAAATCTGCATGTGATAAAATTGCACAGAATTGTATATACACACACCCAAATGAGTGCATATAAACCAATGAAATCTGATTAATATAGATTATACCAATTTCCTGGTTTTGATATCATAGTAACCATTGGGGAAAACTGGGTATGGGTATTCTTTAAATGCATGTAAATCTACAATTTAAAAGTGTAGCAACATTTTTTGGTAAATTAAAATGATCTCTAGGTCCCTTCTAAAATTCTCTGATTAATGCCCCATTCATTTTCTAGCTGCCTTTCCTTTCTGTTAATTTTAAAGGAACAATTAGCATTTGTTTTGAAGAGACTCTTGGTAAAAGTATCTTACCCGGGAATTTTTCGATTCTTACTTGGCCCTCCTAATTGGGTGTTCTCAGTGAAAACGAGACACTGCTAATATGCTTTAGAAAATAGCCCTCACATTCTCCCTGTTCCCAATCCCCCACTTACTCTAAGCTCCCCAGGAGCAATAATTCAGAAGTCAAATTGCTCAGCACTCCTACTACGAGTGTGGCAGAAGAATGGCCTCTTAAAGATGTCCACTCCCTGATCCCCAGAACCTGAGAATACCTTACCTTATATGGCAAAAGGGACTTTGCAGATGTGATTAAGGTTGCTGATCTTAAAATGGGGAGATTATCCTGTATTACCCATGGAGGCCCTATCTAATCACATCATTCCTTAAAAGAAGAGAACTTTTCCCAGCTGTGGTCGGAGAGAGATGTGGCAATGGAAGAAGGCTAAGAAAGATTCAGCATTGGAAGGACTTAACCCAAGGTCACTGGCTTTAAAGATGGAGGAAAGAGGCCATGAGCTAAGGAATGCAGGCAGCCTTTCAAAGCTGGGAATGGCTTTCAGCTGACAGCCAACAAGAAAATATGGCTCTCAGTCCTGCAACTGCAAGGAACTAAACTCTGCCAACAACCAGAATGAGCAAAGGTATTAATCCTTCCTGAATGTCTCCAGAAAGGAACCGCAGACATGAGTTTAAGGCAGTGAGGCCCACGTCAAGACTTCTGAGCTACAGAACTGGAAGATAATAAATTCATGTCGCTTAAACCCCTAAATTTGGGTAATTTCTTACGGCAGCAATAGAAAACTAATATACTAAGCCTCACACCTCCACATCCGCAAAGTGTAGCCAGTAAACAAATGAGTAATGGAAAATGGCACAAGGAGGCCATTAAGAGTCAGAAACATTTCAGAGAGCTGGCCAGTCGCCATGAAACAGACTGTTGAGGTGGGTGGAGGCAGGTTGGAGAAATTGAGATTAATAAGAGCAATCAGTCCCTGCTGCCTTTCTTCTGATTTCATCTCTTTTATTATTCTTTTTTTATCATTATTTTTTCAGTCTTCATTTATTTCCATATGGCCTTCATTTTTCTCTTTAATCTAATCAAGCATGGTGGGGTTTTTTTTTTTTCAACCTCACACTTCCACCAGCAAATGCACCCATTTGTCAGAAGGAGATGAGGAGCAACTTAGGCTTTGGGAAAATGAGATTTTCACATGTACCAACTATTAAAAAGTCAGGGTACACAGCTTTAGTATCCAGTCTCTGGGTTCTCCTGAGACCGTGAACATACACAAAAGAGAGTTATACACAAATCCACTTATTTAAACAAACAAAAGCTATAACACCAGGCACTCAAAAATATTTTGAAAATAACAAAAGCTCTCTACTAAAGTACTGATGAGTCACTGTCTTCTATTCTGCAGCCGAAGAATTATGTTGAGCTCTTTTTACTATCTCTTGGACAGCTCAAGACTAAAAGCCCTTTGGGGCTAATGGAATGTCCTCATCAGCCTCAAATAATATTAGACAAGCTACTGTACAATAATAAAAACAGCAGAAGAATTTAAACACTCCATATGAAGTGAATCATTTTTTGACACCAGACTTGTTGGAAAAGTGTTTGCTAAATATGGGAAATATATTCATACACTATGTATGCAAGCTTCTGATTTCTCACATGTCCAAGTGACCAGAAAGGCAGAAGGAGGGAAGTTGTTCTCTGACAGCAGATTGGGTACAGTTGAGCCAGATTAGGGGAACTGTTGGTAACAGCCCCCTAGGGCACAGGTAATGCATGGGCCTCCACTCATCAATTTGGTGGATTCCAAATTAACCCTTATTATAGTGACAGAGATTCCCGTGCATTCTCAGCGTGATGGTAAGCATTTCTGAAAATTCCAAAAATGTGTGGGCCAGATATTGGCTTATTTCTGGAGCCACTGCTGCAGCACTAAAATTAGCAAATCCAGAGCTTCTCAGGTGAGAACAAGCTAAATCCTTTAATCGAAAAATCCTTGACATCCTATTTTGGGGGAGAAAATATTGAAAAATCCTTCCTTTCTTCTCCTTGTCCTGTTCATTGATAAAGGCTCTTTACATGACATATTTAACTGTAAGCCTGTTTTAGCTGTCATAATTTTAGTTTTTTTCAGAGCCAAGGGTCATTTGTATATTGTTCCTCGTCTGTTGATGAAAATTGCTTTAAAAATGATGTTTCAAGTATCTGTAACCATTCAATAGCATTCATTCATTCATTTATTCAGTAAATACTCATTTGTTTACCTACCTCTTCTGTAAGACCCTAGGCATGTAAAGGAGAAAATGACGTGGTTTCTACTCTTGCAAAGCTCACACTCTTGTGAGGAGATGAGCTCCTAAACACCTGAGTACTTCAATACTGCTGTGCTCAAAGCATCATGGAGGCACACATGTGGAAGAAGTTACTTCTGCCATGAGGACTGAGGGTACAGAGGGGTTTATAGAATATGGAAAAGTCAATCAATATTTATTGACCACCTATTGATTGTTGAGATTACATCAGGAAACAAAATGCACTTGTTCTGTTGAAGTCCTGTAATCAGAATTTTGAATCTAAAGGGAGAACATAGACAATAAACATTAATTTCAGATGGTGATAAATATTGTAACACTGTCTGATAAAAGACCCCTAAAGGTCTTCAAAAACAATGTGGATATTGTTTAAAGTACTAAACAGTGGTTTTAGTTAAGGGATTAACATGACATAATTTTATTTTTTAAAAAAATTATTCTGGCAGCTCCATAGAAAATGGGTTATGAGGACCAAGAGTGCACACAGGAGCCTGGGCAATATGGTGGAACCCAACTCTACAAAAGAAATACAAAACTTAGCAGGGCGTCATGGTGTGCACCTATGGCCCCACCAGCTATTTTGAGAGGCTGAGGTGGGAGGATCGTTTGAGCCCGGGAGGCAGAGGTCGCAGTGAGCCAAGACTGCACCACTGCACTCCACACTGGGTGACAGATCAAGATCCTGTATTTAAAAAAAAAAAAAAGCACACAAGGAGACCAATTCAAAAAGCAACTATGCTAGTACACGTTAGAGATAATAGTACGACTGGGACTCAGATGAAAGTTGTAGAGATGAAAAAAAAGGGAAGTATTTTGAAAGTAGAGCTAGACTTACTGATGTACTGGATGTGACAGATGAAGGAAAGGGTATGAATAATAGATGACTTCGTGTTTTGACTAGAGCAGCCTCATGGATTATGGTGTCACTTACTGAAATGAAGACTGGGGGAAGAGCAGATGCTGGAGAGAGAAAAATCATGTGTTCTATTCTGGACTGGTTAGATGTTAGGTGACTGCTAGCCATCCAAGTGGAAATCCCAAGTAAGCAGGTAGGCATATGAGTCTGGATCTCTGGTTGAGATTTTGACCTGAGATAGAAACTTGAGAATCATCAAGATTTAGGTGGTATTTAAAGCCATCAGGCTACATGAGATTACCTTGGAGAAGACTTTGTAGTGAAGAGAATTTGTGTAAAGGACAAAAGGTCAGGAAAGCAGAGAAGGAGAGACCTGTGAGATAGGGAGACAGTCAGGGGGATGTGTTATCAGGGAAGCCAGGAGAGAAAGGTGATTTGTAAAGGAGAGAGTAGTTCAACCCATCAAATGATCCTTAAAGATCAAATAAGGCAGCGGGCACAGTGGCTCTTGCCTGTAATCCCAGCACTTTGGGAGGCTGAGGCTGGTGGATCACCTGAGGTCAGGGGTTCAAGACCAGCCTGGCCAATATGGTGAAACCCTGTCTCTACTAAAAATACAGAGAATTGGCTCCACGTGGTGGTGGGTGCCTGTAATCCCAGCTACTCGGGAGGCTGAGGCAGGAGAATCGCTTGAACCCGGGAGATGGAGGTTGTAGTGAGCTGAGATCGTGCCATTGCACTCCAGCCTGGGCAACGAGTGAAACTCCATTTCAAAAAAAAGATCAAATAAAGCCAGACACTGTGACTCACACCTGTAATTCCAGCACTTTGGGAGGCCGAGGTGGGAGGATTGCTTGAAGCCAGGAGTTTGAGACTAGCTAGGCAACAAAGTGAGACCCTTGTCTCTACAAAAAAGAAATATATATACACATATATATATTTTGTTACATATATAATATATATAAAAATATATATATATATATTAGCCAGGTGTGGTTAGCTCATAGTCTGAGCTACTCAGAAGGCTGAGGTAGGAGGATCACTTAAAGCCCAGGAGTTTGAGGCTGCAGTGAGCTATGATGCTACCACTGTACAAGACCCTGTCTTTAAAAGAAAAAAAAAATCAAATAAGATGATGACTCAGACAATTTGATTTGACATCATGGAGGTTATTGAAAAGAACAACTTCAGTGGATGGGAGTAAAGGCAATTGCAAATGGATTGAGCAGTAACTGGGGAATTTGTATTTCCAGCACTTGGAAGATTAGATACTTTCAGTGACCTTCCCAATGAAAACAGCCCAAATTCTGGACTATGTATGAAAATCTTTGTAATTTGCATTGCTAAGCTGCCCTGATCTTACCAATAAAAGTCAAAAACAAAGTGAAAGCAAAAATCATTGGTAATAAGCACCAGCACCAGCTTCTGCTGTGAGAGTTTCTGCTGAACGCCAAAGACAGCACAGCATATGGGGGGCGAGAGATTGAGCCTAAGCTCCAGCCAATTACAGAATGTAATAGGAGGCTTCCAAAGGGATATACTTTCACTGTGAAGGTGAGGGAGGAAAAAAGAAGAAATCCTGAAGAACAGGACATCAAAGAAACTTTATTGCTTCAAATTTAGCGTTGGTTGGCAGGAGTATGGTGAATCCCCCCTGAGAATTTGTAACCATAACTGCCTCCATGAACATTGTTTGTTCCAAATATACACTTTTCTCTGTGTGATTTGAACCTGAAGCCAAGAATATAACTCCAAGGGTCCTGGATGACTGTGATTTCATGCAACTGGAAGAAACAAATGCACCATTTCTTTGGAGGAATGCAATTTCAGTTCCGGTGTCAAGGAATTCCCACAGAGAAATTTGCAAGGTAAATGAAAAGTTCGTAGTCAAAACTAGCAAAACACACAAATGAGAACAAGACATTGTGAGTGAGAGCCTATTCTCCAAAGACTTCCATATTCTAAAATTAATAAAGGATACAAAATAATTTAATATATTTAAAGAAATAAAAGAAGGTATCAGGGGTATAACTAAGGAACAAGATACTATGAAAAATGGCAAGGCAGATTTGGAAAAAAAAAAGACCTAATAGAATTAATAGGTATGAACAATTTAATAATTTAATTAGAAACAACAGAAGAAACAACTGATGAGAGATTAGTGAAATAAAGAAGTGATTTTTTTAAATGTCCAGAATTCTTTAGCTTTTTGCTTCTAACAAATAGAATAAAGCAGAAGTGAAGCTCTACAGTTTTGGAGATAAGGTCATAGAAGTCACTGTAGCTTCCAGTAGCTTCTTGCTGTTTCTCTTGGATCCCTGTCTGGGGAAGCCAGCTGTCATGTCATGAGGGCACTCCAGCAGCCCTGTGGAGAGGCCAGGTGACAAGGAGCTAAGGCGTTGGGGCAAGCCAAGGCCTTGGAAGCAGCTACTCTAGCCCTGGTGATGCCCTCACACGACCACAGCCCTGGCTGACGGCTCCTTGTGAGACGCTAAGCCAGAACCACCAAACCAAGCCACGCCTGGACTCCTGACTCTCAGAAACTGTGAAATGATCAACCTTTGCTGCATTACGCTGCTCCCTTTTGGAGTAATTTGTTATGCCACAATAAATAACTAACACAAGATTAATTTGAAGAAGTTATCCCAAATGCAGCACAGAAAGACAAAGAAATAGACGTGAAATGACATTAAATCAGCATTCTAGAAAAAGTAATGGGAAAAAGAAACATTTCAAGTGCTAAGAGCTAAGAATTTTCTAGAATTGTTGAAAGATATTGATCATCAAGTCCATGGAGCCAAGTCAATGCTAAGATGAGTAATTTTTTTACGTGCATTTGGACACCTTATAGGAAAATGGAAGAATACCAGAAGGGAAAAAATGAAGCAGCCAGAATGGAGACAGATCAGTCATAAAGGAATAGCAATTACACCAAAGGCTGGTTTCTTTACAGCAATAGCGGAAGTCAGGATTCGGGAATATATTTTACTTTATTCAAAGAAAAGCAACTGTAAACCAGGAATTATCAGCCAGCTAAACTATCTCTCAAGAATGAGGGCTCAGCCGGGCACGGTGGCTCACGCCTGTAATCCCAACACTTTGGGAGGCCAAGGCAGGCATATCACCAGAGATCAGGAGTTCGAGACCAACCTGGCCAACATTATGAAACCCTGTCTCTACTAAAAAAAAATACAAAAAACTTGGCTGGGTGTGGTGGCGCGCACCTGTAATCCCAGCTACTCAGGAGACTGAGGCAGGAGAATTGCTTGAACCTGGGAGGCGGAGGTTGCAGTGAGCCAAGATGGCTCCACTGCACTCCAGCCTGGTGACAGAGCAAGACTCCATCTCAAAAAAAAAAGAATGAGGGCTCAAATGATCTGGGTAGCCAAGATCACTGTGGCCACCTACCCCAAGTCCCTCCATATCTACCTCTTACTGTTTTTCAACAAAAAGAATACAACCATACTCATCACACACCTTTAGCATAACAAGAAGACAAACACTGCAAACTTCAAATTACCTAAAGCAGGAAAGTAAACACTGTCCTACAGCAGAGATTTCTCTTGAGACCCCACTGCCAAACTTTGCAGAGAGCCAGAAGGTCTAGAAAAACTTCACTTAAGAGAGAAAAGGGGCCCAGCGCAATGGCTCACGCCTGTAAACCCAGCACTTCGGGAGGCTGAGGCAGGTAGATCACTTAAGGTCAGGAGTTCGAGACCAGCTTTGCTAACATGGTGAAACCTGATCTCTACTAAAAATACAAAAATTAGCCAGGCATAGTGGTGCACACCTGTAGTCCCAGCTACTTGGGAGGCTGAGGCAGGAGAATCGTTTGAATCGGGGAGGCAGAGGTTGCAGTGAGCCAAGATCGTACCACTGCACTCCAGCCTGGGTGACAGAGCAAGACTCTGTCTCAAATAAAAAAACAAAAACAAAAACAAAAACAAAAATGGAGAGAGAGAGAGAAAGAGAAAAGAGGATTGAGCTAAAATCAAAGTTCCACTCAACATTATGAAAATATTGGAAGAGTCTTGTCAGGTTAGAGGTCACAGGACCTTAAGAGTACATGCAAGATTCGAGGATGTAGTCATCTTCTCAGGGCAAAGAGAGCAAAAAAATGGGGAGTAGGAGAGGCAGAAGTGCCCTGTGGAAACTGAGTAGTAAAGGGGAAAAGAATCCTGAGGGGAAGTTTCAGAATCTTGCAAAATGAAAGAAAACCAAAAAGTCAAAGGACAGCTAAACTCTTCCCTTGACTCCTTCCCAAAAGCTGCCCATTGAAGAAATATACTTTACTACACCATCAGAAGAGGATGCTCCCAAACTCACCACCAACCCTGCTCAGGAAATGCGTAGATGTAAACAGTCTTCACTTATATAAACCTACTTCAAGAAAGAAACAGAAAAAGAAAAGCAAAAGATTTTGGCCGGTAAAATTTCCATCACCACAGCCGAAAAATAATATCTGCAAAGCTGAGAAAAACCAAAACAGAACGCTACCCAGAAATATAAGAAGACTTGAGTCTACATATTGATAGGGTCCACTGGGTACTGAGAAAACTGATTTGGAATTATCAATTCTGAAACGTATCCTGGCAAGGTAAACTGTGGCTGTAACTGAAATGAATCACACCACCTGGCATTCACGTCCTTTGTAATCTCCTCCCACACTGACTCTGGCTTGGCCATGTGAGTTGCTTTGGTCAATAAGACATCAGCATGTTGCAAGCAGGTGCTTGTTAAGTGTTTGTGTATTAGGGGTTGTCCTCTTGGAATGCTCCTACTTGGAGCCATGAGCCCCCATATAAAGAGGCCCAACTACCCTGTGTTTTAGCCACGCTAGCTAAGGCAATAAATATGAGTGTCCCAACAGAGACCATGAGTAACAGAAGGATTGCACATGTAATTCCAACTCAAGTTGCAGAATCGTGAGATATAATAAATCATTATTGTCTTAAGTCACTAAGTTTTGGTGTGGTTGGTTAACTAAAGCACCTGGTAAAATGATTAGACTTTAGGGACACAGAAAAAACCCTGAGAGTCTTGAGAAGAAAAAGAAAAGTCAACTAACTTAAAAAGACAAGAGAATTATTCTGGCATTAAACTTCTCTAAAGCAATATACAAAGCAAGGCCAACATAAAGCCTCATTTTTAGGAAACTCAAGAAAAGTAAGAATTTTATATTCAGCTAAGGTGTACCTTTAAGTATTGTAGCTTTAGAAAAAAAAGCTTTAAACATACAAGAACTAAATAACCAATGGCTCAAATAAGAAATCAGAAGGGAAATTAGAAAATACTTTGAAATATATGAAAATAAGAACACAACATACCAAAACTTATGGGATGTAGTGAAAGGAGGGAAATTTATAGCTTAAAGGGAAATTTATAGCTGTAAACTACATTGAAAAAAAAAGGTTTTCAAATCAATAACCTAAATTTTTACCAAAAAAAAGAGAGCACACTAAACCCCAAGGAAGCAGAAAGAAGAAAATGATAAAAGTTACAGCAATCAACATCAGGAAATTAACATTGATACAGTACTACCATGTAATCCATGCACCCCATTCAAATTGTGAACAGATACTTTGAGCCCATGTATATATTCTATTCCTCAACAAATTTTTACCCACTTGGTTTTTTTTACCCACGTCCTTCTGTGAGTTTTACCTGAATAAATGTTAGCAAAGTATTACTATGACAGCTGCCAAATAGTTGATTTTGCTAATTCTATCATTCCTTACACTATTTTTTTTTTTTTTTTAAGACAGGGTATCCCCAGGCTGGTGTGCAGTGATGCAATCTCAGCTCACTGAAACCTCTGCCTCCTGGGCTTAAGCAATCCTCCCACCTGAGCCTCCTGATAACTGGAACCACAGGTGTGCACCACCACACCCGGCTGAGTTTTTGGTTTTTTTGTAGAGATGAGGTCTTGCTGTGTTGCCCAGGCTGGTCTTGAACTCCTGGGCTCAAGTAATCCTCCTGACTCAGCATGAGCCACCACGCCCAGCCTGTTTACTTTCTGTTATACCTTAGGCTGTAACTTATAATTAATGTTAAAGTAATCTGTAATTTTGTGAAACTGTTTTCCACAAAATAAGTATTTTAAAAATTCTTATTTTTTAAATGCTAATTTTTTTTTCTTTTTTTTTTTTTAAGAGACAGGTTCTCACTTTGTCACTCAGGCTGAAGTGCAACAGTGCAATCATGGTGCACTGCAGCCTCAACCACCCAGGCTCAAGCAATCCTTCCTGCTCAGCCTCCTGAGTAGGTGGGACTACAGGCATGCACTGCCACGCCCATCTAATTTTTTAAAAATTTTTTTGTAGAAACAGGACCCAGCTATGTGGCGCCCAGGCTGGTCTTGAACTCCTGGGCTCAAATAATCCACCTCAGCCTCCCAAAGTGCTGGGATTACAGGCATGGGCCACTGCGCCTGGCCTAAAATGCTATTTGAACTTAAACATATTAATGTATTTATGGGCTGGGCGCGGTGGCCCACACCTGTAATCCCGGCACTTTGGGAGGCCAAGGCGGGTGGATTGCTTGAGGTCAGGAGTTCGAGACCAACCTGACCAACATAGTGAAACCCCATCTCTACTAAAAATACAAAACTTAGCCAGGCGTGGTGGCACATGCCTGTAGTCCCAGCTACTCAGGAGGCTGAGGCAGGAGAATTGCTTGAACCCAGGAGCAGAGGTTGCAGTGAGCCAAGATTGTGTCACTGTACTCCAGCATGGGCGACAAAGTGAGACTCCATCTAAAAATATCTCTATATATGAATGTATTTTATTAGCGCTACCCATTATTTCAGTGCCCAACCCAACCATCTCTCTCCGCATCTAATAGTTTTGTGGGGCCTCCCAAGGTCCCTCAACCAGACCCAGATTGCCGACTCAGCTCTCTTCCCCCTTGGCAATATTTGGGGATATCTTGGATTCTGTCATGAACTAATGGTTACGAGGCTCTGTTTGGGTCCTCTTGTCTCCCTAGGCTTGTTGCCTGCAATAAGTCATAATCCTAGGAAGAGTTAACAACAGGCTTAAAAAGTGAGTAGTGTGAGTTAAAAAGTCAGTGGTGTTGGGGCCGGGCGCGGTGGCTCATGCTTGTAATCCCAGCACTTTGGAAGGCCGAGGCGGGCGGATCACGAGGTCAGGAGATCGAGGCCATCCTGGCTAACATGGTGAAACCCCGTCTCTACTAAAAATACAAAAGAAAAAAGAAAAAAAAAGTCAGTGGTATGTGTTGGGCTTGGGGGGCAGTGAGTGGACACTCCTGGCTTTGAGTGACTCTGGCTCAAGTTTCTGGAGATAAGAAGTCCAAGGTCTGACTGTGGGAGACGGTGACCACGGTGGAGCGTAGGAGATGGTCATTGGAGATGAGGGTATCAGGTAACCAAGAGGCTTCAGTGTTGGATGTATTGTTGGCACAGACCTTGAAGCTGCTGAGGCAGCGGCAGGAACCAGGTTGCAGAAGAAACCTGGGACCAGGTGCTGCAGTCTGTAGCGCATGAAGGAGGGAGAGGGAGTGGTGAAGAGACGTTGCAACAAGAAATGGGGGGGAATGCTATAGATGGATGGTGCATTCCTCACGGAGGCAGGGCACGTGGCCCAAGTCCTAGAACCGAGCAGATGCTCAATTCATTTATTACACTGAAATTCTCAACATCAGAGTGGCACATAGGTTAGAGTCTAACCATTAGACAACAGAAATGCAGTTAAAATTCCTTTTTCTACTTGAGAGTGGGCTTTTTTTCTCTTCCCCATTAGCTTATCAGCATGGATGAATTTACAGATTAACATCTTTATTTCGGAATGGATGAGATAAATATAGGAAATTTTGTAAGGTAGAAGGAAATATGAGGGTTCGGTCTGGAGATGTAAGTTCTAAGCCTGGAAAGTGTTCTGAATGAGGCTAGGCGAAAGGTTGTAGGCACCAAAACCAATTTCATCTATTAGGTTAGTGCAAAAGTAATTGCAAGTTTTGACATGAAAAGTAATGGCAAAAACCGCAATTACTTTTGTACTAACCCAATACTTCACAGTTTTAGACCAGACCACTCTTCACTGGTTTGAAACAAACTCTGAGAAAGGAATCCTGCCTTCTCTTCAATTCCCCCTTCGTCTTTTCAGTGGTACTAATCGCCTAATTCTCAAGCTCCAAATGTTGTCTTCCTCTTCCATCCCTGGTTTTCCTCACTCTCCCTGGCCATGTCAAAAATAAAAGAAATTCTTGACGCAGGAACAATATAAATATGTCTACGGAGGGAGGAATTCATCCTTCTGAAAAGAATCTCAGGATTGGAAAAGTGCTTAGAAATCATCCAACCTGGGGACTGGCAGGCTTTTTCTGTAAAGGGCACACAGTTAACATTTCAGGCTAATTGTGACAGTTCTCTTGGGTGTGACTGCTGGGGCCCGTGTCGTCACGGGTGGTAAAAGTATTTACCAAGACAGTCATGGGTAAAGAAAGGAAGATATATTAGAGAAAGGATGAGAATAAGTTGCAAGAATGCAAGGGGCAGCACAGCAGAGAAGGGGCTGTCTGCAAAGATGGAGGGGCCAGAGGGAAGCTGTACAAGGTCATGCTAGAAGGGGTTATGTGCAAGTAAGATTTGGCTATATACACTTAGAATATGTTGGGGTGAATTATAACTGCCAGGCCTTTCCAGGTCCCTGAGGGAAACACTTTGCTGATCTTAGCCTCCTTGCAACTCACATACCTTCATTTCTGGAGTTGCAAGATAGTGGCTGTGGTTTTTCACACAAAGGGGTTGCAAACAGGGTTAGCTCCCTGGATTAGGTCCCTGTTCTGCTAGCCTGGCTCCTTCCTAGTTCCTATTAACTTATTGATTTGTTAGGGCCCCACAGCAGTCTCTGTCACAATCCCTTATCTCTGCTGTTGTAGCACAAAAGTAGTCATGGATAATACAGAAACAAATGAGTAAGGCTAAGGCTATGCGCCAATAAAACTTTATTTACAAAAATAGGCTGTGGGCCAGATTGGGTCCAAGGGCTGTGGTTTGCTGACCCCTGATCCAAACCAACAGATGATAAAACTGAGGCCCCGTTAGCTTGAAGGAAAACCAGGACTAGAAATCCACTTCCTGTGAGTCTCAGAGAAGAGCTCCTTCTATTAGAACAGAGATTCTCAAATTTTACTTTGCATCAACATCACCTGGAGGCCAGAGAGGTGAGGGACAATTATGAGAAAACAGATTCCTAAGGGATTTTTGACTCAGTAGGTCTGCGGTACGATCCAGGAATCTGAATTTTAAAAGCACACATGATTCTGCCCTCTATGGCCCAGGGATCATGCTTTAAAAAACATTTCCCCACATCACAGATTCTTTTTTTTTTGAGACAGGGTTTCGCTCTGTCGCCCAGGCTGGGTTGCAGTGGTGCAATCATAGCTCACTGCAGCTTTGACCTCCCTGGCTTCAGTGATCCTCCCATCTCAGCCTACCAAGTAGCTGGGACCACAGGTGCACGCCACCATACCCGGCTGTTTTTGTTATTGTTTTTTGTTTTGTGTTTTAGATACGAGGTCTCGCCATGTTGTCCAAGCTGATCTCAAATTCCTGGGCTCAAGTGATCCTCCCACTTCAGCCTCCCAAAATGCTTGGATTACAGTCATGAGCCCCTGTGTCCAGTCCCCCCACATCATGGATTTTTGAGTTGCCTGGGCAACAAGCAAACCCTCTGTATCCCAGACAGACAAGTAAGCAGGTGATGACGAGATGTCTTTAAAGTGCCTCTTGATTTGTTCCCCCTTCCCCTTTGCCCCAGCAGCCCTTTCTCTTTAGCAGCTGGCCTCAGCCACGGGGAGCAGGTGGGGAGTGTGCAGACACACCTGCCGGCAAGCCCAGGAGGGCGTCTCTCTAGGGAGCTTTCCTAATGAGCACTGCCTGTTGACTGACTGGAGGGGAGGAGCTCATTATTCGCTTTTGGCCCAGAGCCTTGTCTTGTAGGATTGCAAATGAAGGAATGCCTGTGGCTCCCACGTTCACCTCAGTGGAAAGATCTCAAAGCAACAGTGTAGTTCACACATCTCACTGAAAAGGGTCAGATCAGCTGGAAGGAAGCTTGTGGAAGTTGTTTGGCACCGAATTTTCACACTTGATCTATTCCTTTCTTCCTCCATCCATTACTCCCACCTTGATCCCTTGAATGGGAACATTGTTTGCCCCAAGTCATCTAAAACAAAGTCTCTGTTCTTCTGAACAATACCTGCCCCCCAGCCCCCAGATGCTTAGGAAACATAACCCATAAGAAAATAACAGGAGGTTAAGAAGATTATGTCAGCAATCCTTATTCCTGTAAAGGGGCGGGCCTAATCCAGCCACTTTATTCCTTACATTAGCCCTGCTTCAAATCCCCGACGGGACTTTTTCTTGTAGCTCTTCTTCTCTTGGCAAGAACTCTAGAATGAAAGCTCTAGAGCCAAGCCTAGATATTTAGTGTTAAAAGTTAAGTTGGAATTTATAGATGTCAGTTCCAAAATGCCCTTCTGGGCCATCCCCCAGCTGACACCCAAGGAAAGGGAAGAGGCCGAGGGCAGAGATCAGATTTAGACACAAGGTTGATGGCCTCGCTGCAGTAACCACCTTCTTTAATCACAAGACCACACTAAGCAAACTGGGTGCAGTAGCTCACGCCGGTAATCCCAGCACTTTAGGAGGCCGAGGCGGGCAGATCACCTGAGGTCTCCATCTAAAAAAAAAAACAAAGCACCACACTATGCAGAAATGCAAAAAGGGAGGTCCCTCCCTCCGCCAAAAGAGGGAGGTTCCCTTCATTCTGCCCCCCTGCTCCTGTCACCCACAGGTCTTAGAAGAGAGGGAGCCTTAGCTGGTCTTCCTGGCAGCTTTTGCACCTGCTGTCTGTCCATGACACCCTGACTCCCACTGCCCCCTGTGCTTCTGAGCTGACATCGTATTCATTCAAAAATGTCCATTATCCTCTACAGATGTCCCCGACTTAGGATGGTTCACCTTAAAAATTTTTTGACTTAACGATGGTGGTAACAACAACATGCATTCAGTAGAAACCATACTTCCAGCACCCATCCATACAACTTTTCTGATTTTCACTAAATACATGAGGTATTGAACACTCTATGTAAAATAGGCTTGTGTTAGATTATTTTGCCCAACTATCAACTAACATAAGTGTTCCGAGAACATTTAAGGCAGGCGTGGCTAGGCTGTGATGTTCTATAGGTGTATTCAACGCTTTTTTTTTTTTTTGAGACAGAGTTTCGCTCTTGTTTCCCAGGCTGGAGTGCAATGGCATGATCTCAGCTCACTGCAACTTTTGCCTCCTGGGTTCAAGCGATTCTCCTGCCTCAGCCTCCTGAGTAGCTGGGATTACAGGTGCCCGCCACCACACTCAGCTAATTTTTGCATTGTTTGTAGAGACGGGGTTTCATCGTGTTGGCCAGGCTGGTGGAACTCGACCTCAAACCCCTGACCTCAAGTGATCTGCCCGCCTCAGCCTCCCAAAGTGCTGGGTTTACAGGAGTAAGCTACGGCACCCAGCCTCCTCAATGCATTTTCGACTTATGATATTTTGAATTTACAATGAGTTAATGGGGATGTAACCCTGTCCTCATTGAGGAGCATCTGTATGTGAATCCTCCATTGTACAAATGAGAAACAGGGGACTTGAGAGGTAAACAGGGGACCTGAGAGCCAAGGTAAAACAGCCTAACAGACCGCAGGGCTGTGAGCCCTGCTGTTGCAATCGAATGGTGCACCTCGGTGAGTATGGCGCTCCCTTTCCTGTGGGGAGCCAGCTTTGATAAGGAGAGAGAGGTGGGCAGGGGACACAGAGAGGCACTGAGGGAAGCCCATCTTCAGAGATGAGCCCAGGCTTAGCCTTGCAAGGGCTTCAGGCACATGCGGAGGCGGGGCAGGTGACTGGGGGTGGGGGGAGGGAAGAGGCTGCTGGGCCCCCTCCCTGCTGCTTGCTCGCTTTCCTTCTGGCTCTCTCTGTGTGTCTCTCCATCTTTCTGCCTCTCTGCCTCCTTCCCTTGTCTTCCGCTTCTCTGTAGCCCTGTTTAGACCAAGAGTTGTTCACTTAGGGCTCCTGGATCCCTGGAGTGTAGAAACATGTTATCTATTTTATGGAAAAATGGCAGTGAACATAGGAGTACATGTGTTTTTTTGTAGAACAATTTATTTTCTTTGAGATATATACCCAGTAATGGGATTGCTGGGTCAAATGGTAGTTCTAAGTTCTTTGAGAAATCTCCAAACCGCTTTTCACAGTGGCTGAACTAATTTACATTTGCAACAACAGTGCACAAGAGCTCCCTTTCACCACAGCCTTGCTGGCATCTGTTTTTTCACTTTTTTTTTTTTTGTAGTATAAGTTTAACAGGAGAAAGAGGCCAGGCACGGTGGCTCACGTCTGTAATCTCAGCACTTTGGGAGGCTGAGGCGGGTGGATCACAAGGTCAGGAGTTCAAGACCAGCCTGGCCAAGATGGTGAAACCCTGTCTCTACTAAAAATACAAAAATTAGCCAGGTGTGGTGGCATGTGCATGTAATCCCAGCTACTTGAGAGGCTGAGGCAGGAGAATCACTTGAACCTGGGAGGCAGAGGTTGCAGTGAGCAGAGATAGTGCCACTGTACTCCAGCCTGGGTGACAGAGCAAGACTCCATGTCGAAAAAAAAAAAAAGGCACCCAGAGAAATAGGTTGTTGCCTTCACTTTTTAATAATAGCCATTCTGACTGGTGTGAGATGGTATCTCATTGTGGTTTTGATGTGCATTTCTTGGATGATTAGTGATGATGAACTTTTTTTTCATATGTTTCTTGGCTGTTTGTATGTCTTGAGAAGTGTCTGTTCCTGTCTTTTGCCCACTTTTTAATGGGGTTATTTCCTTGTTTAATTGTTTAAGTTCCTTGTAGATTCTGGACATTAGACCTTTGTCAGATACATAATTTCAAATATTTTCTCCCATTCTATATGTTGTTCACTCTGGTTTTTTTTATTTTCGTTGTTGTTTGTTTATTTGTTTTGAGACAAAGTCTCATTTTGTTGCCCAAGCTGGAGTGCAGTGGTGTGATCTTGGCTCACTGCAGCCTCTGCCTCCTGGGTTCAAGCAATTTTCCTGCCTCAGCCTCCCAAGTAGCTGGGACTATAGGCACATGCCACCACACCTGGCTAATTGTTGTATTTTTAGTAGAGATGGGGTTTCACCACGTTGGCCAGGCTGGTCTTGAACTCCTGACCTCAGGTGATCACTCTGTTGATAGTTTCTTTTGCTGTACAGAAGCTCTTTAGTTTAACAGGTCCCACTTCTCAATTTTTGTTTTTGTTGCAATTACTTTTGAGGACTTAATCACAAATTCTTTCCTAAGGCCTATGTCCAGAATGATGTTTCCCAGGTTTTCTTCTGGGATTATTATAGTTTGAGGTCTTACATTTAAATATTTAATCCATCTTGAGTTAATTTTTGTATCTGGTGAAAAGTAGGGGTCCATTCTTCTGCATTTGGCTAGCCAGCTATCCCAGAACCATTTATTGAATAGGGGTTCCTTTCCCCATTGCTTATTTTTGTTGATTTTGTTGAAGATCAGATGGCTGTAGGTGTGCAGCTTTATTTCTGGGTTCTCTGTTCTGTTCCATTCGTCTGTGTCTGGTTTTTTTTTTCTTTTTTTTTTTTGTACCAGTACCATGCTGTTTTGGTTATGGTAGCCTTGTTGTATAGTTTGAGGTTGAGTAATGTGATGCCTCTGGCTTTGTTCATTTTGCTTAGGATTGCTTTGGTGATTTGGACCCTTTTTTGGTTCTATATGAAATTTTAGGATAGTTCTGTCTAGTTCTGTGAAAAATGACATTGGTAGTGTCATAGGAATAGCATTGCATCTACAGATTGCTTTTGGCAGCATGGCCATCTTAAGGATATTGATTCTTCCAATCCATGAGCATGGAATGGTTTTCTATTTGTTTGTGTTATCTCTGATTTCTTTCAGCAGTGTTTTGTAGTTCTCCTCCTTAGTTAGATGTATTCCTACTTTCACCTCCTTAGTAAGATGTATTCCTAGGTATTTTGTTTTTGTGTGGGTAAACTGGATTGCATTATTGCTTTGTCTCTCAGCATGAATGTAATTGGTGTATAGAAATGCTACTGGCTTTTGTAAATTGATTTTTTCTTTTTTGAGACAGAGTCTTGCTCTGTCACCCAGGCTGGAGTGCAGCGGTGTAATCTCAACTCACTGCAACCTCTGCCTCCCTTGCCCAAGCGATTCTCCTGCCTCAGCTTCCCAAGTAGCTGGGATTACAGGTGTGCACCACCACGCCCAGCTAATTGTACATTGATTTTGTATCCTGAAACTTTATTGAAGTCTTTTGTCAGTTCCAGAAGCCTTTTGGCGGAGTCTTTAGGGTTTTACAGGCATAGAATCATACAGTCAACGAAGAGAGAGAGTTTTGACTTCTTTTCCTATTTGGATGCCTTTCATTTCTTTCTCTTGTCTAATTGCTCTGGCTAGGACTTCCTATGTTCCTAACTTTAAAAGCCACTTAGCTGGATATTTTTTCCTTTAAAAAATTTTTTTATGAGGATAGTTGCAGTCTGCTTTTGACTTGCCTATGACAATTCACTTTGCCCCCCAGGAACCCGGTTAATGGGAAGTTCCCGAGGATGGCCTACTTAGGCATCTGGAGCGTAACGGCTCCCCCTAGCGTCGCTGTTTCAGATTGCATATTGCTCGGGTGAGGAAGGTGAGTAAGAATTCCAGTCGGTGGACAGGATTGGCTTTCAGCAGGCGGTGGGGCCGCCAGGACAGGTGGCTGCAGAGGCAGGGGAAAAAAGGAAGAGTCTGATACTGTGCTGCTGAGCAATGCGAGACTTTTCATGATTTGCCTCAACAATTACAGAGAACACCCCTTTGACATTCAAGGGTACAGACTGCACCCCCACTTTGTGGCGTTCTGATGTCTTGGCATATAAATATTCCCGTATGCTGTATTATTTTTCAGTGTTGAAATATTGGTATTTTTGTTGACACGATGCTGTCATTGTGGTCTGTTGAAAATCTGGGCTGGGCACAGTGGCTCATGCTTGTAATCCTGGCACTTTGGGAGGCCAAGGTGGGAGGATCACTTAAAGCCAGGAGTTCCAGACCAGCCTGGACAATATAGCAAGACCCCCATCTCCACAAAAAAAGAAAAATTAGCTGGGCATGATGGCATATGCCTGTAGTCCCAGTGACTCAGGAGGCTGAGGCCAGAGAATCACTTGAGCCCAGGAGTTTAGGCTGCACTGAGCTATGATCGCACCACTGCCCTCCAGCCTGGGCAACAGAGCAAGACTCTGTCTCAAAATAAATAAATAAATAAGTGAAACCTTTACATCTTGAGATATATTTAGAGATTTAGACACTAGCTTAATTTTCAAATGCAGTAAACATGTGCTCATCTAGGAAGCATTCTCAGATGCCTAGGTAAGGAGCAAGGACAGAAAGGAAAGTAACTGATAAGAATCTCTGGGAAGAATGAATCTTAGTTCTCAAAGACATTTGAACCAACACAATATGAACATCACAGCATTGAAGCTGAAACAGGTAACTCTGTGTTAGAATCTCCAGCTGTCCATGCCAGAAGTAAAGATGATAAAAAACAATCCAGACAAAAACTATAACTAAGAGTCAGTAAAATGATTGCAGTTCCTGGAAGCCAAGCACAAAGCAGTTGTCCTAAAAAGATTTGTTTCAAAGTTATAAAACAAGACCAAACACATGTGTAATTTTAAATGGACTCAGAGAAAAAAGTCAAAGCTGTTAACTCTGAGGATGCCACCTGCATAACCTAGCATGTCTGGAGCTGAGATTCTTCCACCCAGCAGATAGTTGTGTGTTTGCATTGACACTGTGTTTGGTACAGTAAGAGGAAAAGGTACAGTAATGAAGCACAGAGCAGGGAAAGCCGTGCCTACAACACCCAGGGGGCACGGTCTCCAATGAAGTAGTTTCCTTATTTCACCTCTAGGGACTGGCAAAAGTTACGTTGACCTTCAGGGGTTAAGTGATAACTCAAATTGGAGTGCCTCTTTGTCTGTCTAAGGACAACTTTTTTTTTTTTTTTTTTTGAGACAGTCTTGCTCTGTCACCCAGGCTGGAGTGCAATGGCGTGATCTTGGCTCAATGCAACCTCCGCCTCCCCGGTTCAAGCGATTCTCCTGCCTCAGCCTCCCGAGTAGCTGGGATTACAGGCGCCTACTACCACACCAGGCTGATTTTTGTATTTTTAGTAGAGATGGGGTTTCACCATCTTGGCCAGGCTGGTCTCGAGCTCCTGACCTCAAGTGATCCACCCACCTTGGCCTCCCAAAGTGCTGGGATTACAGGCATGAGGCACTGCGCCCGGCCAGTTTTTATGTCACTAGATAGGTTTTCCTAATATTATCATTATTTCTGCTTCATTCTCTCCCTTCATACTCTCTCCTTTCTTCCACTCTGAGTCCCATCCATCCCTGCCTATCTTTCTTCTGACCCTCACATCTTCCCTGCTTCCACCCATCCCTCTCTGTCCCACATGGCTCTCTTCACCCCCTCATATGGTTTCATCCAGTCTCTATTTCAACCCTTCTTGGTTCCAGAAGAGAGCTCCTTATTAGGTCCATTAGCCATGAGTGCTCCTTCTGTCTTGAAGGGCCTCCCCCTCCTCACATACCTTTCTCCTTTTTCCTCTGCCCTTCTCTCTTGTTTGAGTATGAAACCGATGTCGGATTTTTCTTCTTGATCACTTTGCAAGCCGGGGAACCTCAGCCGGTAACATTCCGCCTGGGCCTCGGTTAGCCACACTTGCGTGCCCCAGCTCACCTGTGTTACTGCTTGGACCTGCGTTCAGTGGTTTCCAAGCTCTTATACCCGCACCCAAGAAGAATGAGGATATGCTGGACATTGAAGGGTGAGGAGGGCAGAGAAGAATCATATTAAGCGATGGAACAGCTCTCAGCAGAGAGGGGACACGGAGCGGGGGCGCTGGGTAGTTCCCCTATCCGATGGCGGGAAAGTCCCCCTGTGTGGCTGGGTCCGAGGCCTTTTATGGACTCAGGATGGGGAATGCCTGCTGATTGGTTTGTGAGTATGCCAAAATGGTTAAAGCGAAGACACCACTCAAAGGTGGGCATGACAGTGTAGGAAACCAGTTAGGAAAGGGTAGGTATATGTCAAATAGGTGAAGCGTGGGATTAATCAGAGGAAAGCACGCCAAGCGGGATGACAGGTTCTTAATCCGGTCTGAGGATTTCACTTGTAGCTTGGCTTTCTGGCTTTAAGCTATCTTCAGCTTGCAGGTGGGGTTTCATGGGGGATGCACCCCTATCTGCCCAGGCATTTGGCTGCCTCCTGCTGCTCTCAAAACTGTCACTGAGTAGTCAGGATTTGGGTTCTTCGGTCTGACGATGCTGGTATAACCTTGCTCTCCAAATAAGATTGGTGAGAGTGTCCATCGCGTGCCCAGGAATTTGCATTCATTTCTGTGACTTCCTGAGTGTGAGCCCTGCTCCCACCATGAGTTGAGCTGATGGATCTCACCCAGGCCCTGTAAGTACTGTCTGGGTTCTGTACTTCCTTGACCCAGAAATGAGACTCAGCCATCCCCCACTTTTCCACCTAAAACCTACTTTCCAGAGGCATTTGTGTGAAGAATAGACTTAGCTGATGTTAAGGAACAGAGAGTAGATCTTTCAATATAATCCATAGGCTCACAGAAAGAAAAAAAAGAGTAGGTCACAATGCTTCAAGGCAAACAGCTTGAAACAGACATCAGAAATGTCTGTGTTTAAAAGTCCCTCGGGTAGCCAATGACTCCTGGTCATTTTGCCCCCTTATTGCTCTTTTCTTGTGACATCTGCACAGCTCTCCTCACGCTTCCCTTTCCCACCTCTCCTCCTCCTGTGATTTTTCTCAGTTATCACCAAGAACTATACATGTATTTTTCTCTATTTCGCAGAGCCATTCTTCATTCTAGCCTACTAGTTTTCAAAGAGTATCCTAATCCATTAGCAGGAAGTAGAATAAGCTTAGTGGGCCAAAACAAGATTTTTTTTTTTTTTTTGAGACAGAGTCTTGCTATGTTGCCCAGGCTTGAGTTCAGTGGCGCGATCTCGGCTCACTGCAACCTTTGCCTTCCTGCAACCTTCGCCTCCTGGGTTCAAGCAATTCTCCTACCTCAGCCTCCCGAGTAGCTGGGACTACAAGCATGTGCAACCACACCCACCTAATTTTTGTATTTTTAGTAGAGGTGGGGTTTCACCATGTTGGCCGGGCTGGTCTCAAACTCCTGACTTCAGATGATCTGCCCGCCTCAGCCTCCCAAAGTGCTGGGATTACAGGTGTGAGCCACCAGGCCCAGCCTAAGATTTTCTTTCTCTTTATTTTTTTAAATTAAGATGGAGTTTCACTCTGTTGCCCAGGCTGGAGTGCAGTGCCGCGATCTCGGCTCACTGCAACCTCAACTGCCCAGATTCAAGGGATTCTTGTGCCTCAGCCTCCCAGGTAGCTGGGACTACAGGTGCCTGCCACCATGCCCAGCTAATTTTTTATTATTATTATTAAGTAGAGACAGGGTTTCGCCATGTTGACAAGGCTGGTCTTGAACTCCTGATCTTAGGTGATCCACCCGCCTCGGCCTCACAAAGTGCTGGGATTACAGGTGTGAGCCCCTGCACCCGGCCTGGATTTTCTTTTAATTGAAATAGAATGGAATGGAAAATATCTGTGTGGGGTGGTGGGGGAATAGGTATTGTTGCTGGATGCAGTGGCTCACGCCTGTAATGCCAGCACTTTGGGAGGCCGAGGTAGGTGGATTGCCTGAGCCCAGGATTTTGAGACTGGCCTGGGTAACATGGCGAAACCCCGTCTCTACAAAAAATACAAAAATTAGCTGGGCGTGGTGGCACACACCTGTGGTCCCAGCTACTTGGGGGGCTGGGGTGGGAGAATTTGGGCCCAGGGAGGTCAAGACTTCAGTGAGCTGTGACCACACCACTGCCCTCCAGCCTGGGTGACTGGGTGAGACTCTGCCTCAAAAAAACAAAAAGTATTCTTTTGTGAAATATGTTTGGGTTTTGTTCATAGGGTTTTTTTGTTGTTGTTGTTGTTTTTTTGTTTTTTTTTTTGGAGACAGGGCCTTATTCTGTTGCCCAGCCTGGAGTGCAGTGGCACAATCATAGCTCACTATATCCTGGAATTCCTGGGCTCAAGTGATCCTCCTGAGTAGCTGGGACTACAGGCACATGCCACCATGACTGGCTAAGTTTTTATTTTTTATATTTTGTAGAGATAGAGTCTCACTGTGTTGTCCAGGCTGGTCTCTAATTGCTGGCCTCAACTGATCCTCCTACCTCGGCTTCCCAAAGTGCTGGGATTACAGGCATGAATCGCCATGCCTGGCCAGTTTTGATTATACTACACAAATAAGTGTTATTAAGAGTTGTAACTTTTTTTTAAGTCTGTAAAACACTATCTGGTCCCCATGGATGAACTTAGCTGCAAGTCCACTTTTTTTTTTTTTTTTTTTGCCTCTCATTAATAAACATTTATTTCATTCAAATTAGAGCAATAATCTTCCATATTTAAATATCTTCCCTGCCCAATAATTCAAAGGAAGAAATCCAAAATGATTAGTAAAGAAAAAAATGTGAGGATTAGTAGATCCTTTTAATTTGTTTTAAATTTTTTTTTTTCTTTTTTTTTTTTTTTTGGAGATGGAGTCTCACTCTGTCACCCAGGCTGGAGTGCAGTGGCACAATCTTGGCTCACTGCAAGCTCCGCCTCCCGGTTTCACACCATTCTCCTGCCTCAGCCTCCCAAGTAGCTGGGACTACAGGTGCCCACCACCACACACGGCTAATTTTTTGTATTTTTAGTAGAGATAGGGTTTCACCATATTAGCCAGGATGGTCTGCATCTCCTGACCTCGTGATCCGCCCGCCTCGGCCTCCCAAAGTGCTGGGATTACAGGCGTGAGCCACTGCGCCTGACCTGTTTTAAATATTTTTGAGCTTTAAAAAGTGTTTCAAGTTTGTAATTCCTAGTAGGAAAACATTATCTGAATGAATACCATAATGGCAAACCACTGTAAAAAGCTTGAGCTGCAGCCAGGCGCTGCAGGTGACTCACGCCTGTAATCGCAGCACTTTGGGAGGTTGAGGTGGGCGGATCACTTGAGGTCAGGAGTTCATGACCAGCCTGGCCAACATGGTGAAACCCTGTCTCTACTAGAAATACAAAAATTCGCCAGGCATGGTGGTGGGTGCCTGTAATCCCAGCTACTCAGGAGGCTGAGGCAGGAGAATCGCTTGAAACGGGAGGCAGAGGTTGCAGTGAGCCGAGATCGTGCCACTGCACTCCAGCCTGGGCTACAAAGTGAGACTCCGTCTCAAAAAAAAAATAAATAAATAAATAAAATAAAATAAAAAATAAGTTTCAGCTGCATTTGGGGTAGAAGGGTAGGGATTACTGCAGAACTGACATCCATCCGGGGATAGGAGAGCAGAGATGTCTTCAATAGGGTTAATCTCAGGGAAGGAGCAAGAATGTTTACAATTCGTAATGTTTCTTAAGGTAAATAACAATGGGTTGGGTGCGGTGGTTCACGCCTGTAATCCCAGCACTTCGGGATGGTGAGGTGGGTGGATGACTTGGGGTCAGGAGTTCGAGACCAGCTTGGCCAACATGGAGAAAACACATCTCTACTAAAAAATACAAAAATTAGCTGGGCATGGCGGCGCGTGCCTGTAGTCCTGGCTACTCGGGAGGCTGAAGCAGGAGAATCGCTTGAACCCCAGGAGGCGGAGGTTGTAGTGAGCCGAGATCGCGCCACTGCACCAACCTGGGTGACAGAGCGAGACTCCTCAAAAACAAAACAAAAACAAAAACAATGATGGTTTTTAAAACTGTATCAAAAATGCTCTTGCATCAAAGCAGCTGCATCAGGCTGTCACAAATCTAGTAGAATATGGAGTTCCAGGGAGTTCCATCAGGCTGGAACCAAGCTGGCTCTGCCCATGTTGGGGGAGTGTCTCTTAATTGCCGGCCAAGCAGTCTGAAATAAACTTAGCAACTCATCTTGTTTAAGGGGCGTGGAACGGGGGGAGTGCGATGCGAGTGAGAGGAGCGACCGCGACTGCACACCTGCTGTATACCAGGCCTCGTATCTCATTTAGCCTCAAAACAACCCTGTGTGTTAAGTATTCTCACCCTAATCTTGAAGATCTGGGAACTGATAATTAGGGTAAGTGACCAGATTTTTTATTCTTACTGGGGATTTTTTAAATGCTCCAGCAAAAACTCCCCGCAGGGCTGATTTAAAGCCTGGGCCAGGGCCAGTAATCCCAACACTTTAGTAGGCTGAAGTGGGAGGATCACTTGAGCCCAGGAGTTCGAGACCAGCCTGGGCAACCTAGCAAAACTCTGTTTCTACGAAAAAAATTCAAAATAAATTAACACGATAAAGGCTAAGCCAACTGTAGTGGCCCAGACATCAATCTCTAAAGAGTGCAGATACCTTACTGGACACAAAATGAGGTGAGACTGTTTCACTTCCGGCTCTTTTCCTGGGGAAAGGAGCATAGACAGCAGATAGTAAGACACAGTGGATGAGTCATACCCCTGGCTACTAGGCAGAGGGTGGAGCAGAGCCCGGTGAATGCAGGGTTTGGGCCAGGTTGCAGTGATACCTGAATCCTCAGGGCAACAGAGGAAAGGCTGAGTGGAGCCACCAGAGGGTCCCCTACTCTTCCTCCTGGCAACCCCACCCCATCATGCCATGCGGCGTGGCCTCTCCTTCCAAATACTGAACACTCTAACGTTTGGCGTGACAGCTATGTAGTTTAAAAATCAAATTTCCACCATTATGTACAAGAGTCTAAATGAACAGGAAGTGCGTTTTGTAAAACAAAATTGAGCTTTCTCCACATTCCTTTTTAAAAGAAAATAACTTAGAATGCTGTAAAGCATTGTGAGATCTTTCTTCCACAGCCTTGAGGTTTTATGTGAGGGAAGATTGGGAAGAGAGAGGGAATCACTGAGAGAGGGTGGGGATAAAAAAAGAAGGAGGAAGACAAGGATGTGTGGGCACAGAGAAGACTACTGTTTTGAAGGAGAGGCAGGTGGTCTGCATCCTGCAGTCCCCAAGGTAACTTGCACCCAACCCTGTCTCTCACCAGCATGCAGGCCTCTCCCTGCCCTGGCAGCCTCCCTCAGGGGGCCTCACTTCTCCCCCCAGCCACACCCCAGCTGCATTTCCTCTCTCTGCGGGTCACACGGGATAAATGAAACAAATCTCCCACAACAGCGTTCCCACCACGAGGCATTTTGTAAATTACTGTGTATATAAATGGAGGCTGTTTAGAAATTGTATGTGATTTTCAGCTGGAGTAAATCTTTTCTGTACTTAATGCCAGCGTTGCTGTAAATTGTTTTCCTGGGGAGAAAACAGCAAGCCTGCCACACCACAACCTCAACAGGCGTTATTTCTTTATTTTTTTTTAACTTTTAGAGTGACAGCTATGCAGTTTAAAAATCAAATTTCCATGTGGTAATGTACATGAGTCTAAATTAACAGGAAATGTGTTTGATGAAACAAAACTGAGCTTTTTCCAAATTCCTTTTTAAAAGGAAATAACTAGGCCGGGCGCAGTGGCTCACACCTGTCATCCCAGCACTTTGGGAGGCTGAGGCCGGGGGAATCACTTGAGGTGAGGAGTTCGTGACCAGCCTGGCCGACATGGTGAAACCCCATCTGTACTAAAAATACAAAAATTAGCTGGGTGTGGTGTCGCGCGCCTGTAATCCCAGCTACTCAGGAGGCTGAGGCAGGAGAATTGCTTGAACCCAGAAAGCAGAGGTTGCAGTGAGCCAAGATCGCACCACTGTCCTCCAGCCTGGGCAACAGAACGAGACTCCGTCTCAAAAAATATATATATATATATATTTTTTTTTTTAATTTTTTTTTTTTTTTTGAGACGGAGTCTCGTTCTGTCGCCCAGGCTAGAGTGCAGTGGCATGATCTCAATATATATATTTTTTAAATAGTAGAGACAAGGTCTCGCTATATTGCCCAGGCTGGTCTCAAACTCCAAGGCTCGAGCAATCCTCTTGCCTCAGCTTCTGAAAGTTCTGGGATTATGGGTGTGAGAATATTTTCTCACTTTTTGATTGAGGTGTAACTTACATACAGTAAAGTGTACAAGTCATGACAGTTTCTTACATGTGTATAGGCCCATGTGGCCACCAACCACATTATGACATAGGACGCTTCTGGACTCCAGTGGGCTCCTTGTGCCCCTCCCAGTCAGTATCCCCCAGAGGTGACCACTCTTCTAGTCTCCATCACTATGCATTGGCTTTGCCTGTGTGATTTGTACCTATGGAAACAGAGTGCTAGACAGACTTATGGAGACATCTCTATATGCATTAGTTGTGTGTTTGGCCTCTTTTGCTCATTGTTGTTTTTGCCATTCATTGGTGGATGGTGGTGCATATAGCAACAATTCATCCTTTTTCTTTTTCTTTTTTTTTTTTTTTGAGACAGAGTCTTGCTCTGTCACCCAGGCTGCAGTGGTGCAATCTCAGCTCACTGCAACCTCTGCCTCCAGGGTTCAAGTGGTTCTCCTGCCTCAGCCTCCTGAGTAGCTGGGACTACAAGTTCGTGCCACCATGCCCAGCTAATTTTTTTATTTTTAGAAGAGACGGGGTTTCACCATATTGGCCAGGCTGGTCTCGAACTCCCAACCTCGTGATCCACCCGCCTCAGCCTCCCAAAGTGCTGGGATTAGAGGCATGAGCCACCGTGCTCGACCTGTAATTCATCCTTTTTCTTCGCTGTATATCATTCCATGATGTGACTGATCACAATGTATCTATTTCATTGTTGATGAGCATTTGCATTGTTTCTAGCTTTGAGTTATTATGAATAAAGCTGCCATGAACACTCCTGTACATGCCTTTGATGGACATAGACTCATTTTTCAGACTCAGGAATGGAATCCCAGAGGCAGAGCTATGCACACGTTCAGCTTCAGTAGGCACCGAACCCGCAGTTGCTTTAACCCAAGGTGCCTTGGAAAGAGAAGCATCCTCCATGGAAACTCTCACCTGTGGCTTCTAGAAACCCACTCAGTTGCCAGCTGGTGGGAAGTGATGAGGGACATAAGGACAAACTGACTGGAGAGTGTCAGAGAAAAGGAGAGAGAAGCGGGGAAGAAAAGGCAGGAAGAGTCAGGGCTCAAGCACATGGAATAAAAACTTATCAAGGGGTGCTGAGGTCAAGGCCAACGAAGAGGGCGGTGTTGAGGATGCTGTCCCCAGAGCGCTCTCCAGGACTGAGTGTTCTCTTGCTGATGACAAAAAAGAAAGAAAATGGAAACAACAAAGCTTTTATAAGAGGTTAAAATCATTCAGAGTTATGCCATTTGCCTGTAAAAATGAGTAAATTAATTTTCCTGATGACAAAATCAGAAATAAATATCTCCTTGAAATCCTCTTATGTCACCACCCTGCAGCAGTGGTGGAGCCTTGGTCATATAGATCAAAATTTACTGTCCCTAAGAGGCAGTGGCCATGAATTTCCCATCTTATTTACTTAAAAACAAAATTTTATTACAATAGTTGAACTTTATCCTTTACAAGATGACATCTTAGAAAAACTTTATAAGTAAGTACTAAAGTTGTATATTTTCTTCATTAACCTGTAACATTTCATCTTTTTTTTTTGAGATGGAGTTTCACTCTTTCGTCCAGGCTGGAGTGCAGTGACGCAATCTCAGCTCACTGCAACCTCCACCTCCCGGGTTCAAGCGGTTTTCCTGCCTCAGCCTCCCAAGTAGCTGGGATTACAGGCATGCACCACCACGCCAAGCTAATTTTTATGGGGTTTTTTTGTTTGTTTGTTTGTTTTGTTTTTTGAGATGGAGTCTCGCTCTGTTGCCAGGCTGGAGTGCAGTGGTGTGATCTCAGCTCACTGCAACCTCTGCCTCCAGGGTTCAAGCGATTCTCCTATCTCAGCCTCCCAAGTAGCTGGGACTACAGGCATGCGCCACCACACCCAACTAATTTTTGTATTTTTAGTACAGACTGGGTTTCACCACGTTGGCCAGGATGGTCTCGATCTCTTGACCTCGTGATCCACCCACTTTGGCCTCCCAAAGTGCTAGGATTACAGGCGTGAGCCACAACTTTTGTATTTTTAGTAAAGACAGGGTTTCACAATATGTCCAGGCTGGTCTTGAACTCCTGACCTCAAGTGGTCTGCCTGCCTTGGCCTCCCAAAGTGCTGGGATTACAGACCTGAGCCACCATGTCCGGCCACATCTGTTTTTTGTTTGTTTGTTTGTTTTTTGAGATAGAGTCTCACTCTGTCGCCCAGGATGGAGTGCAGTGGCGTGATCTTGGCTCACTGCAACCTCTACCTCCTGGGCTCAAGTGATTCTCCTGCCTCAGCCTCCCGACATTTCATCTGTTAATTCACCCCAAATATATATATGTACTTTAAAGCCTATCTTAAGTGGATACAAAATTACAGCTAGAATACGCTCTAGTTATAGCACTATAGGGGGACTACGATTAATGACAATTTATTGTGTATTTTCAAAAGCTAGAAGAGCAGATTTTGAATGTTCCCAACACAAAGAAATGATAGATGTTTGAGATGATGGATATGCTAATTACCCTGATTTATTACCCATTGTATCCATGAATTGAAATATCACAAGGCCGAGTGCGGTGGCTCACGCCTGTAATCCCAGCATTTCAGGAGGCCGAGGCGGGCAGATCACCTGAGGCCAGGAGCTCGAGACCAGCCTGGCCAACATGGCAAAACTCCGTCTGTACTAAAAATACAAAAAAAAATTAGCCGGACGTGGTGGCACACGCCTATACTCCCAGCTACTCAGAAGGCTGAGGCAGGAGAATCGCTTGAACCGGGGAGGTAGAGGTTGCAGTGAGCCGAGATTACACCACGGCACTCCAGCCTGGGCAGCAAGAGCGAAACTCCATCTCAAAAAATAATAATAATAAAATAAAATAATAATAATAATAAAATTATTATTATTATCATGAACAAAAGTCTGATCCTAGCAGTTCCTCGTCTACCTTCAGGATGACTGGACATAGAGACTTGTGGTTGCCTGGTAATTTCTCAGTGCCTGGCGTATTGCCCTGACAAGGTGGGAGGTCTGGACATCTGGTCTGGGTTACTTGAGCAAATCAGCAAGTGTTTGGTTTGCACTTTCAGTCTCCCTGTGCTGAGAGGAGAGAAAATAGCTATGAAGAACTGCTGGCAGAAGTTTAAGATCCTCCCCACTCCCTAGGTCTGCTTTCCCTAGTCATAAAAAGGTGTTCAGCTACCACCTGACTAAAAGGAATACTACTCACTCTTTCTTCGATTTTTTTTTTTTTTTTTTTTTTTTTTTTTTGAGACAGGGTCTTGCTTTGTCACCTAGGCTAGAGTGCAGTGGTGCGATGATAGCTCACTGCAGCCTCAAACTCCTGGGCTCAAGTGATTCTCTTGCTTTGTCCTCCCAAATAGCTGGGATTACAGGTATGTGCCACCACGCCCAGCTAATTTTTGTATTTTTAGTAGAGATGGGGTCTCATTATGTTGCCCAGGCTGGTCTCAAACTCCTGGCTTCAAGTGATCCTCCTGCCTCAGCCTTCCAAAGTGCAGGGATTATAGGTGTGAGCCACTGTGCCTGGCCTAAAAAGTGTTTTCATTGTGGAAAAATACACATAACAAAATTTACCACCTTAATCCTTTTTACGTGTACAGCTCAGTTGTGTTAAGTACATTCCACATCATTGTGCAGCTTCTCCACCATCATCCCCAGGACATTTTCATCTTCCCAAACTGAGACTCTGTCCTCGTTAAACACCAATCCCCGTTCCTGCTGCCCTCAGTCCCTGGCAACCCCATTCCACTTCCTGTCTCTGGGAATCTGACTCCCCCTGCTGCCTCGTGTAAGTGGAATCTTACAGCTTTGCTTTCTGTGACTGGCTTATTTCACTAGCATCATGTACTTAAGTTTCATCCATGTTGTAGCATAAGTCCAAATTTCCTTCTTTTCTTCCTTTTTTTCTTTTTTTTTTTTTTTGGAGACAAAGTCTCGCTCTGCCACCCAGGCTGGAGTGCAGTGAAATGATTTCGGCTCACTGCAATCTCCGCCTCCTGGGTTCAAGTTGTTCTTGTGCCCCCGCCTCCTGAGTAGCTGGGATTACAGGCACCAGCCACCATGTCTGGCTAATTTTTGTATTTTTAGTACAGATGGGTTTCACCATGTTGGCCAGGCTGGTCTTGAACTCCTCACCTCAGGTAATCCGCCCACCTTGGCCTCCCAAAGTGCTGGGATGGCAGGTATGAGCCACCCCACCTGGCCTTCCTTCCTTTTGAAGGCTGAGTAATATTCCATTGAGTACATATGCCACATTTTGCTTATCCATTCACATGTAGTTGGATATTTGTGTTGCTTCTACCTTTTGGATTCCTTTATACATTTTACTAACATTTACTGAGTACCTACTCAGTATAAATAACTGTGATAGTTGCTAAGAGGAGATTAAAAGAAAAAGAATGGCATGATTCTTCCCTCAAGAACTTATAATTTTGTAGGTGTGGGTGTATAAAAGTAATTATATAAGGTAAGATGAAATAAGTACTATAATGTGTGTACATTCAAAAGAGTACTGGGGCTAGGCACGGTGGCTCACGCCTGTTATCCCAGCACTTTGGGAGGCCAAGGCAGGCAGATCACCTGAGTTCAGGAGTTCCAGACCAGCCTGGCCAACATGGTGAAACCCTGTCTCTACTAAAAGTACAAATATTAGCTGGGCATGATGGCACATGCCTGTAGTCCCAGCTACTTGGTAGGCTGAAGCAGGAGAATTGCTTGAACCTAGGAGGCAGAGGTTGCAGTGAGCTGAGATCGCACCACTGCACTCCAGCCTGGATGACAGAGCGAGAGGCTGTCTCAAAAAAAAAAAAAAAAAAAGAGTACAGGAATCTGGGGAAGCAGTGACCAATCTCAACCTGAAAATATCAGACAGGTTCTCAGAAGGTGCAGCACCTGAGCTATGCCCTAAAGAGGAAGAAATGGGGTTTCCATAGGTGCTGAGTGGGGGTGGGGCGGGAAGGAGCTCAGGTAAAAGCAGATAGTGTGAAAGCACGTGGCATGCCATGAAAATAAGGAAATAATGGAATTTCATGTTTACTTTAGGTAACTGATCCTCCGAAACGACTGCTAAGCACAGGCTCGAGGCAGTAACTTCCATGCACGTATCTGTGGTAAGAGACCATCCACTGCCATAGCACAGAGCATTGGGAACACAAGTTAACAGTCTTGAAATAGGTCATCAAGGTGGGGCGCGGTGGCTCACGCCTGTAATCCCAGCACTTTGGGAGGCCAAGGCGGGCGGATCACGAGGTCAGGAGATCGAGACCATCCTGGCTAACACCATGAAACCCCGTCTCTACTAAATACAAAAAATTAGCCAGGCGTGGTGGTGGGCGCCTGTAGTCCCAGCTACTCGGGAGGCTGAGGCAGGAGAATGGTGTGAACCCGGGAGGCAGAGCTTGCAGTGAGCCGAGATCGTGCCACTGCACTCCAGCCTGGGCGACAGAGCGAGACACCATCTCAAAAAAAAAAAAAAGAAAGAAAGAAAGAAATAGGCCATTAAGCTGGTCCCATTACTGAAACACACAGAGAACTTCCCTTTGCAGCGATCTCTTAGGGGAGAAGCCTTTGGATGTCCAGCCAGTTGGGACCCCTTGGGAAAGGGTTCAGGGTATCCTGCTGAACTCACCCACGCTCCTGTGACTCCTGCCTAGTGAGCTTGTGCATTTAGGCACAAACGTGCCTAATGTGAGACCATCTTGGGAGTCCAGTGAAAATGAACACTCCCCCAAGATAAGGCTCTCCACTTTACTACTAGTTTTTGTGGGTTGGAATTCAGTCTTTGATTTACCCAATCAACATATATTTGTTGACAGCCAAAGAGTTTCTGGGTGCTAAGATACAGTTAACAAGATACATTGATAAGATCTCTGCTGTCTCATAGAACTTCCCTTCCTGTAGAGTGAGATCAAAAATAACCAAAGAAATAACCTGGCCAGGCACAGTGGCTCACACCTGTAATCTTAGCATTTTGGGAGGCCGAAGCGGGGGGATCACTTGAGCTCAGGAGTTCAAGACCAGCCTGGACAACATGGTGGAACCTGGTCTCTACCAAAAATACAAAAACTTAGCCGGTCCTGGTGGCTCACATCTGTGGTCCCAGCTACTTGGGAGCCTGAGGTAGGAGGATCGCTTGAGCTCAGGAGGCAGAGGTTCAGCCAAGATTATGCCACTGTTCTCCAGGCTGGGAGATAGAGCAAGACTGTGTCTCAAAACAAAAACAAAAACAAAAACAAAAACACACATGCACACAAAACCCAAAGAAATAACCAAGAAAATTATCAAACAGCAATAAGAGCTGCGGAGAATTAAAATAAAATGGCCTAACAGTGAATGGGTGGCTTCTTGTGTTGGGTGATCTGAGATTGTGCCATTAGGCTGAGTTCTGAAGGAGCCTACACACAGAAGTCTGCTAGCAGAGCATCCCAGGCAGAGTCACAGGTCATGCAAAGGCCCTCAGGCAGGACTGAGCTTGACACATTTGAGGCAGAAATAAGGCCGATTTGTCCAGAGCACAGTGAGTGAACAGAGAGTGGGTACAGTTGAGTTAGAGAAATAGCCTGGGGCCGTCACAGAGCATTTGTGACTCAGAGAAACGAGTCTGGATTTTTTTCTAAGTGCTGTGGGAAATCGTTGGAAAGCTGTAAGCAGAGGGAAAACTTGATATGGTGCATATTTTTAAGGTCACTGGCATGAGGGTTTCGCTGGAGGGGAGGGTGGTACAGTAAAAGTGGAGAGTGGACTTGGGTGCATTTCGGACATGGATTCCACAAGCGATAAAGAAGATTAAAAAAAAAAGAAATCTAGGGAAATTCCTACAGTTTTGATTTAAGTAACTGAGTGGATTATGTTGCCTTTTTAAAGATGAGGATGCCTGAAGGAGGAGCTCTGGGTGGGCAAGGGAAAGGTGGAATCAAGAGTTCTCTTTTGCATAAGTTCTTTTGAGATGTATGCAAGGCCAGGCACGGTAGCTCATACGTGGAATCCCAGCACTTTGGGAGCCCAAGGTGGGTGGATCTCTGGTGGAGCCCAGGAGTTCAAGGCTAGCCTGGTCAACATGGCGAAACCCCATCTCTACAAAAATTTTTAAAAAATAACTGCGCGTGATGGTGTGAGCCCATAGTCCCAGCTACTTGGAAGGTTGAGGTGGGAGGTTCGCTTGAGCCCAGGAGATTGAGGCTGCAGTGAGCCATGATGGAGCTACTGCACTCCAGCCTGGATGATAGAGTGAGACACTGGCTCAAAAAAATAATTAAAAAAAAAAAAAAAAAGCCAGATGCAGTGGTTCATGCCTGTAATCAATCCTACCACTTTGGGAGGCCAAAGCAGGTGGATCACCTGCGGTCAGGAGTTCGAGACCAGCCTGGCCAACATGGTGAAACCCCATCTCTACTAAAAATACAAAGATTAGCCAGGCGTGGTGGTGGTGCCTGTAGTCCCAGCTACTCGGGAGGCTGAGGCAGGAGAATCACTTGAACCTGGGAGGTGGAGGTTGCAGTGAGCCAAGATCCCACCACTTTACTCCAGACTGAGCGACAGAGCGAGACTCCATCTCAAAAATATGTATATGTGTGTGTGTGTGTGTGTGTGTTTGTGTATGCATGTGAAACAATTCCAGAGTTAGTCGAGAGTCCTAGGAAAAGAGATCAGGGCTGAAAATATAGATATGGGGAATCCTGGGGCAATTTCCTCATCTCTTTGTTAACAGATTGTTAGTCAGGTCCAGTTCAGTGTCTTGCATGCTGGACAGCCACTGTAACACACCCAGGGATCTGTTTCATTCCCCACCTGACCTAGTCCTGGCAAATACACTACCTGTGGTTGTCATTTGGACCAGAGGAAAAAGGGATGAACTGGGATCCCAGAGCCCAGGCACTGAGGACCGGCTCTGATTCCAGGAACCAAAACAAAGAAAAATAACAGTTATCGGGCGCTTTCATGTGTCAGCCCTACATAGTGCTTCATGGAATCTCTGTCTTAATTTTCACACCATACCTATGCGATGATTCTTACTTTCCCCACTTGACAGATGAAGAAATGGGCTCAGGTTGGTAAAATGACTTCTTCAAGTTTGTAAATCAAGCCCAGATCTGTTTCTTTTTTTTTTTTTTTTTAGATGGAGTCTCTGTCTTTTAGGATGAAGTGCAGTGGTGCAATCTCAGTTCACTGCAACCTCCACTTCCTGGGTTCAAGTGATTCTCCCAGGAACCTCAGCCTCCCAAGTAGCTGGGATTACAGGCGCCTGCCACCACGCCTGGCTAATTTTTGTATCTTTAGTAAAGATGGGGTTTCACCATGTTGGCCAGGCTGGTCTTGAACTCCTGATCTCAAGTGATCCATCCACCTCGGCCTCCCAAAGTGCTGGGATTACAGGCGTCAGCCACTGCACCCCCTACATCTGTTTGATGCTGTTCTACTGTATTACCTCTCCTTGCTGCATGTGCTTGGGCCAGATGTTTAGTTCCTCTGGGCTGGGGTTTCTTCATTTATTAAGTGGGACATTAAAAAACTGATTATTAGGATGGGTGCAGTGGCTCAGGCCTGTATAATCCCGGCACTCTAGGAGGCTGAAGCAGGAAAATCAGTTAAGCCCAGGAGTTGAGGATCAGTGTGGGCAATATAGTGAGACCTCATCTTTACAAAAAATAAATTTAATAAAATTAGGTGGGGTTGTGCACGCCTGTAGTCCCAGCTCCTTGGTAGGCTGAGGTGGGAGGATCACTTTGAGCCCAGGAGGTAGAGGCTGCAGTGAGCTGTGGTCGTGCCACTGCACTCCAGCCTGGGTGACAGAGTGAGACTCTGCTTCTAAAAAAAAAACCACATTGACTGTTATGGTCTCATCTAGCTGTAATATTCTGGATTCTGAATGCATTTGAGTGTGTTTATGTTTCAGTTTTCTAAGTGACTTTGAATCTTACTGTAGCTGAAATGCTTTAGCTAGAGCATGATCTCCATGCTTTCACAGCGAGAGGGGTGATGACCCAGCAGCTGGGGCATCTGAAATGCAGGGATTTGTTGTTGTGAGCCCCGAGGTGAAAGGCCTCTTGGAAGCATAAAGGATTCTGTCAGAGCCACTTTGCTCCCTTGCCCACAGTGCCTTCCTTTCCTTAGCTCTGGGAAATAGTTCTTATTTTCTAAATCATTGTGCTTTGAAGACCAAGCCTGCTGGGGAATGTCAAAGGGGTCACAGGGTTAAATACAGAACCGAGTCTGTTCGCTGCGATGCCAGCCGCTGTCACCCACCCCAGCTAGACCTTGTCATTGGGGCTCCCTGCAAGAGGATCGTCATTTCCTCTAGGCTTTGCCAACAGCAAAGAGAAAAGGGCTCTTTCTTCACTGACGTGTGCCCGCCTGGATCCAGAACGGTATTCTGATGGCAGACAGGAAGAACCGCTCCAGCTTAGTGGCGTGATGTTTGTTCAAAATCTATCTTCAGTGCAAATGTTCTTCGGATGTTTAAATCTCCTATCGTAACTTTTTGGTGGTTGTACATTTCTAACATGTCTTAAAACTCTAGCAAGGTGGGCCAGGCATGGTGGCTCACGCCTGTAATCCCAGCACTTTGGAAGGCTGAGGCAGGCAGATCACCTGAGGTCAGGAGTTTAAGACCAGCCTGGCCAACATGGCGAAACCCTGTCTCTATTAAAAATACAAAAATTAGCCAGGCTTAGTGGCACATGCCTGTAGTCCCAGCAACTTGGGAGGCTGAGGCAGCAGAATCGCTTGAACCTGGGAGGCAGAGGTTGCAGTGAGCCGAGATCATGCCATTGCACTCCAGCCTGGGAGCCTGGGTGACGGAGCGAGACTCCATCTCTTAAAAAAAAAAAAAAGAAAAAAGAAAAAAAGAAAAATAAAAAACAAAATTCTAGCAAAGTGAGTCAACTCTCCCAGTATGCTTGACCAATAATTTATCCAGGTAAAAGTTATTACTATCTTCTTAATTTTTATAAAAAGCCCCAGGGTGAATTCTTATCATGAACAGGTGCTGAATTTTATTAAATGCTTTTTCTGCATCTATTGCTGTGATCATATGAGTTTCCTTCTTTAGCCTATCGATGTGATGGATTACACAAATTGACTTTTTTTTTTTAGACAGTGTCTTGCTTTGTTGCCGAGGCTGGAGTGCAGTGGCACAATCATGGCTCACTGCATCCGCAACCTCCCAGGCTCAAGCAATCCTCCCACCTCAGCCACTCAAGTAGCTAGGATTACAGTCACACACCACCATGCCTGGCTAATTTTTAAGTTTTTTGTAGAGATGAGGTCTTACTATGTTACCCAGGCTGGTCTCAAACTCCTGAGCTTATGTGTTCCTCCTGCCTTGGCCTCCCAAAATGCTAGGATTATAGGTGGGAGTCACCACACCCAGTCTATAATTCTTTTTAAACATTGTTGTATTCAATTTGCTAATAATTTGTTGAGGATTTTTGCATCTTTGTTCATGAAAGATATTGGTCTATAGTTTTCTTTTCTTGTAACGCCTTTATCTAGTTTCAGTATTAGGATTATGCTGTTTTTTTGGTATTTTGTTTTGTTTTGTTTTTTCTTTTTTTTGAGACGGAGTCTCACCCTGTTGCCCAAGCTGGAGTGCAATGGCATGATCTTGGTTCACTGCAACCTCTGCCTCCTGGGTTCAAATGATTCTCCTGCCTCGGCCTCCTGAGTTGCTGGGATTACAGGCAACTGCTACCACGCCCAGCTAATTTTTGTATTTTTAGTAGAGACAGGGTTTCACCATGTTGGCCAGGCTGGTCTCAAACTCCTGATCTCGTGACCCACGTGCCTCAGCCTCCCAAAGTGCTGGGATTACAGGCGTGAGCCACTGCGCCTGGCCCTATGCTATCTTTTATAGAATGAAATGGGAAGTACTCCCGCTGCTTCTATTTTCTGGAAGAGATTGTATAGAATTGATATCATTTCTTCCTTAACCATTTCTTAGAATTCACTAGTGAAACCATCTGGGCCTGGTGCTTTCTGTTTTGGAAGGTTAATAATTATTGATTTGGTTTCTTTAATAGGTATAGATCTATTCAAATTATCTACTTCTCCTTATGTGAGTTCAAGGAATTGGTCCATTTTATCTAAGTTATCAAATTTCTGGGCATAGTTGTTCATAATATTCTTTAATGATCCTTTTAATGCCATAGGATCAGTAGTGATGGCCTCTCTTTTTTAGCCTATTAGCCTAGTCACAGGTGTATTTTTTTTTTTTAGAGACAGGGTCTCACTTGGTGCAGTCATAGCTCACTGCGGCCTTGACCTCCTGGGCTCAAACGATCCTCTGACCTCAGCCTTTGGAGTAGCTAGGACTACAGGCCCATGCATGCTACCACACCCAGCTACTTTTTTTATGTTTTTGTAGAGATGGGGTCTCATGAAACGTCATGAGCCCAGGCTGGTCTCAAACTCCTGGCCTCAAGCAATCTTCCTGCCTCGGTCTCCTGATCCCTAGGATTATAGGCATGAGTCATCGAACCCAGTCAGGTTTATCAATTTTATTGATACTTTCAACAAACCAGCTCTTAGTTTTGTTGATTTTTTCTATTGATTTTCTGTTTTCAGTTTCTTTGATTTTTAGCCTAATTTTTATTTGTTTTCTTCTGTTTACTTTGTGGGGTTTTTTGCTTTTTTTTTTTTTTTTTTTTGGATAGGGTCTCACTCTGCCACCCAGACTGGAGTGCAGTGGCACAATCTCAACTCACTGCAACCACTGCCTCCCAGGTTCAAACAATTCTCTTTCTTCAGCCTCCTGAGTAGCTGGATATACAGGCACGTGCCACCATGCCCAGCTAATTTTTGTATATTTTGAATAGATGGGATTTTACCATGTTGCTCAGGCTGATCTCGAACTCTTGGGCTCAAGCGATCCACCCGCCTCGGCCTCCCAAAGTGCTGGGATTACAGGTGTGAGGACCCCAGTTCTTCTGTTTACTTTGTATTTATTTTGCTGTTTTTAAATTTTCCTGAGGTGGAAGCTTAGGTTGCTGGTTTTGGATATTTCTTCTCTTCTCATATCTCCATTCAATGCTATAAATTTTTCTCTCTGCATTGCTTTCACTGCACCTACAAATTTTGATAAATGATATTTTCATTTTCATTTAGTTCAAAATGTTTAACAATTTTTCTTGAGACTTCTTCCATGTATTATTTAGAATTATGTTTTTCATTTCCAACTTTTAAGTGTGGGGTACATGTGCAGGATATGCATGTTTGTTACATAGGTAAATGTGTGCCATGGTGGTTTGCTGCAAAGATAATCCCAGCATCCATTAGCTGTTCTTCCTGATCCTCTCCCTCCTCCCACCAGGTATAAAGCCCAGCATCCATTAGCTGTTCTTCCTGATCCTCTCCCTCCTCCCACCCCCGCCCTCCAAATTATGTTGTTTAATCTCCAAATATTTGAGAATTTTCCAGCTATTTTTCTGCTATTGATTTCTAGTTAAATTCCATTGTGGTCTGAGAGCATATTTTGAATGAGTTCCTTTCTTTTACGTTTCTTAAGATGTATTTTATTCAGAATGTGGTCTACCTTTGTCAGTGCTCCATGTGTGCTTGAGAAGAATTTGTAATTTGCTGTTGCTGGATAAAGTATTCTGTAGATGTCAATTATATTCAGCTGATTGATGGTGCTGTTGAATTCAGCTGTATCTTTACTGATTTTCTGCCTGCTGAATCTGTCTACTTCTGACAGAGGAGTGTTGAAGTCTCCAATAATAATAGTGAATTCATCTATTTCTTCTCTGCAGGTCTATCAGTTTTTGCCTCATCTATTTTGATGCTGTTGTTAGGCACATACATATTGAGTATTTTGATGTCTTCCTGGAGAATTGACCCGTTTGTCGTTATGTAATGTTCTGCTGTATCTCTGATAATTTTCCTTTCTCAAAAGTCTACTTTGAAATTAATATAGCTACTCCAGTTTTCTTTTTTCTTTTTTTGAGATGGAGCCTTGCTCTGTCACCCAGGCTGGAGTGCAGTGGCTTGATCTCAGCTCCCTGCAACCTCCACCTCCTGGGTTCAAGAAATTCTTCTGCCTCAGCCTCCCAAGTAGTTGGGATTACAGGCATGCACCACCATGCCAAGCTAACTTTTGTATTTTTTTTTTTAATAGAGACGAGGTTTTACCATGTTGGCCAGGCTGGTCTCAAACTCCTAACCTCAAGTGATCTGCTTGCCTGGGCCTCCCAAAGTGCTGGGATTACAGGCTTTAGCCACCATGTCCGGCCTGCAGCTTTCTTTTGATTGGTGTTAGCATAGTATGTCTTTCTCCAGCTCTTGGATTTTATTACATTAAATCTATCAGTAGGCCAGGCACAGTGGCTCACACCTGTAATCTCGGCAGTTTGGGAGGCTGTGGCAGGCGGGTCACTTGAGGCCAGGAGTTTGAGACCAACTTGGGCAATATAGGGAGATGCTGACTATCTTTTAAAAAAAGAAAAAAGATATCACTGGTGAAATTATTATTGTGAAAAATGTAATGAAGTATTCTTGCAAAGGGCAGTACAGTAAGCTACTTTCAGTCATTTATACTTTAGTTTGAATTAGTATATAAGAGACTTTCAATAAACAGGTAAAGAATACTTTTCGGTGGAGGGAAATGGGGGAGGGGGTGAGGAATTAAGAGTCAGTAACTGAAGGAGGGAGATGGAAGCCCCACAAACAAAAAGAGAGGCAGTCAGACATAAAAGCCAAAACGTTCCAGGCACAGTGGCTCACGCCTGTAATCCCAGCACTTTGGGAGGCTGAGGCGGGTGGATCATGAGGTCAGGAGATCGAGACCATCCTGGCTAACAGGGTGAAACCCCGCCTCTACTAAAAAAGTATAAAAAATTAGCAGGGCGTGGTGGCGGGCGCCTGCAGTCCCAGCTACTTGGGAGGCTGAGGCAGGAGAATGGCGTGAACCTGGGAGGTGGAGCTTGCAGTGAGCCGAGATCATGCCACTGCACTCCAGCCTGGGCGACAGAGCGAGACTCCGTCTCAAAAAAAAAAAAAAGCCAAAATGTGTGCTCTTCAAGATTCTTGCCCAGGGCTGATACCGCCTGAATGCTTAAGAGTTTTCCTCTCTAAGTGAATTCAGTTAACAGGTGTGCGCTGAGTATAGATTTGGGTGTGGAGAGTGAACCAGGAGTGCATCAGGGTTCCCAGGAAACAGCTGGTGACACAGCACCTGGAGACTCCTCTTCATCTGCCTTGGAACGCATTGCCTCGGAACCAGCTGTGGACACTGAAGGGAAGACAAAACGGACTTCCAGGCTTATTCTCAATGTTCCTCTTTGCTTCCTTCTTACGGTCACGTCTTTTGCAATCTCAAACCCTTTTCACAAAGGCTGCATCAAGGAAACACAGTATGCCTACTAATACCCAACTCCAGGAATCCCACTTCCTGTTAAGAGTGTCTTAGTCTTGAGAGGATTTGTCCTGGCAGGACTTGCTTTTTAGCCAAGCCAAGTATGTGGTGTGTCTGTGGGATGATTTGAGGAGTGTCTGCAAGATTGCCCTGTCCTACTCATGCCAAAAATTTCACCATGAATGAGTCATACCTGTTGCTACCAACACCCCGTTCCGAGAAGGCAAGGACACAGAAAGAAGATGGGGCAGCTTCCTTCCTCATTTTTCATGGGGATGGCCCGTGACTAGGGTCTACAGTGGAAATAAGATCTTATGTGGAGGAGAAAACATATGTGAAGTGTAAGCTAATGTTCATAGCAACATTATTCACGATAGCCAAAATGTGGGAACAATCCAAGTGTTCATCAAATGAATAAACAAAAAGGAATGTATATGTACAATATACACTGTACAATAGTACCATATATATGTACTATTCAGCCATAAAAAGAAATGAAGATCAGGCCAGGCATGGTGGCTCACACCTGTAATCCCAGTACTTTGAGAGGCCAAGGTGGGTGGATTGCTGGTGGAGCCCAGGGCTTCAACACCAGCCTGGGCAACATGGCAAAACCCTGTCTCTACAAAAAACACAAAAATCAGCCAGGTGTGATGGCACATGCCTGTAGTCCCAGCTACTTGGGAGGCTCAGGTGGGAGAATCACTTAAGCCCAGGAAAATGGAGACTGCAGTGAGATAGTGCCACTGCGCTCCAGACTGGGTGACAGAGCAAGACACTGTCCTCAAAACCAAAACCAAAATCAACAACAATAAAAAAAACAAGAAATGAAATTCTGATACATGCTACAACACGGATGAACTTTGAAAATACTATACTGAAAGAAGCCAGACACAAATGGGCAAATATTGCACGATTCCATTTATATGAAATATCTAGAACATGGAAATTCATAGAGACAGAAAGCAGATTTGAGCTCACTGGGGTCTAAGGGGAGAGGGGAGTGGAAATTATTGCTTTAATAGATACGGAGTTTATCTTATGGGTGATGACAAGCTTTGGAAATAGTGTTGATGGTTGCCTAACATTATGAATATAGTTAATGCTATTGAGCTCTATACTTAAAAATGATTAAAATGACAAACTTTATCTTATCTTAAATATTTTACCATAATAAAAAAGACAGTGAAGCCGGGCATGGTGGCTCACACCTGTAATCCCAGGTACTTTGGGAGGCAGAGGCGGGTGGGTCCTCTGAAGTCAGGAGTTCAAGACCAGCCTGACCAATATGGTGAAACCCCATCTCTACTTAAAAAAAAGGTATATAATAATAATAATAGTAAAACAATAGATGTGACTCAAGATTCCTGGCATGGGAATAGACTGAGGGAACTATGGAAAAGAGACAAAATTCAGAGGGGGAAAATGCAAAGGCCTAGAATTAGAAGCAAACTAAGCTCGTTGGGAAATGGGAACCTGGGTTCAATGAAGTCACCCAGGGCTGGCAGTGAATGAAGCTGGGGAGCTGAGTGGAGGTCAGATCAGGAGAAGCCTCACGTCCGGCACGAAAGAGGTTGAACCTGGCGCAGCAAGGTTTCTAAGCAGGAAGGAGCATATGGCTGATCAGGTTTGACTGTGGGCAAAATCACTCCAAAAAGTGTGGGGGATTTATGGCCTGAGAACAGTGGTGAAAGCAGTGAGAGAACCCCGCAGGGTCAGGCCAGGCACGAGAAAATAGGCTCTAGCCCAGCTCCCACTCCCCAGCGGCCCCTAGTGCCCCTAAAAGCCAGTGTAAGAAACAGGAGACAAGCCAGGCGTGGTGGCTCACGCCTCTAATCCCAGCACTTTGGGAGGCTGAGGCTGGTGGATCACGAGGTCAGGAGATCAAGACCATCCTGGCTAACACGATGAAACCCCATCTCTACTAAAAATACAGAAAAAAAAAAAATTAGCCGGGCGTGGCAGCACGTGCCTGTAGTCCCAGCTACTAGGGAGGCTGAGGCAGGAGAATCGCTTGAACCTGGGAGGCGGAGGTTGCAGTGAGCCAAGATTGCACCACTGCACTCTAGCCTGGGACACAGCGTGAGACTCCGTCTCAAAAAAAAAAAAAAAAAAAAAAAAACAGCAGACCCACCTGTGTCTCAGTTCTGTTACCTGATTTAGCACGAGTTTTCCCTGCTCTAACAGGAGACCATATGTCCTTCTCAAGGCCCACCTGGATACCAAGTCTCTAAACTGGGGAGGAAGCCCACGTAGAAATTAGCTTAGTGATAAAAAAAAAAAAAAAAAAAAAAAAAAAAAAAAAAAAAAAAAAAAAAAAACCCTGTGTGAGCCCTGGACGCTCTAACCTAAATATCTACCTTCCTGGCAAGGTCTCCTGGGGGAGAAGCGAAAGAAGGGTGTTTTCCTCCCGCCTGAAAATTCGGATTGCCTCTCTTTTGCGCTCCGAAAGAACACGCTTCCTCCGGGTGTGTCGGGGCTACCTGCCATTCCCCACCCCTGCTGCTCCTCCCTGGACTGACCCACTGCCCATGGCTCCCAGCTCCCCTCTCCCACTGCTGCCAGTTGGAGGTTCTGCTCCTAACCCCTAAGGGCTGTTTCTTCTGTCTACTTTTCCCCGTGGTGCTCCCAGATACAGCTCCCTGCCGGCAGCCTCCCCACTTTGAGACCCTGTTAACTCAGTCACCTGGGCCCCAGCTCCTTGTTCAGTGACCTCATGTCAGGAGCTTGAAATCAGCGAGGGTGGCAGTATTACAGCACAGGCATCTGCAGACACCACACATTAGCGCTTTTATTTCTGGAGAGCCAGCTGTCATCCGTATCCGTACACCGCCGACAGGGCTTCTGGTTCTTTTTTTTTTTTTTTTTTTTTTTTTTTTTTTTTTTTTTTTTTTGAGACGGAGTCTCGCTCTGTCTCCCAGGCTGGAGTACAGTGGCGCGATCTTGGCTCACTGAAAGCTCCACCTCCCGGGTTCACGCCATTCTCCTGCCTCAACCTCCCGAGTAGCTGGGACTACAGGCGCCTGCCACCATGCCCGGCTAATTTTTTTATATCTGTTTAGTAGAGACGGGGTTTCACTGTGTTAACCAGGATGGTCTCGATCTCTTGACCTAGTGATCTGCCCGCCTCGGCCTCCCAAAGTGCTGGGATTACAGGTGTGAGCCACCGCGCCTGGCCGGCTTCTGATTCTTGCAGACAGACTCCTGCAAGAAAAAAACTGATCCCACAGTGCCAGGCAGGGCTTCATTTCTCTGAGATCTGCTAGGTCCCCACCACCTCAGCAGGCAGGGCCAGTGCTTCCTAACATTGTAGAACTTCTCATTTCACCCCTGTGGTCAGGCTAACTGAGAGAGGGCTCAGTTCACAAGCACATTCTGCAGGCTCCTATGGAACTTGAACTAGAGCTCTGAGTTCTTCAGCAGGATGGATTGTGTGTGCCATCCAAGAATGGGGATGCTGTTTCCCATAACTGCCAACCCCTGTCCTCTCATGTTCCTGAGGTTCAAATGCAAGAGATGCTGCCCCTACACCGGTCTCAGGCATTTGGACCGGAATCCAGGCACATTACATACCCCATGTAGGCTTCATGGCCTCTAGGCTGTCTTAGCTCATTAACATCTCGCAGTTAAACTGGAAAGGCCAGAAAGGTGTTAAACAGAAACAAAAACACTGTAATCAATTTGGTTTGACTATATTTAACCGTTTAGCTTTTCTTTTGTTTTCTTTTCTTTTTTTTAAGAGATAGGGTCTCACTCTATCACTCAGCCTGTAGTACAGTGATGTAATCATTAGCTCACTGCAGCCCTGAACTCCTAGGCTCAAGTGATCCTCCTGCCTCAGCCTACTAAGTAGCTGGGGCTATGGTGGGCACCATCATGCCTGGATAACTTGCTTATTTTTGTAGAGACTGGGTCTGGCTATCTTGCCCAGGCTGGTCTCTAACTTCTGAGCTCAAGCGATCCTCCCCTCTCAGCCTCCCAAAGTGCTGGGATTTCAGATGTGAGCCACAGTGCCCATTGTTGGCTTTTTGATACATTTAAGATCATGTACATTACTGTTAATTATGATTGTTTTTGTCATTCAGTGTGTGTGATTTTCCAAAGATTACACTTTGAATCTCCAGGTGTGCACTGAATTGTCCCCCTCCTTCCCCACTGACAGGCTGAAGTCCTAAGCCCCAGTACCTCAGAATATGACCTTATTTGGAAATCAGATGATTGCAGATGTAATTAGTTAAGATGAGGGCATGCTGGAGTAGGGTAGGGTGGGCCCCAAATCTAATATGACTGGTGTTCTTATAAAAGGGGGATATATTTGGACACAGGAAAAATGCCACGTGTACATGAAGCTGGCCATCTACAACCCAGGAGAGAGGCCTGAAACAATCTTTCCTCACAGTCATCAGAACTGGAACCAACACTGCCCACACCTTGAACACAGGCTTCCAGCGTCCAGGACTGTGAGACAGCACACGTCTGCTGATTTAGCCCCCTAGCTTATGGCACTTTCTGACAGCAGCGCTAGCTAACCAATACACTCCCTGCTAAATGTACTTTTCCATTTGTGCCCCACCAGGGTTTGCAGACAAGCAAAATTGTCATAGTTCCCTAACGCCTCAGAATGTTTTCTTCCTGGATCACTTTTTATAATTATTACTTACAGTGAGGGAAAACTGAAATATTGCAATGCCATCCACAATTAGGATTAGTCCCAACCACTCAGAAACGTTAAAAACTGATCTAATAAAAATAAAGAACCTTAAGACGCATTAAACTCTAAGCTACTTGGAAGCTGCTTCTTCTGTTTGTGGACACGCAGATTTGCCACAGTTGAAATCACTGGCCACGTGCTGTCTTGTGTGTGTTTGTCACTTAACATCGCATGACAGAAATATTTCCACGTAGTGACAATGTTCATATTCTTATTTAAATAGCGACTTACTAGTCATTTGTTATATTCTCATTTTTCACTACATTTTTGTGTAATTTATTTTTTAACTGCATTTAAACTTTTTCCTCGGGGCATGTACGGGAAGAGTTCTGGATTCCAATTTTAGCCCCTGTCACACAGAACCCCGTTCTTCTCTAGACTGAGCTGACCTGTGGTTTCCCCAGAAATAAAAACGACGCGTGCAGGTTTCTCCCTCCCCTTGACGTCATTTCGTTTGATCCTTTGTAATGATTTTCCCTAGTTTCGAAAGCTTGCCCTAGTCTTAACGCTGTTTTCGCGTTTCCTTATGTCGCTAAGCGGGAGGTAGCCCCGCACTCTAAGCATCCGGCTCATTTTCATGTTTTACCGGACCCCAGCGACCGGCGCCCTCTGCGCTAGGCGCCCGGTGCCGTATAGCCCTCCGCCGTGTGCAGCCGGGTGCTGGTGTTGTTGCAGCGGCGCCCGCCAGGAGGCAGCGCAGGCTCGGCATTGGCTGCGGCGTCCCACAATGCACCGGGCTCTGGGGCCTGCACGACAGTCTTGAACCCAGCTGCGGGGCCGCGAGAAGGCGGGCCCGGGAGCCGGCGAGGGCGGGGCCTCCGAGGAAAGGGCCGGGAGCCGACGCGGAGGCGGTGGGCGGGGCGTTAGGGGGCGGGGCCGGGAGCCGCCGAGGGGGCGGTGGGCGGGGTATTCGGGGGGCGGAGCCGGGAGCCTCCCAGGGGGCAGTGGGTGGGACCGGGAGCCGGCCGGCCGGGCCGGGGATGCGGTGAGCCGAGGGCGGGGCCTCAGGGGGCGGGACCGTGGAGAGGGCGGGGCCGGGCCGCTGGCGCTGTCGCCGGCTGCAGTGGCCGCCGCTGGAGACCGCGGGACCTGGCGCTGCAGCGAGGTAGGGGCTCTTCGGGATCTTCCCTTTCGGGGGTGGGAAGTCTTTTCTTCGTCGTGCCAACGGGAGAAGCGGCGAGCTGCTAAAATTTAGAGACGGCTTCGCACTTCTCGCTGTAGCCCGGGCTTTACCCGGGGGATCGATTTTAAAACTCTTTGTCTGGCCCCGTCGTCCTGCCCGCGGGCCGGACGTGGGGCGCCTGCTCTGGGCGTCTGGGGCGGGCGATTGCAAGCTCGCGGTCCATGTCCCCTGCCTCGGAGTGTGGACGTGAACTCCGGGGTGGGCTGGGCTGGGTTTCTACAGAGGCGGGAATTTGTGAGAACTGGGAGAGTGTGGCTGTCGGCAGGGGTCCGTATCACACTGTGGGCGGGGGTCCCGACCCCTGCTGCCTCGGGTACGGGGTAAGCGGCATCTGCCACGCGCCCGCCTCGCGCGCTGTCAGGAGGCGCTGTCCCCGTGGGTAAGCCCGTGCCGTGGGTGCCCTCCAGTCCCTGCAGCCCCAAACACACCTACCCCAGAGGACACCACAGAATGCGGACCCCAAAGCCAGCCGTACCTGCGAGCCCCTCAGCACAGCTGACTTTAATTTGGGATCCCACAATTTGAGCTTTTCAAAAGTTAAGTTTGGCAGATTGGAAGCCCGGGAATAGGGGGCGCTCGGAATGCTGAGTTTTGTTGGTGTTTGTCCTCAGCCTGTTTCTGGGTCACCCTGCAGGGCTCCATCCGTTCAGTCTCACCCCTTGGTAAGCATGTCCTGTCCTGAAGGCTCCATGCTGAAAGTCTAGACCCCATCTTTGCCTACTTTTCAAGGCTTGGCAAAGCACGTGTGTCTTTTGATCCTTATCCCCCATGTAACATAATTCATGTTTTTAAAGATATGTTTTTATTTAAAACCTTCCCCCTATATTTTCATTCCCATAAATACGAATTGGTTGATTTTACTTGTGAACTCCTTTAGGCATTTAGTAATAAAGGTTATAATTAGGAAAACTGAAAGATATTCATCAGGTAAACATGATCCTCCTTAACAAATTTGCTGCTCGTAAAAGGCAGCAGATGGGAAATCAGGCAAGCTTGGTTTTAAAACGTTTCTGCCTCTGAGAAGGTTGAACTATTAATATTATATTTATTGTTCATTCCAAGTCTAAAATGCTAGCAATGAACTCACATTCCTTTTTTGCTAGACAGTCATACCTGTTGACTTGAGATAATAAGAAAATTCTCCTCATCCCCAGAACTGAAGAAAATTCTTTCCAATTGTTCTCACCTTACCTATCCCCAGGGAAAGGAGATAAGTCTCAGAGTTGTTGGGATTCTAAATATTTTGTTAAGCAGAAATTCCTGCTGGTCCTTAACAAACTCTGAGTACTTTGCTCTGGAATTATCAGTTCTTTTTCAAAATGTGAAATTATGAATTGCCTATTACATACAATATTCCACATCTCACGTTAATATTCATTTAAAAGCATTGTGAGGCCGGGTGTGGTGGCTCACACCTGTAATCCTAGAACATCCGGAGGCCGAGGTGGGAGGATTGCTTGAGCTCAAGAGTTCAAGACCATGCTGGGCAACATGGCGAAACCTCATGTCTACAAAAAATGAAAAAATTAGCCGGCATGGTAGTGAGCACCTGTGGTCTCAGCTACTTGGTAGGCTGAGGTGGGAGGATCACTTGATCCTGGGAGGCAGAGGTTGCAGTGAACTGAGACCACCCCACTGCACCCCAGCCTGGGTGACAGAGTGAGACCCTGTCTCAAAAAATAAAAATCATTTTGTAATTGTGAGTAAAAAGAAACAAATCTTTAAAAGATTAAAAACAAGAAAAAATTAGTATATGTTAGTGATTACCATTTTGACTTCCCTGGAGGGACAATAAACCCAAAAGATAAAACCAAAATCTAGTTATTAATAGTCACCGACACCATAAGAACTAGAAGGCACCATCTGAAGCTTAAAAGGAAGTTTAAAAACATGTTAAATTCAGACAATAACTTTGCACAGTGGTTTGCAAACATCAGTAAACCCAAACCCTCAAGTGATTCCTATGGAAAGACACTGACACTCAGATCAAGAAATTTAAATACAAATTCATGGGCTAACTAAAAAAATAAGCAGATCAAGTATCTCCAGCATCAACTGTGAATACACACACGTTAGGTTAATTTAAAAAATGACCCACTGTTTTTTACAATCTTCCAATGCCTGTATGCTTCCAAAAAGGCACAGCTGGCATACTTTTTGCTTCTAAAGGAGGTAAACTTTAAAAACTGACCCGCAGTTACAGACCGGCACTTAGAGGAGTTAACTCAAACAGGTGAGTGACTCACCAATTACTCATTTTTTCTGCAGATTATTTACCTACTAAGTGCAAGACTGGACTCATAGCTTTAGCTCACTCCTAGTGAAAACACTGCACATAGGATCTATAAATGGAGGCTGTGTCATCAAGACCTCAGAAGTAGGGGCCGGCATATTTCTTAGACACTGATGAAACAGAAACATCTCTCAGAAGAACCATAAAGACATGAGTAGCTCTGTGTTAAAACACATCATTTATTTTGAAGGGAAAAAGGAACGCAGAAAGAACAATAGAGAGGAACTCAGAGCATTTCCTCTGTGGCTTCCCCCTTTGTGGTGCCAATTTAAAACAAAATTATTGTCTAATGATACTAATTTTTAAATAATAGTCATGTAATGTGAGGTTATAGAAGTAGTTATTCTGAAGGAGATAGTCACTCATACATGAACTGTCCAGGTTTCCAATAATAAAAACATCACTCTATTCCTATTCATGTATTTGTTCAATAAACACCCTAGCACAGTTTTAGGATTAGGAATATGAAGATAAATAGTTTAACATCTGACTTTAAGAAGCTGATCTAGTTGGGGAAATCAACCCAGAGATAATTATGCAGTTGGTATGATGATAGATGTCTGCTCGTAGTGCTATCGGACCTCTGAAAAAATCAGTGCCTGAAATTAGTATTAAAGGATGACTAAGTTTTAGCCAGAAGTGGGAGGAGACTGCTCCAGGTAGAGGGAACAAACATTAACAAAATCATGGAGGTAAAGGCCAGGCACGGTGGCTCACGCCTATAATCCCAGCACTTTGGGAGGCCAAGGTGGGAGGATTGCTTGAACCCAGGAGTTTGAGACCAGCTTGGGCAATATAGTGAGACCACATTTCTCCAAAAAAAAAAAAAAAAAAAAAAAAAAAAGCCAGGTGAGGTGGTGCACACCTGTTGTCTCAGCTACTTGGGAGGCTGAGGTGTGAGGATCTCTTGAGTCCAGGAGGTGGAGGTTACAGTGAGCTGAGATTGCACCATTGCACTACAATCTGGGCAACAGGGTGAGACCCTGTCTAAAAAAAAAAAAAAATTAAACTAAAAAAATTTTTTAAATGGTGGAGATAAAGTACCAAAATATGAGGCCTAGAAAGATATAGAATAAGACTAAAGAAAGAGGACGGGGTCACACCATAAAAAGTCTTGTAAAGGCAGGGGGAGCCACTGGAAACTTTGGTGGGAGAATAACAGGATCAGATCTGCTTTAAGCAGCTTACTCTGAGGCTTCAGTGAAGAATGGACTTAGGAGGGTAGGAGGCAGGAAGAGCTGTTAAGAGGCTGCAGCAGTGATTAGGAAAGAAATGATGAGGGTGCAGCGTTGGTGGAACGTGTGGCCAAATGGTCATGCATTCCTAGACATTATCAGCTTTCTTAGACATGATTTCATTTGGTTTTTGTAACCACCCTTTGCTTTTTGTAGGGTAGATTAATAGGCGCATTCTGTAAGTGTTTACTTAGGCACTTTGTGTTCACTATCCCTGAATCTTATAAAAACCCTGTAAGTTGAGTATTATTAGCCCACTTCCCAGAAGCGTGTACTGAGGCACTGGTGAGGGCAGAGGCACAATCAGCTCCAGGTGCAGTCTTTTCATACAGGGCTCATTCTGAACAGCAGATTGGTCCTTGCCTCTGAAGACTGAGGTGGGACAGCCCTTCCAGGTAAACCCACACCTCAGGCGTCAGCATGGGAGTGAGACCGCAGTGCCTGGCTTCTCAAGCAATACTGTTTATGCATTTAAAAGTCCCCTGGCTGGGCGTGGTGGCTCATGCCTGTAATGCCAGCACTTTGGGAGGCCGAGGCAGGCAGATCACGAGGTCAGGAGATCGAGACCATCCTGGCTAACACGGTGAAACCCTGTCTCCACTAAAAATACAAAAAATTAGCTGGGCGTGGTGGCGGGCGCCTGTAGTCCCAGCTACTCAGGAGGCTGAGGCAGGAGAATGGCGTGAACCCAGGAGGTGGATCTTGCAGTGAGCCAGAGCCAGGATTACGCCACTGCACTCCAGCCTGGGCGACAGAGCGAGACTCCATCTCAAAAAAAAAAAATTAAAAAAAATAAAAAAAATTCCCCTTGAGGCTGGGCGCAGTGGCTCATGACTAATCCCAGCACTTTGGGAGGCTGAGGCAGGCGGATCACTTGAGACTGGGCAACGTGGCAAAACTCGTCTCTACAAAAATATACAAAAATTAGCCTGGCATGGTTGTGCGTGCATCTGTTGCCCAAACTACTAGTTGGGGCTGAGCTAGGAGGATCACTTGAGCTGAGGAGGTAGAGAGAGGCTGCAGTGAGCTGTGATTGCATCACTGTATTCCAGCCTGGGTGAGACCCTGTCTCAAAAAAAAAAAAAAAAAGTCTCCTTGAAAAAGATCATATAGAAGTTCTGGAAAAAATGAAACATAGAATTATCATGTGATCAGCAATGTCACTTCTGGATTTAAAGCCAAAAGAATTGTAAGCAGGGATTTGAATAGATATTTATACATCCATGTACCTAGCAAAGTTCTTTACAGTAGCCAAAAGGTGGCTGCTGCCTCAGTGTTCATGGACAGATGAATGGATAAACAAAATGTGTCAGTACAAACAATGGAATATTATTTAGCCTTAAAAAGGAAGTTCTGACACATGCTACAACATGGATGAACCTTAAGGACATCATGCTAAGTGAAATAAGCCAGTCACAAAAGAACAGATGCTATATGATTCTACTCGTATGAGGTCCCTAAAGCAGTCAAGCTCATAGAGACAGAAAGCATGGGGGTTGCCAGAAGCTAGGGGGAGGAGGAGTGGGGAGTTCATGTTTAATGGGTACAGAGTTTCAGCCTGGGAAGATGAAAAAGTTCTAGAGAAGGATGATGGTGATGGTTACACAACAATGTGAACGTGCTTAATGTCATACACCATTGCACTTAAAAATGGTTAAGATAAGCCAAGTGCATTGACTCAACACCTGTAATCCTAGCACTTTGGGAGGCCGAGACTAGTGGATCACCTGAGGTCAGGAGTTCAAGACAAGCCCAGCCAACATGGTGAAACCCCGTCTCTGCTAAAAACACAAAAATAATCTGGATGTGGTGGCACGAGCCTCTAATTCCAGCTACTCGGGAGGCTGAGGCAGGAGAATCGCTCGAACCCAGGAGGCAGAGGTTGCAGTGAGCTGAGATCGTAACACTGCACTCCAGCCTGGGCAACTGGGTGAGACTCCATCTCAAAAAATAAAAAGAAATGGTTAAGATAGCTGGGCAGGGTGGCTCACGCCTGTAATCCCAGTGACTCAGGAGGCTGAGGCAGGAGGATCACTTGAGCCAAGGTTGAGGCTGCAGTGAGCTATCATTGCACCACTGCTCCAGCCTGGGCAGCAGAGCGAGACCTCATCGCTTCAATAAAAACTGGTGAAAATGGCCAATTTTATGTTCAATCTATTTTACCACACACATAAAAAGTCCTATGGTATGTCACGTTATGATCAGATTCCCAAGGCCTAGGAGCTTGTGACAAACTTGTTTTTTGTTTGTTTTTTGAGACAGAGTCTCACTCTGTTTCCCAGGCTAGAGTGCAGTGGCACAATCTCTGCTCACTGTAACCTCTGCCTCCCAGATTCAAGCAATTCTCCTGCCTCAGCCTCCCGAGTAGCTGGGATTATAGGTGCACACCGTCATTCCTGGCTAAGTTTTGTATTTTTTGTGGAGATGGGGTTTCACAGTGTTGGCCAGGCTGGTCTCCAATTCCTGACAGATTTGTGATAAGGAAGACTAGGAAATGCAACCAGGAAGATTAAAATGGGCATCTCATAGATTCCAGCCCAAGGAAAGAATGCTGGCTGGATTCCTGGAGGAAAAATCACAGAATGAGAAGCTGGAAGGTGGCAGAGATGGCATTTAGTTCAACTTCCTCTTTTTACAGATGAGAACGGTGAGGCCCGAGCTATCCAGTGACTGCCTAGGGTCACTGAGCAACTTCAAGCAAAGGGAGGATGTGAAGCCAAAACCTGTCCACCCTCCCCCACCCCCACCCTCCAATTCCCCCTGAAAGACAACCAGTGCCTGGTACTGAGAAGGAATCTCTGGGCTGACTGACAAAGATGTGCTCTGGCTTGCTTTTCAAGCAGAAAACAAACCGAGTTTTCCATCTCAATCAGTCTTGCTACAGCACATTCATAGGACTACCATGGCTGAAGAGATTTGGGTGCTTAGAATTTGGTGTTTGGTTGCTGGCTGTCTAGGTATCAAGGTGGGAAAGTGGTGACGTTAGAGTGAGTTAGTTCATTCATTCATTCATTATCAAATATCTGAGGGCCGACAACGTGTCAAATATCTTCTCCAATTTCTAGTTTTTCTATCTAGTAACAACCATCTGCCATCTTTATTCTAGATGTTCTGCCAGTTGCCCTTGGACATAAACTCCTTTTATGTAAGCTTTCATTGACTCCTGGATGGGGCCCCTCGGGAATAGGTAGAGTTGGAGGGGAGATGTTATGAGATGAAGGTGGGCGGTGCCAAATGCCAGAGACAGTTTCAGTTCCATCAAGGAAGCCACCCAGAGCTACAGGGTTCCAATTCGGATGTGTGTCTAGGGGCTCTAAGATGCAGAAGGACTGGAATCCTGTTGGTGTAACTTGCTCCGGCAGAGACCAGGTATGGGGATTGCCTGGAGGTCTTAATGCCTGCATGGAGGTTCCCAGTGATACATGCAGCAGAAAACCCAAAAGACAGACTAAAAGGAGAGCTATTCAGAGATAAGCAGAGATGCAAGAGAGAGAGAGAGATGTGGAAGGGGGTGCAATCTGGAAGACCCACAATTTTCCTGGGACGACATCCCAATCTTGTGGCCTCTAAGGATAAAGCCAGGTTGACTCATCACGATGATGCATAAAGGTAGATAGAGCCTCTTTTTCTTTTTTAACTGATATGGTTTGGCTATGTCCCCACCCAAATCTCATCTTGAATTGTTGCTCCCATAATCTCCATGTGTCGTGGGAGGGACCTGGTGGGAGGTAATTGATACATGGGGGCAGGTTTTTCCCATGCTGCTCTCGTGATAGTGAATAAGTCTCATGAGATCTGATCGTTTTATAAAGGGGAGTTCTCCTGCACACACACTCTTGCCTGCTGCCATGTAAGATGTGCCTTTGCTCCTCTGCCTTCTGCTGTGATTGTGAGACCTCCCCAGCCATGTGGAACTGTGAGTCCATTAAACCTCTTTTTCTTTATAAATTACCCAGTCTCGGGTATGTCTTTATTAGCAGTACTAATACATTAACCCACTAACCCACTATTTGTATCTGCTTGCTCCCAGGAGAGTTGAGTTGTAGACTACAAGATAAAACATAACTTAAAAAATAAGGCACTAGGGTAGTTTAGTAAAACAATGGCCAGCTTTGAAACCACTTATCAAACTCTGGAACCTTGGAAAAATTAACTAACCTACCAGAATGTTACGTTTCCTCATCTGTAAAATGCAGTAACAACTTTACAGAGTTGTTGGGAGAATTAGAAATCCATTAATGTTTTCATTCAGCACTTTTACTGAGTGCCACGTTAGTGGCAATACTGTGTTAGGAGCAGAACAGGTAAGGATGGGTAAGACATGGTGCCTGCCATTGAGAGGCTTATAACTGGGGCGGAGGAAGACAGACACGTAGATAGACAAGTGGGTGAGGTGTCAAAGAACTTTGCTGGAAATGCATACAGGAAAGAAAGAAGGTATATCAGGAAATGTATGCAGAAAGAAGGAAGGCATGTCAGGAATGGCATGGTGCCAGGTATATAGGAGACGCACAGTAGAGACTAGCTGTTTTTAAAATTATAAAACATAAAAGTGATCAAAGCAGTGAAGCAGAAATAAATCCCGTGGGACACCTGAGATGAGACATTTTGGCACAGAATTTGGCTTTAAGTTTCTTAGAAGCCACGACAGAAAAGGAAACAGGTCGGGTGACATCATTTTCTTATTCTAGTAAGAGAAAGTACACAGATTCAACTTTAGAGAGGACTTTTTTTTTTTTTCTGGAGCTAAATCAAGGAAGGATTATCACGTGGCCTCCCTTGAATATAATTTTGAAGCTGTGAACAGTACCATCAGTAACATTTTATGGACAGCTCTGATGGTTTTTATACCACGGCACTCTTCTTACCTTTGGTGGAAGCTATCTGGAGTTATGACTGATGTGTAAAGTGGTTTACTGTTAGAATCCTGGTGTGCTAGGATTCTGGGAGAGTCACTTTCAGGAAGTTACCTGGCGATGAGTCATCAGAAGAACCTGGAGAAGTGAGAAGACTGGAAAAGTTCTCATTGTTCTGAGCTCAGTTATTTTCTCTGTGCTACAGGGCAGAGGATCCCTTGGCATGAAATAAGAGCTAAGTGGTCCAACAGGCGTTGAAGTGTTAAAACAAGAATAGAGTAAGTCCTGTGCTAATCCTGACACAAGATAGCAGGCTCTGGGGATGATAATGCCTGCTGCTGATGGGCGGACCAGGGATTAGCAACCATCCAGGGAATATGCTTCAGATAAACTAAACAGGAGGTAGGATGATGCCATGGAAAAGGCATGGACTTTGAAGTCAGGTATATCAAGTTCAAATCCTAGGTCTGCTAGTTGCTAGTTTCACAAAGTACTTAATTTTCTGATCCTCAATGGGATATTAAGAGTTATCTTGGGCCGGGCACAGTGGCTCATGCCTGTAATCCCAGCACTTTGGGAGGCCGAGTTGGGTGGATCACAAAGTCAAGAGATCGAGACCATCCTGGCCAACATGGTGAAACCCCGTCTCTACTAAAAATACAAAAATTAGCTGGGTGTGGTGGTGCACGCCTGTAGTCCTAGCTACTTGGGAGGCTGAGGCAAGAGAATCACTTGAACCTGGGAGGCGGAGGTTGCAGTGAACCAAGATTGAGCCACTGCGCTGCACTCCGGCCTGGCGACAGAGTGAGACTCCATCCCGCCACCACCCACCAAAAAAAAAAATTTATCTTGGGCCAGGCGTGGTGGCTCACGCCTGTAATCCCAGCACTTTGGGAGGCTGAGGCAGGTGGATCACCTGAGGTCAGGAGTTCAAGACCAGCCTGACCAACATGGTGAAACCCCATCTCTACTAAAAATACAAAAATTAGCTGGGCACCTGTAATCCCAGCTACTTGGAAGGCTGAGGCAGGAGAATCGCTTAAACCCAGGAGACAGAGGTTGCAGTGAGCTGAGTTCATGCCATTGCACTCCAGCCTGGGCAACAAGAGTGAAACTTCATTTCAAAAAACAAAAGAGTTATCTCGTATTTCTTGGTTGTTTTGCCAATTAAAGTTAAGGTATATAAACAATAATAATAGTAATAATAATGAGTGCTAACAATGATTGAGACCTTAGTGCAGGCCCTCTGCTAAGTGTTTTAACTGCATTATCTCATTTATTCTTTTTTTTTTTTTTTTTTGAGAGGAGTCTTGCTGTGTTGCCCAGGCTAGAGTAGAGTGGTACGATCTCGGCTCACCACAACCTCTGTCTCCTGGGTTGAAGCGATTCTCCTGCCTCAGCCTTCGAAATAGCAGGGATTTACAGGCACGCCACCACACCCAGCTAATTTTTGTATTTTTTAGTAGAGACGGGGTTTCACCATGTTGGCCAGGCTGGTCTCGAACTCCTGACCTCAGGTGATCTGCCTGCCTCGGCCTCCCAAAGTGCTGTGATTACAGGCGTGAGCCACTATGCCCAGCCACATTTATTCTTAATAGCAACTCTCTGTGGTACATACTACCTGGCAATTAGAAGATGCTCGGCAGATGGTATATATTAGTATCATTTGTTTAAAATTAATAAATAATAAAAATATTAAATCTGGCCCATTGTCTGTTTTCGTAGTCCATGAGCTAAGAATGGTGTGTAAATTTTTAAATGGTTGGGAAAAAAATTAAAATAGAGGCCGAGTGTTGTGGCTCACACTTGTAATCCCAGTGCTTTGAGAGGCTGAGGCAGGAGGATCACTTGAGGCCAGGATTTCAAGACCAGCCTGGGTAACATAGCAAGACCCCATCTCTACAAAATTTTAAAAATTAGGCAGGTGTGTTGGCGCACGCCTGTATTCACAGCTACTCAGGAGGCTGAGGCGGGAGGATCACTGGAGGCTGCGAGGTTGAGGCTGCAGTGAGCCATGACTGCACCACTGCACTCCAGCCTAGGCATCAGAATGAGACCCTGTCTGCAAAAATAATAATAAAAATAAAAAAATAAATCAGGCCAGGTGTGGTGGCTCACTCCTGTAATCTCACTTTGGGAGGCTGAGGTGGGCAGATCACTTGAGACCAGGAGTTTGAGACCAGCCTGGCCATCTCTACTAAAAATACAAAAATTAGCCGGGTGTGGTGTTGGGCGCCTGTAGTCCCAGCTACTTGGCAAGCTGAAGCACGAGAATCACGTGAACCCAGGAGGCGGAGGTTTCAGTGAGTTGAGATTGCCCCACTGCAGTCCAGCCTGGGTGACAGAGCGAGACTCTGTTTCAAAAATAATAATAATAATATTTTATGACATGAAAATAATATAAATTTAAATTTCAGTGTTTATAAGGTTTCCTTGGAACACATTCACGCCCTTTTGTTTACATGCTGTCTAAAGATGTTACATGCCATCTAAAGCCATCAGCACTGCATTAGTCTTCAGTGGCTGTGATGGAGATACGAATGACCTGCAAAGCCCTACATGTTTACTATGTGGCCCTTGACAGAAAACGTTCGCTGATCCCTGATTTAGAACAAGACCTCCAGGGGCCGCTACAGAACAGAAACTCAGCCGACCTCTGTGTTAGCAAGATCGCCCAGGGGTGACTTTTCAGACACGGAATCTGGTAGGAGTGGAAATCCCATCTGCCCCCTTGTTGAGACCCATGGACAAGGCCTGTGCTGGACAGTCCCAGCATCCACATGGGCCGGGTTGAGGAGAGAAACAGGGCTGGGGCCAAGCCCATCTGGGGCCAGAACTTAGTGGAGCAGGCTGAGAAATCTGGGATCTCTGAGCTTTTTGTTTTTATGCTTTCGTATTTGTTTGCTTTTCCCTTTGTGTTTTAGCAAAAATTCTCTTTTAAAATTCTCATCTAAGCTAAATCAAGGAGGAGAAATGATCGGTTCACATCTGGGCCAGGATAGAGTCCAAAGTTCTTCATTGTTCTTAAGCCATGCTGTGTCTGCCTGGCCCCTGTCACTTCCTTGTCAGGACTCCCCTCCTGATCGCTCCCTACCCCCGGCTCTACTCAGGCCGTGCAGCTCGCAGCACCCAGGAAGAAGTCTGTTACACCTTTCATGCTGTTTTATCCTCTGCGGGTCCCTCCGTTTCCCACCCCTCCACACCTTCCCAACCTGGCGGAATCCTCAGCCTTCAAGATTCTGCTGAAGTGCCACCTCCTCTTCCGGGAGGCCCTTCCTGGCTCTTTCTGCCCATCCTGGAAGAGGGAAGAGATGACCACATCTGCTTTTTTTTTTTTTTTTGAGATGGAGTCTCACTGTGTTGCCCAGGCTGGAGTGCAGTGGCGGAATCTCAGCTCATTGCAACCTCCACCCCCGGGTTCAAGTGATTATCCTGCCTCAGCCTCTGGAGTAGCTGGGATTACAGGCGTGCACCACCACACCCAGCTAATTTTCTGTATTTTTAGTAGAGACGGGTTTTGCCATGTTGGCCAGGCTGGTCTTGAACTCCTGACCTCAAGTGATCCGCTCGCTTCGGCCTCCCATAGTGCTGAGATTACAGGGGTGAGCCACTGCACCCGGCTGACATCTGCTTTTTTGCCACACTCTACCTCCTATCCTACCACCTGTCACTCTGCATGGGCGATGTCCACTGTCTGTGGATTCTTTCCTGTTAGCGATGACGTTGTAAACTTAGCACCCCACACGGCTCCTGGACCATGGTAACCTGGAGTGTGTGAAGGCTGTAAATGAGGATGAGTCCTCTGAAGGACCGGGAGGAATGAACTTTCTAGCTCAAGAACTAGAAATTCCTCAATAAAAGATGATGTTGATGAATGGAAACTGAAGCAAGGAAGGCCTAGGGTGGCAACGTTCCTGCCTGGGCTTTTTTCTTTTCCTTTATGTGAAGGATATTGAATAATTCAGTAGGAAATACCCTTAACTATAAAAGACAGAAAACACTAAGCAAGGAATGGTGGCACACACTTGTAGTCCCAGCTACTCAGGAGGCTGAGGCATGAGGATCACCTGAGCCCAGGAGTTTGAGACCAGCCTGGGCAACATAGCAAGACTGGTCTCTTAAAAAAAAAAAAAAAAAAAAAAAAATTGGCCGAGCGCAGTGGCTCACACCTGTAATCCCAGCACTCTGGGAGGCCGAGGCGGGCGGATCATGAGGTCAGGAGATCAAGATCATCCTGGCTAATGCAGTGAAACCCTGTGTCTACTAAAAAATACAAAAAAAAAAAAAAATTAGCCAGGCATAGTGGCGGGTGCCTGTAGTCCCAGCTACTTAGGAGGCTGAGGCAGGAGAATGGTGTGAACCTGGGAGGTGGAGCTTGCAGTGAGCTGAGATCGCACCACTGCACTCCAGGCTGGGCAACATAGTGAGACCCCCCCACAACTCCACACACACACACACACACACACACACACTATTCAAACAGAATATTCATGTAATACCTCTCCAAGGACTTCCAGCACAAGGCTACATTGTAATTCAGAGAAGACATTTCAGGAGGGGCTGAGACAATATTGTCCAACAACTTTGTTGATGATAAAATATAAGGATAGAATTTTCTTTTCTTTTTTAATAGAGATGGGGTTTGCCATGTTGGCCAGGCTGGTTTTGAACTCCTGAGCTCAAGCAATTCGCCTGCCTTAGTCTCTCAAAGTGCTGGCATTACAGGCATGAGTCACTGCCCCCGGCCGAGGATAGAATTTGAAAAATGCAAATGTTGGTCCAGCACAGTGGCTCACACCTGTAATCCTCACACTTTGGGAGGCTGAGGCGGGTAGATCACATGAGGTCAGGAGTTCAAGACCACCCTGGGCAACACGGTGAAACCCTGTCTCTACTAAAATACAAAAAAATTAGCTGGGTGTGGTGGTGCGCACCTGTAGTCCCAGCTGCTTGGGTGGCTGAGGCAGGAGAATTGCCTGAACCCAGGAGGCGGAGGTTGCAGTGAGCCGAGATCGCGCGACTGCACTCCAGCCTGGGTGACAGACCAAGACTCCATCTCAAAAAAAAAAAAAAACAAATGTCTAACTCGCCAGGAGACAAGATCTTTCAAGTACAGATATCTCACATGAGCTCTTATCACCCTCAACGGAATCTTGTCACAGGACAAGGAAGGATTGGGGCTGGAAGGATCTTACCTAATAGCCTCTTGGTATCTGCTCTCTCCAAGGGCAATATCTGCCCTTAAGAGAATTGTTGTCTGTAACTTTGATCTCAACTGGGTGATTGCTGAGCTCTCAAGACCTTTATCTTACAAGCACAGTTTGAGTTGGTTTTTTCATGCTCTCACTCTAGCCTAGGAATCCTTTCGGCCACTTTGGGCCTGTTGTGAGTTCCTAGGGTGGCAGATCTCCATGAACTTGCCCGTTTACTCTGCGGAAAACTTAGTGTTATAGCAGGTTGGCGCGTGGTGGCTTACGCCTGTAACCCCAGCACTTTGGGAGGCTGAGACAGGTGGATCACCTGAGGTCAGGAATTCGAGACCAGCCTGGCCAACATGGTGAAACCCTGTCTCTACTAAAAATACAAAAATTAGCTGGGCATGGTGGCATGTGCCTGTAATCCCGGCTTGAACCCAGGAGGCAGAGGTTGCAGTAAGCTGAGATCCCGCCATTGCACTCTAGCCTGGGCAACAGAGTGAGACTGTCTCAGAAAAAGAAAGAAAGAAGCGGGTGGAGGGGGTGGGGCGGGGAGAGGGAGGGAGCGGGGAAGGGAGGAAGGAAACATAGTGTTATATCAGCCAACCTAAAAGTTCCTCTTTCAGGTCATTAATGAAAAATATCCCAGTAATAACATTCCTTTATAAAAGAAACCTTTTATAAATCAGTCGTTTTATTGTAATCAAACTTCTAGATTCCATTCTTTCTGAACAGGTTCTGGTAAAATGGGAACGGTTTCTATTAATCAACTGGACTCTCCTAGCTTAGTCGATTTTCTAGCCAGCTTTCTCTCTCTCCTGTTCTCCGCAGCAGATTTTCAAACACCGCATTCCCCTTAAACCTCCCAGGCTCCCATCACTCCCAGCAAAGAGCCAGCCCGCTACTTTATGGAGACAGGAGAGACTGTCAGACAGTTCCTGCTGCTGCCCAGGTGCATCTGAGTAAGTTTTTCTCTCTTTCTATCCCATTCCAGCTGAAGAAGTATCACTCCTTTGATTAGGGCCAACCTTTAAATCTGTCGATTGAGTCAGTATGATAGTGGCCTGTGTCTATAATCCCAGCTACTCAGGAGGCTGAGGTGGGAGGATCACTTGAGCCCAGGAGTTTGAGACCAGACTAGGCAACATAGCAAGACCCCATGTCTGAAAAAAAAAACAATCAATCTGTGGATTGGCCTGTGCTCTAGGCCTTCTCCTTCCTCCCTTCTCTAGGATCTCTCTTATTGATGATCACCTCTCCTGCATCCTTCTCAGCCTTTGCACCTTGTCCCATCTCATCCATCAAAATCCGTCTTCCTCCAGCAACCCTCCTCTTCACAGCCCAGCTTCTTGGCTTAGAATTATTTCTATCCAGGGACCTCCTTCCTCCTCGGCTCCCCAGCTGCCTTCACTCTGGCTTCTATTCCCCTGGCTGCAATGAAACTATCCTTGCAAAAGTCACAACCAATTCCCTGCTGCTAAACCCAATGTATGTGTCCTAGTCCTTATCTAACTTATCTCCTGAAAGCATTTGGCTTTCCTGACGCACGTGTCTTTGAGAAATTCTCTTCTGCTGGCCCTGTCCTCTCCCACTTTCTTTCCTCCTTTTCCTCGTGCTATTTGTTCTTGGTCTTATCTTCCTGGATCCCTTCCTCCATGGCATTTCTGCCCTGGGCCCCCTACTCTCCCTGTACCCATCTTCTTGGAATTCTTTTGGTTCCAAGTGACAGAACCCAAACTCATGGTTTTGTTGGTAGTGGTGTTTTGCTTGGTTGGTTGTAACAGCCAAGCAAAGGGATAGTTGAGTTTATGGAGCTATTTATGGTTGCACAATTAACTCCATAAACTCAACCAACTAAAACACCACTACCAACGAACCCTATGACAAAGGAAATGCATTATTTCATGCACCTGAAAATCCTGAGGTAGATCTGTGATATCTGGCCCAGAGACATAAAGTAAGGTCGTCATGCTCAGCCTCCCTCTGCCTGTCTCTTGGTTTGTTTTCCTCTGTTCGCTCCACTCTCAGGCAGCCTCTTTCCAAGTGATGGCAAAATGCCTGCCAGCATCTCCAAGCTGAGACCCAGTCCTTTTACCCAGTCCTTTTAGCAAACACAAGACAATCTTCTACTCAATTTCTTAAGCTGGAAGTCTAGGATTCTTTTGTTTTGTTTTGTTTTTTGAGACGGAGTTTTGCTCTTATCACCCAGGCTAGAGTGCAGTGGTGCAATCTCAGCTCACTGCAGTCTCTGCCTCCCGGGTTCGAGCGATTCTTCTGCCTCAGCCTCCTGAGTAGCTGAGATTACAGGCATGTGCCACCATGGCTGGCTAATTTTGTATTTTTAGTACAGACGGGGTCTCACTATGTTTGCCAAGTTGGTCTTGAACTCCTGACGTCAGGTGATCCGCCCACCTCAACGTCCCAAAATACTGGGATTACAGGTGTGAGCCACTGAGCCTGGCTAGGAATAATTTTTTTTTTTTTTTTTGAGATGGAGCCTCACTGTGTCACCCAGGCTGCAGTGCAATGGTGTGTTCTTGGCTCACCACAACCTCCAACTCCCAGGTTCACGCAATTCTCCTGCCTCAGCCTCCCAAGTAGCAGGGACTACAGGCGCCCACCACCACACCTGGCTAATTTTTGTATTTTTAGTAGAGACAGGTTTTCACCATGTTGGTCTGGCCCGTCTTGAACTCCTGACCTTGTGATTCGCCTGCCTCGGCCTCCCAAAGTGCTGGGATTACAGGCGTGAGCCACCGCGCCTGGCCAGGAATCATTTTTGACTCCTCTTCCCCAACATCGGCTTAGTCACCAAGTCCAGTCCCGGGTTCTCAATCTCTCTGCGTCCCTGCTGCCAATAATCTAATTCAGGTCACTGTCCTTTGTCTCCATCCCTGTCCGACCTCCTGGGGGTTTCCTGCCTCAGGTTCTGCTGCTCTGCAGTCCGCTTTTCCCGTCACAGCTGGGACCATCTTTTGAAAATGTAAATCTGGTCCCATCCCTTCGATATACAAAGCACCCATTAGCAGGAAGCTGAAGCAAAACTCCGTGTTACGTTTTCTGAAAGGTGCTGCCTGCTGCGGCTCCTGCCTGCCCCTGCCTGCCTACCTCTTTATACTTCCCCTCTTGGTCCCTGCGGTTTGGCCTCTGATGCCAGTTGAGCCACTCCCTCCACCTGGACGGTTCCTCTCCTGAGTCCCTCCTGACAGCTGCTTTTTGGGTTGCAAGTTAGACATAACTTCACCGAGGACAGCCTTTCATACTGAAGTATGTATATACTCTTCCTGTTAGAACATTCTACTTTTTCCATCTTAGCACTTATCACCCTTTCTTGTAATTGCTTGTTAAATCACCCATGGGCGCAGTGGCTCATGCCTGTAATCCCAGCACTTTGGGAGGCCAAGGTGGGCAGATCACTTGAGGTCAGGAGTTCTAGACCAGCCCAGCCAACATGGCAAAACCCTGTCTCTACTAAAAATACAATTAGCCAAGTGTGGTGGTGCATGCTTGTAATCCCAGCTACTTGGGAGGCTGAAGCACGAGAATCACTTGAACCTGGGAGGCAGAGGTTGCAGTGAGCTGAGATTATACCACTGCACTCCAGCCTGAGCAACACAGTAAGACTCTGTCTCAAAAAAAGAAGAAAAAAAAATCCATACCCCTCTGCAGACTCTAAGGTTCATGAGTGCAGATATTTGCTTTATTTTGTGAAATATCCCCAATATTACAAAGTATAACTCAATATGTATTTGTTGACTTGTACCATAAAATGAGATGCAATTGTATTAGTGGTTTTCCAATTCTCTTCTAGATTTTAGAATTTAGATTGATTCCATAAACTGGAAAAATCTAAAAATATAATATCTATTCTTTCTCTTTATTTATGTGCTTATGGTTCCCCCTTAACAAACGGTAAAGTTTGAGAATTGAAAAGATCTTAGTAAAATCTAGCACTAATTCACTTCATTTGACAGCTTAGGAAGGGGAGGCTCAGAGGGTCTCCATAACTTGCACAAACCACAGAGCTATTTATGGTTGCATAATTAGATCCATAAACTCAAACTCAGAGCCCCCGACTTTCAGTCCAGGGCTTCACCATGGTATTAACACTTTTATTAGCACTTTTATGTATTTTTAACTTAATTATTTTTTTGAGACAAGGTCTTGCTTTGTTGCCTAGGCTGGAGTGGAGTGGTGCGATCATAGCTCACTGCAGCTTCGACCTCCTGGGCTCAAGCAGTTCTCCTGCCTCAGCCTCCCAAGTAGATGGGACCACAGGCATGTGCCACTACACCCGGCTAATTTTTATATTTTTGTGGAGATGGGGTCTCAATATGTTACCCAGGCTGATCTCAAACTCCTGGGCTCACGTGATCCTCCTGTCTCAGTCTCCCAAAGTGCTGGGATTATAGGCGTGAGCCACTACGCCCAGCTGTTATTAGCACTTTTAACAGACTAGTGTAGTATGATTTTTTTTTTCTATTAATACAAAGGAATCTTATTGCTTATAGCCTCACGTTTTACTTTTTAAAATGTACTTTTGGATCCTGTACATCTCAATAGATTTTCAGGAGGAAAATCACTCCCAGGTCTGTAGACGCCTGTGTATCCTCTAAGGTTCTGTGCTCCACGGGTCGGGTTAATACCTAACACATTGCTCACAAAGAGCCAGATATTACACATTGTATTCAGTTCTCCTACAGTTTCACCTCAGAAGGATAATGACTGAGTAGATGCCATCTGGATTTGATGATCTGGGGAATGCTTATGTTATGTAAAAGAAGTAACAGACTGGTTTAACTCTGTATTAACCGTTCCCTATTGCTTCTGTGAAGTTTACAGGACTCACTGTTAACTTCACAGGGGCAATGGAGCAGTCCATTATGAAACATGAGCTTGAAAGCTGTTTCTATAAGTTAAGGTTTGGAAAAGACCGAGCAAGAGTAACACTTGAAAAATAATTATTTTAGAATTGGGTATGGATTAAAAAGCAAATATTGGGGAAAAGTATTTAATTTATTTTTTTTTAAACGGAGTCTCACTCTTTCCTCCAGGCTGGAGTGCAGTGGCATAATCTCAGCTCACTTCAACCTCCGCCTCCCGAGCTAAAGCGATTCTCCGGCCTCAGCCTCCGGAGTAGCTGGGATTACAGGCGTGTGCCACCACGCCTAATTTTTGTATTTTTAGTAGAGATGGGGTTTCACCATGTTGGTCAGGCTGGTCTCAAACTCCTGACCTCAAGTGATCCACCCCCTCCCCGACCCCCTCCGCCGCGTGGCCTCCCAAAGTACTGGGATTACAGGTGTGAGCCATGGCGCCTGGCCATAACTTTATTTTAAATTAAATTTAAATTTGATTTAATTTAATTTATTTATTTGTTTTTCTTGAGACGGAGTCTCGCTCTGTCACCCAGGCTGGAGTGCAGTGGAGCGATCTTGGCTCACTGCAAGCTCTGCCTCCCGGGTTCATGCCATTCTCCTGCCTCAGCCTCCCAAGTAGCTGGGACTACAGGTGCCCAACACCACGCCCAGCTAATTTTTTCTATTTTTAGTAGAGATGGGATTTCACTGTGTTAGCCAGGATGGTCTCGATCTCCTGACCTCGTGATCCGCCCGCCTCAGCCTCCCAAAGTGCTGGGATTACAGGCGTGAGCCACCGTGCCCGGCCTTTTTTAATTTTTAATTAAAAATTTAGGCCAGGCACAGTGGTTCATGCCTGTAAATTCTAACACTTTGAGAAGCCTAGGCAGGCAGATTGCTTGAGTCCAGGAGTTCGAGACCAGCCTGGGCAACATGGTGAAACCCCATCTCTATTAAAAAAAATACAAAATTAGCAGGGCATGGGGACATGCACCTGTGGTCCCAGCCACTTGGGAAACTGAGGCAGGACAATCACTTGGGCCCAGGAGGTAAAGGCTGCAGTGAGCCAAGATTGCACCACTACACTCTAGCCTGGGTGACAGAGCGAAACACTGTCTCAAAAAAAAAAAAAAAAAAAAATTAGGGCTAGGTGTGGTAGCTCATACCTGTAATCCCAGCACTTTGGGAGGCTGAGGTGGGAGGATTGCATGAGTCCAGGAGTTCGAGGCTGCAGTGAGCTCTGATTGTGCCAGTGTACTCCAGTCGGGGAGACAGAGCAAGACCCTAGCATTACAAAAGAAATGTTTTAAGGAAACCAAAAGTGGAACCGATTGACCAATATATTATGAAACTCCAATGAATTGACCTATTCCAAAAGGAAATTCCTTGGCCACAGATTGCAAGTAAGTGTTCTTCAGGTGTTATTTTTTACTGTTAACTTTTTTTTTACCTTGAAATTTTATTTTAAAAATTGACATGCAGAAAATTGATTTTTGGGATATATAGTTATAGACATTTTAATTTTAAATTTAGCATGTAGAAACTACTTTTAAAATGACTTTTATATAAATGTTGAGTAGATGCAAAAGAAAATGTGCAATACAGGTGTAGGGTACAGAAATAATAACAACGGTGGGCCAGGCGCGCTGGTTCACGCCTGTAATCCCAGCACTTTGGGAGACCGAGGCAGATGGATCACCTGAGGGCAGGAGTTGGAGACCATCCTGGCCAACATGGTGAAACCCCATCTCTACTAAAAAGACAAAAATTAGCCAGGTGTGGTGGTGGGTGCCTGTAATTCCAGCTACTCAAGAGGCTGAGGCAGAAGAATCGCTTGAACCTGGGACGTGGAGGTTGCAGTGAGCCTAGATTGAGCCACTTCACTCCAGCCTGGGTGACAGAGCAAGACTCCATCTCAAAAAACAAAAAAAAGAACACCACGGTGAATCCTGTGTACTCATCAACCATTTTAAGAACATAATGGCTTGTCTTAGAGGCCCCCATTGGCCCATTCTACTCCCTTTGTTCCCCCTAAGAAGTAACCACCGTCCTGAATTTTGAACCTATCATTCTCCTGCTTTCTTTTTTTTTCTTTTTTTCTTTTTTGAGACAGAGTCTCGCTCTTTCGCCCAGGCCGGACTGCAGTGGTGCTATCTTGGCTCACTGCAAGCTCTGCCTCCCGGGTTTACGCCATTCTCCTGCCTCAGCCTCCCGAGTAGCTGGGACTACAGGCGCCCGCTACCACACCCGGCTAATTTTTTTTTTGTATTTTTAGTAGAGATGGGGTTTCACCGTGTTAGCCAGGATGGTCTCGATCTCCTGACCTCGTGATCCACCAGCCTCAGCCTCCCAAAGTGCTGGTATTACAGGCGTGAGCCACCGCGCCTGGCCTCTCCTGCTTTCTTTTATTACATGCATTTGTATTTCTTAACAATATAGGTTTTGTTTTTGTTTTATGATACAGGGTCTTGCCTTGTCACCCAAGCTGGAGTACAGTGTCACAATCACAGCTCACTGTAGGTTCAACCTCTCCGGCTTAAGTGAACCTCCCCCCTGAGCCTCCTGAGTAGCTGGGACCACAGGTGGGCACCACCACGCCTAGCTAATTTTTAAATTTTTGTAGAGATAGGGTCTCACTCTGTTGCCCAGGCTGGTCTCAAACTCCTGGGATAAAGTGGTCCTCTGCCTCGGCTTCCCAAAATGCTGGGATTATGGGCATGAGTCATTGTGCCCAGCCTAAGCAATATGTTTTTAAAACATTTTTACAGTTTGATTTTTTTTTTTAGCTTGACTTTTAGATGAATGAAATTATACTATTTGCATACTTATGAGCCTTTTTTTTGCTCAATATTATGTTTTTGAGATTGATTCATTAAAGATGGATGTGATTCATTTATTTAGGGTAGTACTCTATTATATAAAGAGATCACAATTATCAGTTTCACTATTGGACATTTAGGACGTTTCAAGTTTTTCTTTTTTTCTTTTTTGCTAGTGAATCAGTGCTGCTATGAACATTACTCTGGGTGTATGCTTGGACATAGAATCTCTGGAGTACAGTCTCAACTGTTAATTCAAAATAAAATGTTTGGCCCAGTGCGGTGGCTCACACCTGTAATCCCAGCACTTTGGGAGGCCAAGACAAGAGGATCACTAGAGGCCAGGAGTTTGAGACCAGCCTGGTCAAGAGAGTGAGACCCCATCTCTACAGAAATTTTGAAAATTAGCCAGGCACAGTGGTTCACGCCTATAATCTCAGCACTTTGGAAGCTCGAGGTGGGAGGATTGCTTAAGCCCAGGAGTGCAAGGCTGCAGTGAGCTATGATGGACAGAGCAAGACCCTGTCTCTAAAAAATAAAATTTAAAAGTAAATTAAAATGTTCAATGTATCTTTTCGTTATGATTCCTTGCTTCAACTGATTATTTCAGTTAATAGAACTACCTACTCTCCTACTGTATGTACGTGGGCTTGTTGTATGCTTCTGAATCTTTTCATTTATTATAATTTTGCTTTTGAAATGAATTTTAAGCTTCTCAAGGACTAGTACTGGACCTATGGATTTCACATCTCTTAGATCTTACCATGGTGCCTGATGCAATGTTCTGTATACGCCTCTGGTGATGGAGTTTTATTTCCCTAGCTATTGGTCAGGCCAACTAGTCTTTCTCATTTTGGGTTAACATTATCATATTGTTTTCATCTTTTCTCCTCCTTTCTTTTCTTCTTAATTTGGGGGACATTGTTTCTTCTGAAAAGGGGAGTGAGAAAGGGAATAATAGAAGGAACTGCTCAACCAGTCTCTCCTGGGGGCCTGCACTGTATTTGTCATGGTACTTGACACTAAAAAAGAAACAAACATGAAATGAAAGACAAGTTTAAAATATATTTAAAACAGATGTTTGTGCTTTAATTTAAAAATTCCAAATGCAACCCTTTGACCCAGCAAGTCTACTTCTGGAAATCTATCTTATGGAAATAATTAAAACTCGTGCAAAAACATTTAGGTCTAACATGTTCATCTCAGCCTTGTTTATAATGGAGAATTAGAAACAAATTTTCAACCATGGGGATTTAACACATAAGTACAATGGAATTCCTCTGTTAAAAATAATATATATACTGACACAGATATTTATGATTTATTAATTGGAAAACCTGAGCTATAATGTACAGTGTCATCCTATTTTTGTAAAAGACAAATGTACAACAACGACTAGGAGGATGGTCACGAAGAATGTATGCTGGTAATGAAATTAAATTTTTTTTGCTTATCTGTGTTTTAAACTTTTCTACAATAAACCTTTATTTTTTATTATAACCACTTGTAGTCTTACCATAAAATAAGCCTTTCTAAAGTTATTCTCTCTGTTTTTTTCTTTTTTTAAGAGATGGGGTCTTGCTATGTTTCCCAGGCTGGTCTCAAACTCCTGGGCTCAAGCAATCTACCCACCTTGGCCTTCTGAAGTGCTAGGATTACAAGCATGAGCCACTGCACCTGGACTTTTTTTTTTTTTTTAAAGTTATTCTCTTATTGATTGATTGATTGATTGATCGAGACAGGGTCTTGCTCTGTCACCCAGGCTGGAGTGTGGTGTTGTGATCATGGCTCACTGCAGCCTCAACTTCTCAGGCTCCGGAGATCCTCCCACCTCAGACTCCTGAGTAGCTGGGACCACAGGCGTGCGCCACCACACTGGGCTAATTTTTGTATATTTGGTAGGGATGGGCTTTGCCATGTTGCTCATTCTGGTCTTGAACTCCTGGGCTCAAGCGATCTACCTGCCTCGGCTTCCCAAAGTGTTGGGATTATAGGCCTGAGCCACTGTGCCCAGCCTAAAGTTATTCTTAAAAACTACTCCAGCCACCAGAGCTTATATTAATGTAATTATTTTATATAGTTCTTTTTCCTCAGAAGTAATCAATTACAAATAAATAACTGTTAATAGTTGAGGTCTTGTGAAAAGGAACACATTTCTTTTACTTTCTTGCGTTGATAACACTTTTTCCACAGCTGCAGTGGGTTCCGAATCCATAGCTATGTTAAGTTAGAGCCTTGTGAGAACAGGTGACTTGGATTTTGTTTATGGTTGACATACTAATTCTCTTTATAACCTTGGCATATTTACTTTTCTGCTTTTTGTCCAGCAACTCTCTGTGAAATGTGGAGAATGCCTTTCTCATTACTACCCTAGCAGATGTATTAAAAGTCTCTGGGGACTCCCCTCCTGGAATGAGAAATGGTCCATCTTGGCCAGCCAGGGTAACCTTTCAGGTTACCTTGTAACTTCCAGTGTAACTGCTACGCACATTCACTAAATTGTTAAGTTAAATCTGAATCATTAGTTGTTCATTAATTCAACAGATATCTGAATATTGACAGCCTGGGTTCACATGCCAGCTTAGCTATTTAACTCTGTGAGCTTGGGGAAGTCAGTTAATTTCTCTGGGCTGCCATTTCCTCATTTGTAAAATGAATAGTATGAATACATAATTGTTGTAAGGACTAAATGAGATACAAAATGCATCATGCCTAGCACCATAGTAAATTCTCAACAAATTACAGCTAAGTGCCAAGTACTGAGCTTTAAGCCCCATTCATTCAGCATACACTAAGTGAATCTTACTGTGGGCCAGTGTTCTAGGCACTTGGTTACTTCAGTGAACAAAACAGAGAAAAATCTCTGTTCTTGTGAGGCTTACATTCAAGCAGATGCAAACATGAAATAGACTGTATTCTAATCCACGGCTGTTGCTAATAAGCATTCCTATTAATTTAGTTCTTTTTTTTTTTTTTGAGACGGAGTTTTGCTCTTGTCGTCCAGGCTGGAGTGCAATGGCACGATCTCGGCTCACTACAACCTCCTCTTCCTGGGTTCAAGCCATTGTCCTCCCTCATCCTCCCTAGTAGCTGGGATTACAGGTTCCCGCCACCATGCCCAATGAATTTTTTTTATTTAGTAGAGACGGGGGTTTCACCATGTTGTCCAGGCTGGTCTCGAACTCCTGACCTCAGGTGATCCACCTGCCTCGGCCTCCCAAAGTGTTGGGATTACAGGCCTCAATTTAGTTCTTTTTATGTGACAGCCACTGTGTGGAATGATTGCCTGCATAATCACTCATACATAATCTCATTTTCTCATTAACTGTGTGAGGCAGGGATTCCTGTTGTCATCTGACGGTATGGCAGCTGAGCATCAGAGAGGTTATGTTAAGTTCAGGAGACAAGCCAGTGGAGCAGATGGTATTCAAACCCAGGCTGTCTGTCTCTAAAGTTCACGCCTGATCCCTACACGTTGGGAGTCTCGCTTTCAGCCTCTGTGTGAGGCTGTCATTTTTGCTGATGGTTCTTTTCTGACATTCTTGCCAACACTTTTTTCTAGGCAGCAGAAGCTGTCGGGGAAAGAAATTTGAGTTTTCCTCTTTTATGTTAAAGTATTTAATTATCTCTGCAGGAAATGATCGGAGAAGGCATAAATGACAGCTCTGCTTAGAATGTTTCTTTGAATCAATCAGGAATTGCAGGTGACTCTCCTCAGTGTGTGGAAAAGAGGTCTCAATTAGAAGGAGAAGTCGGGGTGCAGCCTTGGGGGGCACTAGATGGGTTGGGGGTGGGGGCACTAGATGGGTTGGGGGTGGGTTGGGGGTGGGAGACGA